>NC_000004.12:45933257-46242682 GCF_000001405.40 Homo sapiens
GCTGGCAAGCATACGAAATAAAAATTTGTGAGTAGGTTTGCATTCTATCCAAAATAGACATGCTGGAGATAAAAGCATTGACACATTTCAGTGTTTTGCTATTTCAAGCCCTATAACTAATATAAAATGTTATAACAACTTCATTGTGATTGGAGTGTGAACTTACTTAAAAACCACAACCCATTTCTTGAGCCACCTCACACGAGTGCACTACTATCATGCTAGAAGTTACTGCTGTGTTCATGGGAACTTGAATTCCATTTTGCCACTTGAAATCTAGTTGGTGTCTAAGTGTCTCAGTTCAAGGAGCACAAGTGAACTTCTTGAATTGCTTTAGCTTTCTAACGCATATCACATATCATTGGTTTCTTTATATATGAAGGGTAAAAAATAATTTATCTAATGTTTTATCCACTGGTCATTATTATTTTGCTTGAATTTTAAAAATGTTAAAGCAAAACAGATAAATAATGTATGACTTGCCTGATGAAATGGTAGATACTATTGTTTCTCAAGATTATTTTTTGAAAAATGAAATTGTAAAACTGTGCAAAATAAATTATTTTAAAGTTAACATTTTTTAAGTATCTATTAGACCCTAGGGTTTTTCTATACATTATTTAATTTTATTTCCTTCATCTTTCCTTCCTTTTCTCCTTTTCTTTTTCCAACCTTTCTCCCTCTTTCTCTCTCCCTCACATTCTCTTTTTCACCCCCTATTTCTTTCTTCCATCCCTCTTCTATTTTCAAGTGGTAAAATCAAAGCAAAGCAAATTGTGTTATTGGTAGATGAGGGTGTCCTAATATCACCATCCCCACTGCCATTCCCAGTAGAAAAAACTCTAATATGGGGAGCTTCACCTTGAGGCCCAAATAGGAGGACAATTAAACCTCCTGAAAATATAAACCTCAATCCCAATTATTTTTTACACTCTAGGAAGCCACATAGTTAACCAGAAGAGTAAGGTCCAGCCAGAACATGGGTAGAAGATGAGAGAGAAAGGAATATTCATGCCTCTAACTTTCAATTTTGGGGTGACCTTAGTTTCCAGTAAGAGAGCCAACTGGTCATTATTAAATATCAAAAAATGGATTAACTCTTTTTGAAGAAACAAAGTTTGGAAGTGTGAGACATGGCTTGAAGAAGGACTGGAGAGAGCGTTTTCTCTTTCCAACATGAAACCTTTTTTGTAACAGCATTATATCAAATACATCAAAATTTGCAAAACACCAGAATCAATAGATATATAAAGGGAAGCTTTAGGGAAAGTATCATGCTCTTATATAACTCTAGGAATACAGATTGAAATAATATTAAGCAAATTCAACTGCAGCAGAAATTCTACAATGATAATGTGCATTTGTGAATATCATGTGAAATCAATTAGTTTGTCCATATAAGTATTTGTTCAACAATTGTATTAATGTCTTATCAAACATCGGTGTGTCGATCAGGTCATGTTGGAGGTAAATGCTGAGGTACAGTTAGTCATAGTAGAGTTTTATATGGGATGTAATGCTTTTGAGCAAGGAAATTGCGGAAATGACAAGACTGAGCTGAGACAGTGTCAAACTGCAGTGAAACATGAGTCTTCACCGAAGCATGGGAAGTTCTGGAATAAAAATTGCCTGATAGAAGAGTTCTTGAGAATACTGAGAAAAATTGCCTCATCCTAGTGGCCCCACTATGCTCATTAATTAGTTGGTGGCTTCCCAAGAACAATGTGGCCACAACTTAAAAGCTGAGGTGATCCTAAATGTTAGGAACTGCAGGCTGTCAGCTAAGTGTACTTTTTGCCACAGCACAGTGAGTTTTCCATGAGAGATGATCAATGTTGTTCATCTCTGTGGCTACCACAACTGGTATTTTTAAAAAGCCAGATTAGAAAATTCTGAAAATGACATATTTATATGAATAGGCCTCATCAGTTATTTAAGAAAACTAAATTTTGTATATGGATGTGTGTATGTGTTTTCTTTGCCTACTGGTATGTCTGAGATTTAAGAGGATTTGTAGTTTCCTCATTTTGATATTTACTCCACAGTGTGATATAAAATGATGACTGCCATAATCCTTCATGAACAATTCTCATCTTCATCTCAGGCCTGAAAGAGATATCAAGGTATGATAGCGCTTGGCCTCTTTTCATGAAGGTATTATGATTCCTCTTACATAAAGGTAGGTACCAGAAGATTTAAAGGAATACCTGCAACCTTGGATAGCCAACTTCATATCTAAAATGCCACATAGGCAGGGATCTTTCTAGAAATGTACCCAAACTCCTACAGAATGTAAGTTTGTGCTGATTACAAATACGAAATTTGCTACCCTTTAGGTTTAGCTCAGGACAAATCTATATCACATTGGTTCCCTGACTGAAGAAGATGGATGCATTTTTTTACTCAATCTTGCTCTTAGTTTTCAGGGTTTTATTTGTAGTGATCTGTTGCTCACTCCTGGTTTGGTGCGGAGCTGAAATGGAAATACCAAGGGCAAAATGAAATTATTTAAGAGAGCTAGGCCACATTTTCTGAGAGTTTTATAAGAATTTGACTTTGATTTTTTTTAAATTATACTCTCTAGTTCTGGGATACATGTGCAGAACGTGCAGGTTTGTTACATTGGTATACACGTGCCATGGTGGTTTGCTGCACCCATCAACCTGTCATCCACATTAGGTATTTCTCCTAATACTATCCCTCCCCAAGCCCCCACCCCCTAATAGGCCCCAATCTGTGATGTTGCTCTCCGTGTTCTCATTATTCAACTCCCACTTATGAGTGAGAACATGCGGTGTTTGGTTTTCTGTTCCTGTGTTAGTTTACTGAGAATGATGGTTTCCAGCTTCATCCATGTCCCTGCAAAGGACATGAACTCAAGCACATATCTTTATCAGATACATCAGGCAGAGAGAAATAGACATCCATAGAAGGCTGGATACTGATAAGTTCAGCTAATTGAAAACACGGAGGCATAAAATAAGTTATGCTTTATTATCTGTAACTCTGAAATTTGAGGGAAATTTTGCCTCAGATTTGTATGTATAAAATTTGGAAAATCATAATGAATCCTTAAGGGTAACAGGGGCTTGAGTCAAATCTAGCACATGCTATATCTTCAGAACATAAAAATCTGAGAATATATGAATCTCTGTGTGCAGGTTCACAAAGATTGGTAAGCAGAATTTAGGATTCACCATCTGTGTTTCCTCTAAGAGAAATGTTATCCTTTCTATACATAAGGAATTCTGGTTTTAAATTGATATAATAATGCCATTTTCTCATTGCATGATTTATCAGCTTCATTTAATTAAACTGAAATCAGAGAAAGGTGAAATTCAGTTAACCATTTCTGTCCCTCTATCACAATTTTTTCCATGAAGACTCTGACTTGAAGTGAAAACCACACGAGGCCAAACATCTCTTCAGGTTTATGGTTACTATTTTTTTCCCTGGAAAGATTTTCTAGGTCTTTCTATATATACAGTCCACCTTAGAAAAATCTAAGAGCAATTCTAAAATGTACTATTTTCTAAGATATAAAATCCCTCTTTCAAAAGTGTCTAGAACAAAAAGTTATTCCTGTCACAGAACTCTGAACATATTGATTCGGCCTGACTTCTATTAATCTTTTCATTGTTGAGAAAAGAATCACAAAAGCCTAATATACCATGTCTTCGTCACACATGGAACTTACCTGTTTCACAAGCATTTTCAAAATTGCCACTAATTATGTGCACCGTGAAAAAGGACGGTTTTATTTGGGTGTAAGTGTTTAGGAAATTATGATTTGGTACATAATTTAGGAAATTATGAATTAGTCTTTTTCTGATCTTCATAGTAATTATAATAATTAATTTAATAACTATCATGTTTTGAGTAAACTCTATATGAGAAACATGTTGATAGCAATCTCTAATCCTTAAATAAACCCTGCAAGAGAAGATTATCTAAATGTTACTGTTAAAAATATTGAGGTTAGTTGATCCAAGTGTTTAGATGAATTGTGCAGAACCATATAATTAAATGTCAATGTCATCTTTTGATCTCAGATCTGTTTAGTTTTAAATTCCTTCATTTGTGAATATTTTTTTGCTTGCCATGTCATGCTTGCTTGCCCAGAAATCTAAGGAAAAAGCGCCCTGCCAGGTTTAACTTCTTTAACCAGCCTATCTGTTTGTCACTGACTGAAGGGTTGTCCTCTATCAGCTGTATCTTCTTCAGCAAAGAGATACTCCTGTAAAACGTGGAAATTGAGCTCATTTATCTCCTTGTTCTCAGAAATCCCATGTTCCTTAGGCTGTGTACTAAATAATCAATCACTTATATACATGTTGTCTTACAGAGTTCTCTGATTTTTCAAACTTCTCAGCAATAAATTTATGTTAGTAGACCAGATTTCTGTGTCTATGTGTGTGGGCTTGGACAAGATATTTTTTAAATACATTTTGAAAAACTCACAAAGAGAGTGTCTATAGAAATGAGTACAAAGTAATAACAAGAAAAAAGATGTTTAAAATACATTTTGAAAAACTCACAAAGCGAGTCTCTATGGAAATCAGTACAAAGTAATAATAAGAAAAAGAAAAGTCACGTATATTTAGACAAGAAAATGACTGCATAGATCAAAAAAGGATGGCAGTATTGTAAAACTGCAGAAATGTGTACTGTGATATATGAATAGTACAAAAGAATTTAATAATGATACTGATCACACTTATTTTTCCTTATATTCTTTTGAAGCAATGTTTAGTGCATATATTTGTACTGGCTTTGGAATTATGTGCCTGGCTCTGCAATACTCTTCCCTATATAAGGAGATTATCTGAAGCCTCATTCATCACTATGTCTTATAGCTATCTGGAGGCCCAAAGTTTGATGGAATTATATTATCTGAGCAGCATACCTGGGCATTACAAGTATTTCTATACAAACAGTGCAGTCCTTTCGTCTTGACTCCCTATAGTTAGGGAATTAACTGAGCTGAGAAAGCAACAGAATAGATTTCAAATTTGCTTAACTAATACTTTCTAACAGTAGGTTTTTAAGCATTGGATTGAGGAATTTAGGGCTTCTGTAAAATTCATTTCCTCTGGAGAAATCTAAGAGCCAGACATTTCTTTGCAGAATACATTTGAGAAAAATCTGCCAAGAGACAAAATGTTGAATTAAGGTTATTTTCTCTCTTTTTGACTCATAAAATATTCTTCCATAACAAAATTAATTGGATAAATGCAGCATATCTAAATAGATATTTTTGAATCTTTTTTTCTGTTATCTCTATTACATTTTTATACTAACTTTGTACTCATAACGAGGTAACAATTTTGTATTTGCATACATTCCATTGAAAAGTAATTAAGTCATCTACAGAGCCTTCTTAATTCTCTTTTGAAACAAGGCAGAATATTAAAAAATACATTAATTAAAAAGCAGAGGAAATCTTCCCTCAGCCAATTTTTTTTTGTTTTAACTGGTGTCAGAAACATTTCTGCCTGTGGAGTTTTAAAACTGATGAAAAATAGATTTTGGAAAAAAAATTAAAATATGTTGTATTTATTGATTTAATACTATTTTGAACTATGGTTATATTGTCTGTATTTTTGTAGCATTGGAGAATATATCAAATTAAACAGAAAAAAAAAAACACCTCAAAAGAATCTTGATAACATGACTGAGTGAAACATTTACCACTGCATCTGGGTAAACTTGCCTTTTCTATAATTCCTGCAGAAAATGTAGTTTCACTGACTCAATTAATGTAATCCTTTCACTAGTAAGCAACCAGTGAAGCAAACAAGAAGGAAAGGATAAAGTGATAAGAAAATTCTGAATTAAAATCTCTTAACTTCAAAAAAAGTTTGTTTTTGCAGTTTATAACAGCTGATTTAATCTTTTCTGTAACCATTCCAATTTGATAAGCTAGCCAAACATAATTAACAGGAAAAACAGAGCCACAGGATCTGGAGAGAGATATCCAGAGTAAATGCTCTACACAAAAATCAAACTGTTTGGCATTCTAAGACATAGCTAAGTGTGGAATGCTGATGTGGGTGTATTGGGTGAACTACACAAGCTGAGGGGAATTATTCTTGACAGGCCTCAGCCTTTGCCCACAGTATAACTTTGACAGCAAGGCAAGAAGAGTTAAGTAATGATAAAGCCTAGTAAAGCCAGCCTTCCAAATGGGAGAGTTGGCCCATCGCATATTATTTTTTTTTGATAAGTCACCACTCCACGAAAAGATGGCATATATGGGTCCTAAGCTCTGTCTTCTTCAAGAATTAAAGAGAATAGAGAGGATGTTGTAGTTTTTTTAAAGATATAGAACCAATAATAACTGTTAATTCCAATGTTAACTATGTCACTGATATTCTCCTCAAGATATAACGAAGTGTTTATATTTGAGGACCTCTTCTTCAATCTTTTACACTTCTTTATTTTTTCTATGCTTTCACTTGGGAAGAATTAAAAATTTAATTCAGATATACTTGAAACTTTATGAATGTGTACTTGAATTTCCCCAAACCAACAAACAAACAAAAAATAACAAATAAACTCAGAGCAACCAATAAAACCTCTTAAATGGGTTAGTACATTACTTAAGTTAATGTTACCTCTCTAGGCCAAGAAATCACCCCCCAAAACACACCCTAACCTATTTCATAGCATCGTTAACTGAGCTGAGTTACTAGATTGTTTAACGAAACACCAGATATACACAATGTGTAACAGACAACAAAACAAAAGAATGGTAATAAAAATGATCCATTATAACTCTACTCTGGCCATTTTAACAAATCAGTTATTTCATTATGATCCAATTCCTTATGATGATAAGCACAGGCATAATAATAACAGCGATATCTTCTACTTACTAAGCTTTAATTCTAAACTAGGCATTGCAATATGTAATATAAATGTGAAAAGAAAAGAGAGAGAAAGAGAAAGAAATAGAGAAAAAATGAAAGAAAGAAAGGAAAGAAAAGAAAGAAAGAAAGAAAGAAAGAAAGAAAGAAAGAAAGAAAGAAAGAGGGAAAGAAAGAAAGAAAGAGGGAGAAAGAGAGAGAAAGGAAGGAAGGAAGAGGGAGAAAGAGTCTCCTCAGGAAGGAAGGGAGGGAGGAGGGAGGAAGGAAGGGAGGGAGGGAAGGAAGGAAGGAAGAAAAGAAGGGGGAAGGAAGGGATAAAATGTGCAGAGAGAGAAGTTTTCCAAACCATGTTTATTTATAGTTGCCCATCTCTACTCCATCTCTTAATACAAAGACATGGTTATTCACTTGTATTTGGCCATGTAATCTCTTCTCCTAAAGCAATGGAATCAGAGAATAAGGCAGTGGTAGGCAAATTATTGTCTCTGAGTCAAATTTGGCCCAAAATTTGTCTCCTTGTCTTCCACAAAGGTAAGAATGGTTTTCACATGTTTAAAGGGTTATAAAACTAACACAAAGATGAGTATGCAAGAGAGACCTTATGTTGTCCACGAAGACTAAAATATTTATTTTCTGGCACTTTATTTAAAAGAAAGTTTGCCGGCTGGGAGCCGTGGCTCACGCCTGTAATCCCAGCACTTTGGGAGGCCGAGGCGGGCGGATCACGAGGTCAGGAGATCGAGACCATCCTCGCTAACGCGGTGAAATCCTGTCTCTACTAAAAATACAAAAAATTAGCCGGGCGTAGTGGCGGGCGCCTGTAGTCCCAACTACTCGGGAGACTGAGGCAGGAGAATGGCATGAACCCGGGAGGCGGAGCTTGCAGTGAGCCGAGATTGCACCACTGCACTCCAGCCTTGGCCACAGAGTGAGACTCCATCTCAAAAAAAAAAAAAAAAAAAAAAAGAAAGAAAGAAAAAAGAAAAGTTTGCCAACCTCTGGGATCACACAGTGTACTAGTTTCCTAGGGCTGCTGTAACAAATTGCCACATACTAGGTAGCTTAAAACAGCAGAAATTTATTCTTTCATATTTCTGGAGTCCAGAAGTCCAAACTCAAGGTGTCAGAAGTGTTAGTTCCTTCTGGAGGCACTGAGGGACAATCTGTTCCATGCTTCTAGCTTCTCCTGGTTGCCAGCAATCCTTGGCGCTTCTTGGCTTGTAGAAACATCACTGAAATTCATCTCCTTCACAGGGCATTTTCCTCTGCCTCTCCATCTCTATGCATGTGTTTTCTCTTCTTCTTATACGAATCATTGAATCAGGAACCACTCTCATTCTTCATGATCTCCTCTTAACTAATTACATTTTCACATGCCTTATTTTCATGTCAAGTCACATTCTGGGTATCCAAGTGGACAATGAAATGTGCAGCAGGACACTACTCAATTCAGTATAGGGATTTTAAATTTTGAATTTCTCGTAGATTTGAGAATGTGACCAATACTCCCCACTATTAACTTAAGAAAATCAGGATCATGCTCTTCACCCTGACTGTTCCAAAAATGGCTCTTTACTATTCAGAACTTACCTGAAACATGTACACTTCCACAAAGAGGGATTCTCTGACCACTGAGGATAAAGTAACTATACAATCACTCTCTTATCACCACCGAATTTAAGATGCTGTAATTGTCATGTTGCTGAAGTGACAATTTGGAGTGCATTCTTTATAAGAAAAACGTGCCTATAGGATTGAGTCCCTTTACCAGGGAGGGAGCCTCGCCAAACTCCCAATATCCAAGTTTAATGTAGCCTTACTTATTAGTTTTATTCATGTTACTGAGACAATAAGCCTCATAAAGTTATTAAAATATTTACTATTTAAAAGTCCTCCTAATATAGCTAGTTCTCATGGAGTAATTGAGTATATCATAAAAAGTCAAACAAAGTGGTAAAAACATAAGGAAGCAATACATTTTTTTCTAAATTAAGTAATGAGTAATAAATATTATATCTCAATAATTTGCAATTACAGAAACCCTGTAAAAAAGGAAGTTATGAATAAAACATGATGAGAGGAAGTCCTTTTCACTAGTGACTTAGTGAATAAAATGAATATTACTATCTTGAAACCTTGTTAAAATAAAAATATCACAAAAATATATTATATATGTGTATTAATTTTTAAAGGATCATTTTAGTTAAATGCAAGAAAAATTCTATTTATATCTTTTAAGTGTGAAACTAATAGCACTCTCCAATCACAAAATCTATAACCTCAAATAAATTATTTAAAAATATAGATAGCTTCTAGTATTCTTGATATTCATAGAATCCATATGTGACTCTTCTTTTATAAATTGATTCACTATTTTCAAAATCAGAGGCAGTTATAGATGGTAGAGGTAAGGGCAAGTAAAAGTTTAGAAAAAATAAAGAGGCTTAATTCTCCCTGTTAAAGGGAGAGACCCCCACCCTCTTTTCTTAGAACAATTACTTTAGAAAACTTGTAAGCTGTATCTTTCTCTCTTTGACATGTATGAAAATCTTTTTTGAAACTAAATAAATCTCTATCCAGCTTTAAGGCCCAGGGATATCTTTCTCAAGTACCTGGGAACCATCTCTTTGAAATGTACTCATCAAGGAAGTTTCTGTGAGAAACTTCTTCCCAGTTTCTATGGGAAGGCAGCATTCTAACTTCAGCTGGTGCATAGCTCCAAAACTATCTACTGTCATAAAGACATAAGACGTTTATTTTTCATTTTGAAGAAAGTCAAATTAACTAACACTGAGGGTGACTTCAATTGTCACATGTAGTTCATTCTCAGTGGTGAATTTAGGATAAACTATGTGTGACAAATGGTACTGCCAAGTCCTCTTACTTGAGAATTAGTGAGTATTCATCTTAAGAACATGTATGTAATGCATTGTGTCTGCTTGCCTATATAAAAAGGTGACACTTTGTGCCTTTCCAATATCTTAGCGGAGTGCCTGTGATGCACATCACATTCTGATTTCATGCTTATTCAATAGTAAAAACGGCTTCTTCCTTTTTTACCTTTGTGGAGAGGATTTCTAGGTTAGGAGGAAATTTTGTTTTTAATTATATTTCTCCCAGATAGACTACATTAAGTAATCCATGTACCCTCCGAGTTAGCAGCCCACTAAAAATAATGTCTATTTTATGCTCTTAGACATTATTTATATAGTATTAACAGACTGGCTGTTCAAATAGGGTGGTTCAAGAATGCAGGGGTATAATTACTATAATTACTATCATCTCTGTTTCTCTTTTTTTTTTTTTTTTTGAGATGGAGTCTCGCTCTGTCGCCCAGGCTGGAGTGCAGTGGCGTGATCTCAGCTCACTGCAAGCTCCGCCTCCTGGGTTCATGCCATTCTCCTGCCTCAGCCTCCTGAGTAGCTGGGACTACAGGCACCTGCCACCATGCCCAGCTAATTTTTTTTTTTCTGTGTTTTTAGTAGAGATGGGGTCTTGATCTCCTGACTTCGTGATCCGCCCGCCTCGGCCTCCCAAAGTGCTGGGATTACAGGCTCATCTTTTTTTTTAAAGGTTTATTTTATCATTCTGTAAAAATAAGACTAAAGTTTATTAACATGAACTTAGCTTAGGATTTTGTATTTAATGCCTCAGAAAATATTTTCAGTTATGTTTTTAAGTCTTCAAATGATATCTGTGGTGATTTCTGATCTTTCAACTATTAATTTTGAAGCTGCCTACTAGATATATAATTTGTAAAAACATGCCTTGTATTGGATGGCTTTGCTTGTTAGCTCTTTAATACTTTTGGCTTTAATAGTCTTCTGTCTGATCAGCAAACACAGTACCCAAGTGTTCTGATCACTAATTGCAGTAACTTTTGAAAACTTTATCAAAATACCAATGGCAAGAGAAAATGTGATGCTTGTGCCACCATGATGAGAATTGCAGAAATATTGTCCTATCTGCTATTCAAATGATGTTATGCTTCCATTACCTATAGAGAAAAATGAGGTAACATTTAACTTGAGATTACTTCAGAGAATTCCCATTCTCGTCACCAGGTGTCAGTAAAATAACCATCACTGCAAGACCCTGTTCCCTAGAACAATAATTGGCAAGGCAGGTGATTGTCTGTTGGTACAATTGTCAGTTTCTCTTAACACCCATGGACTTTATATTGCACTGCCTGTTGGACTAATTCCAAATGATAGATTGATTATAAGACATGTTTTAGATTGACCTTAAAGATACCTAAAGCTGGTACTCAGTTAAAAATATAGAGTCAGTCAAATGCAGATTAAATTCCAGCTCTGATATTGACTGGCTCTGTTTACTAGTACAAATTTCTTAATTTCTCCCCTCATCCATCTCCTCATCAGTAAAAAGAGCATAGTAATAGCTATTTTATAAGACTACAGTAAGAATATGATGAGATAATTCATTTTGTCTATCACAATAACTGACACATTTAGGTTTCTTGCTAATGACATGTGATGATTATGTCTTTTTATATTGGAGGAAAAGAACTTAAAAAGCAACACTCTAGTGGCTTAGGATTTCTTCTTACATAAAATGTGTACATGAGAGTACTGTCATTATGCAACTAGAGTGCATATAATTATAAAGGATATTGGGATTATCAACATAGAAAGAAAATTTAAGGAGCTTTCTATTTAGTTTTACTTTAACAACCAGGTAAACCTTATTTGTATCAGGGTGAATTGTATGCTTACTGATATATTTTTTGGGGGATAGTCAGCATTTTACCATATTGCCTAATTTATCAATGCAAATACATATTAATATATATTATATATTGCAGTCACTGTTGTCAATCATATTACAAAATAATTGTTGCAGTTAGAACCCAAAATGGCCTCCCACATAACTGTGCCGCTGATATTCACACTGCTGTATAGTCCTATCCTAAGTTGAATTTGGGCTGGCCCTATGAAACAAATAGAATACGGTGAAAGTGACTTCTGAGGCAAGGACAGAAGAAGTCTTGTGGTTTCTTTCTGAGTCTCTTGGAAAGGTTAGTAGGTAGAGCTGGTGGCCTTATAAGAAGTGAGGCCATTCTGGGCTGCCCTGCTGGAGGACGCTAAAGCTAGAGGAAACATGGAAACAAACAGGCGCCAGTCAGTCCTCATTATTCCAGCCATTGCCACTTAACTGCTAGGAATGTGAGTGAAGAAGCCATCTAGACACCCAGCTCAGGTAAACCTTCAGAAAACTCCAGCACCAGCCTGTGGTTTATGATTATAATCACTTGTGAACCATGAAGGAAATCTACCCAACTGAGCCAAATCAAGCCATAGAACTATAAAATATAGTGATATATATTATAGTCGACACACAATATAATTCTTATTTGTTAAGAGCTGATCATCATTCTTCTCCTCCCCTGTGCCTTGCTACTAAGACAACTTTATTTGGCCTGAGGCATTAGATGTCTTTGGTGGGATGTTTTTGGTGAAAGTTTTTTGTAGGGTTTTATTATAAAGCAATGCATATAAAAATCATTTTTTACATTTCATTGGAAAAAACAGAAAAAATACTCTTTATTGGATATAATACATAATTTAAATTAATTTAAATTAAATACTTTCACCTGAATTGCACAAAAACATGTAATAATGTAGCCAAATCTGACACCATTAAAAAAAAATACATACATTGGTCAAATTCTTTGGGTGTTGTGACAATGCTATGGACTGAAATGTGTTGCCCCTCCCTAATTTATACATTGAAATTCTAACACACTCCTCGGAATGTGACTGTATTTGGAGATAATGGTCTTCAAAAAGATGACTAAGTTAAAATGAGGCCTTTAGTGTAGGTCTTAATCCAATGTAAGTAGTGTCATTAGAAGAGAAGAGATGCAGACACAATGAGTAACAACAAGGGATACCTGGGCAGAGAGAAAAGGCCATGTGAAAACACAGCAAGAAGGCTGCTATCTTCAAGCTAAGGAGAGACAGGGCTCAGAAAAAGCAAACTTGCTGACACCTTTATGTTCCAGCTTTTAGACAGTGAGAAAAGAAATTTCTGTTAATTAAGCCACCCATCTGCAGTATGCTGTTATGGCAGCCCTAGAAAGCAAATACAGTTAAGAGTCAGTATACTTCCTCAGGTGATATAGAAGAGCACACCTGGCTGTCGTATCCAGGGTTGGCTGTGTCCTACTTCTGAGCTGTGTCAATCTGCACATTTGCTGCTGTAGCAGAAACCAGGTTCTTCCTTGCCTTCAGTGGTCTAGCTTGAGACTTTCCATTAGTCCCAGGAACGCCTTAAAATGCTTTCAATAAATATTTTGTGTTTAAGTTCATCTGATTTGGTTTCTGTAGTTTGCAACTAAGAACACTAACTGAAAATTCTGTGGCTGAATACTGATATGCAGATGAATCGCAGCAAACCATATAAGGTAGGAAAATTTTCCCCAAAATGTTGCACATATCGTTATGAGCAGAAAGTGAAGGTAGTCACGAAGACTCACTGGTTGAATCCAAAAAACATCAAAGTTATTTATAATATAAGATGATGCAAATTTGGCTTAGTGAAAAAATTTAATAGTGCTACAAATATTTAAAAGCAATTTAGATAGTGCTAGAAAACAATAGAAACTATTATTATTACTATGTTAAATAAGAGAGGCTGCCAAATGCTTATAAATAGCTCTTATAATAATGAGAACTATATGAGAGATCTTATCAAGTTTATTGCTTTGGGAGGAAATTAGTGAGTCATGGCATTTCTAAGGACTGCTTTTACAGAAAAAGAAATCTGTGTTTGAATTCCAACTGCATGACCTAATAGCTCTTACCTCTAGTAAATTATCATTTCTTATCTACAAAATTGGAATAATGACTTATAAGGTATTATTCTACAAATTAAAGAGAAAATATATGTCAAACAATAGTCATGAGGCCCAATGGAGCCTGTATTTTCCTATTCAAACCTACATCCCGGCCAGGCGAGGTGGCTCACCCCTGTAATCCCAGCACTTGAGGAGGCCAAAGCAGGAGAATCGCCTGAGGTCAGGAGTTCAAGGCCAGCCTGGCCAACATGGGGAAACCCCATCTCTACTAAATATACAAAACTTCTCCGGGCGTGGTGGCAGGTGCCTTCCAGCTACTAGGGAGGCGAAAGCAGGAGAATCGCCTGAACCCAGGAGGCGGAGGTTGCAGTGAGCCAATGTCGCACCATTGCATTCCACTCTGGGCAGCAAGAGCGAAACTGTCTCAAAACAACAACAACAAATAAAAAATAAAAAAAAAAAAATAAAAAACACCTACACCCTGTTCAGAAGTGAAAGGAAATTGTGGCTAATATTTAAACTTACCAAGGAAACTAAACTTGGTGTCATCTGAATGTAAACAGAATATAAAACCATCTCTTTGCAGCAAATATTTAGCCAATTTAAAATTGACACCTTAACAGGATATTTCTTCTCAGCTGATGTCCTTTCTTCTTTCCCCCTACTTAGGAAGACTCTCAGATGCAAGTAAGCACATAGGTGGTTTTGTGACAGCAGGGATAGGGCAGGTGGTTCCTGTGCTAGCCCTTTTGTTAGTTGGTCTGATATTTTCAAATGCTGGTTCTCCAAGAAATGTGTCTTCTCCTTTGCAGACATTATGTACATTAACCACTGTGAATTGTTGCTGAGTTTGCCCTTGATGAAACTTCAGAGCACAAGACTATGAATTATCAGTCTCTACTTTTCTGCCCTCCCACACCATTTGTCTTAGTCCCAGCACAGCAGTCACTGACACTCTTTCCCATACCTGGTGAGGCTGTCGTTTTAATGGTGTCACCCTCACCTCATCAAAATAATTCTACAGCAGGCTGACTGGCTCACCAATCTATTCCTCTTGTTCCTCTGCTAAAAGCAAGAGAGGAACATCTATACCTTGAATGCCACAAGAAACCAATGGCAAGTTGTGGGGGTCAAGAGGTGGTGGAACGCTCATTTATACCAGCCTTTGCCTTTGGATGTGCCACACTGCTTCTCTTCCTCCATCATGCTCATAGTAGAGTGAAGTGGTCTACACACACTGAGTTAAAACTGGGCGGACCCAGGAAAGATAAAAAACTTTTCTGCTTTTCACTCCCTGCTACCCCAAATTATCTTTGTTCTTTCTACTACTCTTCTTGGAGTTCAACTCCAAAGATCAGAGAGGAGGAAGAAACAAGGACTCTCTGTCATCCAGTTCCTTGCCCTCTACTCTCTATAACTTGTCTTCTTTCTCTTGAGGTCTTACAAATGCTATGCTTTATCTTTTCTCCCTCGGTGAGTGTGAATTCCCTTAGGTTTTATCCTAAGTCCTCTCCTCATTGAGGCTCATGTAGCAGTCCTTAGGAACCTGACTTTTGATTAAAAATGAGAATGCCCTCAAAATTTGAAAATCCTTTATCACTACACAAAGAATGTTGTTTGAGGCTAATATCTTGCTTTACCACTCATGTCCACATAGACAAGCATTATAATTCTTATTTGTTAAGAGCTGATCATCATTCTTCTCCTCCAATGTGCCTTCCTGTTAAGACAACTTTAGTTGGCCTGAGGCATTAGATGCCTTCGGTGAAATAGAAGTAAGATTATTACAAGGAAAAACAGAACAGAAAGCATACTAATGTATTTTTGAAGATGGTATTCTGTGAAATGAATAGAAAAATTATTTATAATTGAAACTATATCTTCAATGTATTCTTCTTTCAGTCAGTGAACAAATATCTATTGAGTGCCTACCATGTATCTACAATTGCTATCACAGAAGTTGGAGGAAATAAAAAAGAACAAAATGGAAATAGTCTGTGGTATCATGGGTAAGACAATCATAGAAACAGTAATTACAAGTATGGTAAGATCACACAAGGAGAAATCTGGGACACAGTGGAACATCTAACAGGAGGTGCATATCTGGTCTGAATTGTCACAAAACATTTTTGCAGAAAGTAGAGAAAGCAAAAGAAGACATCTACGTTTGTTGTTTTCTTAGAGGTATTTGCAAATGTATGTGTGTGTGTGTGTGTGTGTGTGTGTATGCCTGTCTGTGAGTCTATTTGTATACCCATAATTTACACATAATGAAAATGACAATTTGTTGTCCTAAGCCTTTGTCCCTATTGGCTTTCTTTTGAAAAATATACTGCTTGTCTCTTTAGATTAATGAATCCGTTGTTTGTTTCTTCTATGTGACCATTTTTTTAAAGATTCAAGTAGACCTACTTGACATGTAAGTTTATGAGCATAAATTAATTTTTAGGTAGTTAAACATTTCTTTCAGAATTTTGTTGAAATCCAGACATTTTAAAGTACCTATTTTATAAGTATTTGATGACAAGTAAGCATTTCCCCTAAAACTAGCAAGCTTTTTAAAATAAATGAAAGCCCTTTTGTTACCAGGAAAAATATATTAAATATAATATAATTTTCTTAATGTTGCTGAATAGAAATAAATAACATAAGTTATTTAAGGAATGACTACCCTAAATTGAACTAGATACACATTAAAATGGGTTGACCAAGTGTCTTGTGATGAATGTCTATATTTGTATTTTTATTAACACTGTCATTTAGAGTACAGTAATTGGCCTCTACTCATTAATGAAAATCTAATTTATAGATCTACAGCCCATCAACTCTGTGATTCCTGATGCTTTAACTAAAAATTTTGATTCCATGGCAACAGTTTTCTCCAAAATCAAAGAAAAGCTGAGGAGAAGAGAGGGTCAACTAATCTGTCATGTTTGGAACAAAAAATATCTTGTGTTCCAAACTGTTTTTTGCCTAACCATACAAAAGAAACAAGCATGAAATGATGAGAGAGGTTATAAAACCATAGTCCAGCATGTTCTGTCACCTGTACTTGACTGAGGATGTGGCAATATGACAAATAATATCAAAGGACAGAAATAATGTTATGTATCATTGGTTTGATTATGGGATTCTGTGGCCCAAATGTGCTCTAGCTCTCCAACACACAGAAGGATTTCTGGTTTAACTTTGACATAATATTTAAAATATATGCAGTCATAGTGGTATAAAATTATTTCTACTAAGTTGGAATATACACATATTTCACTAGAAGGATAAAAATTCCAGCTTCCATTTACTGAGTGCTTATACTAAGTGCCAACATTTTGCTAAGCATGTGACACATATTAGTTCACGAAAACATCACAAAACCATATGAGGTATGATTATAACTATTTTTCTAATAAAGAAGATGAGTTTTGAAATCTTAAGGAATTTGCTAAATATCAAAAAAAGCATAAGTAGTAGCATCTGTCTGATTTCTAAGTCCATATGTTTACCTACAAGGTTTTCCACATACATTTTGACCATTGAGGCCAAAATTTATCTTAAAATGAACTTTGTGTTTTTTCAGATAACCTTTGTATTTGCCATCTTATTGAATTTCCATCAAAACTAACTGAGCTTAGAAAGTAGATATTTTCTTCCTATTGTACACAGATGAGAAATGTAAGAATAAAAAATGTATATATATTAGCAAAAATTATACAACTTACTAAGTGTTAGAGGCTAGACAAAAATTCTGGTCTACTAATACAAAATTTAGTTCTCCTCTGTTTCTTTGTTTCATTTTTCCTCACCTATGCCCTGTTTGGTTAGGGGAAAGAATTTTCTCAGTCTAAAGGCAGTCCCTGAGGCAGAGTTTCAGATTTTGAGCCAAGAGATGGATTTTCATGCTCTTTGAACAAATTCAAAGGAAATTAATAAGCACAAACATATGTAAGTGAGAGAAAAAAATAATTTCAGCATCCACATTCCCTATCTGATCATTTCTTATCCTGATTTCCCCCAAACTATAGTCCAATTTCCTGGCAGATGATTCAAGTTTTCTTATACACCTCTGATGTATACATTACAAAGGGCCTAAATTGTTAACATTTTTATAGGTCAGAATGCCATAGATTTCTTTTTTCTTCTTTTGGGTGGAATAGTTTTCTTTATTATTCTAAACATATTTTAACCTCTCAAGAGTCCACTGAAAATAAGAATGTAGTTTAAAGTTATAAAAGGTAAAATGTTGTCTTAAGAGCCATCTCTAAACATCATCTTTCCTCTCAGCCTAAGGGGGCCTTTATTGGAACTTTATCTCCCTTTGTAACAGACAGGTGGATAGAGAAAGGGGTGAGCTGGTCATTTAACCTAAGCAAAATGGATCTTTAAGAAGGTGGCCATGCTGACATCAGCACTTAGCAAGTACCCGAAGCTTCTGATTTACTACACCCAGTTTTTGGCATAGTTCTAGCACAAGGCAGTAGCTTAATAAATATGTGCTAATATTTTGAATGACTGGGCAATGAATAAAAAATTGATGAGGGTACTGCAACCAGGCTGAAGAGTAAACTTGAATGAATTCAATCCATTTTAAGGTGGCAAGGCAGAGAAGTTTCATGTTCATGGTGATCACTTAAAAGGTGTTATTTATTAATACTTCAAGAATTTCACTGATATGAAGGAGCGTATGACTTTACCTGGCAACTCCACCATCCACCCTAGCCCATGATTTCCTTATTGGTAACATCCCTAGAAGAAACTTTTTGGCAAACTAGCCCTGGAATAGGAAGAACAATGAAAATGGAAGATGCTCCTGATTTAAAGAACACACTCTCACTTTTCACCTGGAAGTGTTTATTGTAATAAAGATAGATAATTCTAGGAGACAGAATGTTTTTGATCTTTCTCCATTTAATAGTGTTCAAACATGGTGTTGGTCTTGCCTTTTTAGAAAAGTATAGTCAGAATTAGCAATCTCAACAAACCTTGGAAGAGTGTAGGGCTGATTCTGAATAAATTTTAAGATAAGCAAATATGCAAATGCTACAGACAAGTTGTGTGAGTTAATGAGGAACTGAAGAGGTTTCCAGTAAGGGCTAGTAAGACACATGAAAAAGATGCTTTAGGGACACAACAAATACCTATTCTTTTAATGCCAAATGGAGTAAGCTAGCCATTCTACTTAACAAACTGATGATGATGAAAATAATAATAAGAGAAAAACAATTAAAATCATCTTACTGTGAATCTTTTGCTCATCCATTTCTAGATATGAATATAAAAATTGCAACTGCCTGTGAATAACTATCAGATCAATAGTATAAACAATCGCATTGCCATTTGGTGGCATCTGCCCTGATTATATACACAATTATATTTCAGTGGCTGAACATGAAATGTATACTCTTTATTAAATTGTCCTTCTTAACAAAACAGTTTAGACATATAGCAAGTATAAATGAATAAAATACTAACATTTAGAACATTTACTTTTGACCTTGTCTATAAAATGCTACTAATTTTGGTGAATATTTTAAAACTACATATATGTTTTATTTAAATGCCTAAAACATAAAGAAAGTAACAGATGAAATCTCTTGACTGGTGAGAATGTTTACTCACTTTGGAATGGTCTTGCCTATATGAGGCCCCATGGGAGAATCAAGCTAAAAGTCTGCAGGACTAGCAATCGGCTCAAAAACATTTTAACTAAAATATTTTATTTGGTTTTGACCAAATATAACTTTGTCAGTCTACATTAGTGTTATAAAAACAAATACTGATTGAGTTGTACCCAAACCTAACAACCACATCATGCATTCAAAAATGATTTTATTTTAAATTAGGTAGCAAATCTACTGGTTTATATTACTCGTCACCAGGATGCTATAATGTTGTTAAGAAAACCTGGTTGCTGTTGCTGTTTTGTAAATGGTTTATTAGGACTTAATTTATTTTTTCTGTAATTGGACTGATACACTATTTTAATAATTCTTATTAATGTTCTCGTTATGATTATACACACACACAAACACATCAAAATAAATATTTAAACTGGCACTTAAACACACTTAAGTCTTTAAAACAGATAAATTTAATCAGGAGAAAATAACACTCAATTAATTTAGCACAATTTTGCTTTATAGTTTTGAAGTTTTAGATGTCCTGACAATACCACCTTGTTAATGTTGTATTCCAGAGACCATCAAGATATAGAGCTCTGTTTGTAAATAGATATTTTATAAACATTTTAATTTTATTTTTACTTATGTATTTATTTTTTAGACACAGGGTCTCACTCAGGTGCCCAGGCTGGAGTTCAGTGGCACAGTCATAGCTCACTGCAGCCTTGAACTCCTGGGCTCAAGCAATCCTCCCACCTCAGCCTCCCAAGTAGCTAGGACTATAGGCATGTACCACCATGCCCAGCTAAATTTTATTTATTTATTTATTTATTTTGTACATGCAGTGTCTCACTATGTTGTCTGGGCTGGCCTCTAACTCCTGGAGTCAAGTAATCTTTTCATCCCAGCCTTCCAAGTAGGTGGAACTATAGACACATACTACTATACTTGGTGTGAATGAATATTTCAAATAAATAGTCCCCTTTTCTATAATAAAGAGGTCTCTAAGCTAACATGAATGTTGGGAATTGGTAAAATTTGTAAAAAAAAAAAGTATTATTATTAGATGTATATGGAAGCAAACAAAATAATCCACCCTTATAGAGAAAAGGACTCTTTACTGTTTGTCTACAAATCAAGACTAGACTGATTTGCAGTCAAGAGAATGCCTTAAGAGAATGTATTCTGGAACCAGGCGGCATGGATTTGAATCCCTTTTTTGACTTTGGAGGATATGCTTAACCATTCTATGCTTATTTCCTCTTATGAAACAATAATACTTAACTCCTATGATTATAATGATATTAAAATAAATTAATGTTTATCAAACTCTTAGATTGGTACAAAGCACACATTATGTTGGGTTAAATCATGTGGAATTGTCATTTTTATAACTAAAAAAGGATAAAGTATCAGCAATTTTATGCATCCCAACCTAATAGTATTATTATCTGCTTAATTGGATACTATTCTCTATTTAAGAATCAGAGCAATTAACACGTCCTCCCAGAGCCCTCCCTAAACCCCTGCCCTTTCCCCTTTGTGACCTGATAAAGAAAAACGGCAACAGATCAGTGAAAGCACCTAAAACGGAGGTGATAAGCCATTCCAGCTGGAACATCAGGCTTGCTTCAAGCAGAGAATACTCAATCCACAAGGTCAAACTTCTTACCTGAACACAATTTCCAAAATATCTGTTGACTATTGTCTGCTGAACTGGGAGGCCCCTAATCATAGCTGCCTTCTTAACTGTTAACAGTCTCTCCCTTGACTCCAAGATTGCTTTAGACAGACACATCACACCAGTTGTAATAGTTAAAAAATAACTTTTATAAGCACCCCGTCTCCTGATTCATTCTGTTTTCTTTAAAAGTGCCAGCCTCTCCTTAGTTCTCTAGAGCACTTGTAACTTGAAAGCGCTTCTCAGGCTTCAGTCACTCAAATTGGGCTCAAACAAGTTCTTTGCTGTATAAGCTCTACCTCAATGTTTTCCATGTCTGCAGAAACTTAGGCCCATACACCTCTCTTCAGCCACCACAATACAAGATGTATATCTGTATTAAATCTTTGGCATGTGTAACATGTATTTCAAGATTACGCTTTTTATTTCTTTACATCCAGCACTACCACATATTTCATTATGTTAACATATCAAAAGCACATTAGAAGCATCAGTAGCAATACTATCATAGAATTTTTCTAGTTAAATTGCCGTATGTTTCACACTCACCCTGTGAGCCTTCCCAGAAACAAGCCATGAGCTCGGTTATAGGCTTTTCACGGTACACCAAGAAATTGGCTATCAACTACTTGAAATGCAGAGACGTGGCAAAGAGCAGTACAGGCACCTGCATCATTGAACAGAAAGGCACAATAAGAAGGAAATTAATTCGCCCCTTAGGCTCATCTGCACAATAATCCTACAGAATGAATTTGTTGTTTTCTGAAGGCAGTTTTCCAGATATGAAATTATGGCTCCAGGAGTAATGTGAGATTTCATGCAAGTAGAGGGAGCTCATGATTTCTCACACAGATCTGTTGTCATATAGTGAAAGGCAAACCCAGCGATCCTACAAACTTCAAATCTTGAGTGTAGTGTGCATCCCATTCTCAAAGGAAGAAGAAATGAAAGAAAACAAAAACACAAGAAATAAAAGGAAAGAAGAAGAGAGGAATAAAGGAAGAGAGGAAAGGAACCAGTTAAGAAGAAGAAATGGAGAAAAAAATGAAAGAAGAAAAGAGAGAAAACGGAGAGGATATAAATATAAAATTAGCAATTAAAAATATTTTTAAAGCCATGTGTGCATTTAACTCACCATGAATGCTGATATGTTATGTGTGGATATAGGAGGGAAAAAACAAAGTTTTTTTTCTATTTTCTCACTTAACAATCAACACATCTGTGACCCCAGGTTTACCCACCAACACCCAATTCTACAGATGATTCTTTAGCACACACCAGCTGGTGTCCTCTAATTAAATTCAATTCCAACACTATCTATCTGGAGATAGCATCAGATCCTACAGGTTGAGGAATCAGTCCCACAAGACTGTCTCCCACTTCAGATGCCAGTTGCAACCATTAGTTGTCTCCTGTACCTCTGGACAACTGTCTAAAAATTGAAATTCCTATTACCCCCTGCTTTGGTTCTATTACTTTTTAGATTGGCTGACAGGATTCAGGGAAATACTTTCCTTATGTGTACCCCTTAATTATAAAGAATATTACAAAGAATATTCTGAACAGAAGGGGCACAGAGTTTCCATGCCCTCTCCTGGCACATCACCCTCCAGAAATCTCCACATGTTCTGCTATCCAGAAGCCCTGCAAACCACTGTGCTGTTGGTCTGTTAAGGAAGTCTCATCACGTAGGGATGATTAATTAAATCATTGGCCACTGATAATCAGTTTAACCTTCAGTTTGTCTTTCCTCCCCAGAGGTCACAGGTAGAACTAAGCTGCAACCTTTTATTTATTTATTTTTATATAGATATATATTTTTATTATACTTTAAGTTCTAGGGTACATGTGCACAATGTGCAGGTTTGTTACATATGTATACATGTGCCATGTTGGTGTGCTGCGAGTTAATGGGTGAAACCTTTTAATCATGGGTGGTTCTATGGCAACCAGTCCCCATCCAGAGGCTATCTAGGTAACTCCAGCCACCACTAATCTCATTAGCATACAAGTGACACTCTTGTCACTCTTGAGATTCTAAAGGTTTTAGAGCGGTGTACCAGGAAATGGGGGGAAACACCAAATATACATTTCACAATATCACAAGTATTATGGGTAGTATTTGGGCTCTAGAATCATTGCAAACTTGTTTTCCATCTTGCCTTGCTATTTATTGCTTATGTGTTTTTTAGCAAGTTACTTTCCTCTCTATACTTCAGACAGTTTACCTAAGAAATGGCAATCGTAATTATAGATCTACTTCATAGAGTTGTAAAGAGTAAAAGTAATTTACATAAATTACTTAATACAATTACCGGAATATAATAATTGTTCAATAAATATTTATAAACATAAAAGGTAATGCAATGTCAGAATTATATATTTATATTTACTTTAAAAATATAATCTTGGATGATAATAATTACAACTGTAACCAATTAAATTGGTATAATTCATAAACCAATCTTGTATAGAAAATGTTGTAATCTTACTAAGCTTCTTCGTTTTCTAACTACAGAAGCAAGAACTTAACTTTTAACTTTGGAGCACTGACTTCATTTCTCTGAAGTCTTTTCCTTCTGGATGATCATTCCCAGCTTTTTGTTTCAGTAAACTCTTTAAACTGGATTCTGATCCATCTGATTATCTCAGGGTGACATCTTAAATCTCAAAAGTTTAATATAAGAAAGATTTATTTTCCAGTCACTCTGTAGTGTATCATAAGCAAAGGTCTCTGCTCCACAAAGTCACTCAGAGACATAAGATGATGGAGACTCTTCACCTTATAGCACTACTAAATGGAGTATGAAGCTTTCCTGGTCCCCATAGCCAAGGAAGAGGGAAACTACAAATTGGAACGTAGCCTTTTCACTGCCTAGCTCGAGAAGTAATGTAGGTCATTTCTACTCCCAGCATTGGACAGAAGTAGTCATTTGGCCTTACCTAGCAACATGAGCCAAGGATATGTTGGGCATATGCCAACATATGGAATGTTTGGTGAGCATTACTATCTCTGCCACAGCTAATTATTCCTAAAATGGTTTCTGCCATAGCTTCATTTCAGCCAAAGGAAGTGGTAAAGAGGGAAGTGAAGAGTATTATCCATTCCTTCAAGGACAAGATATGGAAGGTGCCCATACACTTCTACTCACAATCCATAGGCTAAATTTAGTGAGGTGGCTATACCTACCTGAAAAGAAAACTTTGGAAGATAGTCTTTATTCTCATGACTCTGCAACTTGGTAATATTTAAGAGTTATATGACTGAAGAAAAGAGAAAAAAAGGATATTAAAAGAAAAATTGCAGCCTCAGCTAAAAAAAATTACTGAAAAAAATCACATAATTTCAGTTGAGGTCAGTTCATATTTAAGAAACATTTACATTCCTGGATTCTAATATAAAATAAAATTCAGAATTCAAAGCAATTTTTAAGCAGTTCCTTTGTATCACAAAATAATTCTTTAGAAGTCAAGTCAATCTACTGAACTATTGAAATATCATCTTTCCTCCTACTCAACAAGAATTTCTTCCAAATTACATAGGCAGCCTAAAAGCTTTTAATGACAAGAAATCTTAGAGTATGTCAGTGAACTAAGGTTGAATACAGATGAAAGAAAAAAGAAACACAGATTTATGGTTCATGATTTATCTTTCTTTGCAGTAACATGAAGAGAAACAAGTCATCCATTAACATTGTTCAGTAAAGCTTTGATGTTTTCTTTTCTCTCTGAAGAAGGGCCCAGTTCTTTAAAGATGCAGGTTTGACAGTTCCAAGCACTAATGTTCCAGTCCTGTAATTATATCAAAATCAATTTAAGGGAGAAAATTGTTATTTTTTTCTTCTTTTCGACATTACTTCTCAAAAAACAAGACAGGCATTGTCAAAAGCTCTTTTTCCATTTGAAATTCATTCTTAGATATTATTTAAAGTTTTTTTAAAAAGTTATCATTGGCCACCTAAGGATTGAATGGAAGCTAATTGGTAGAAATTATATCATTATGGTGACCCTTATAATCTTAAAGAGTATTTCAGGCAGTATTTCCTTCAGTGAATCTACCTGGCTATCAAATAGAGCTATTCTTTTCCTGGTATAGATAACCTTCTTGCAGAGTGATTTGCAGTAGACTGGTTTCCTTCAGAGAATGCTACCTATCTTCAGAGAATGCATAGATTAGAATATGTGCTACTTAACAGATGTGTTATGATTCTAAGTCAAAGTCCAGAAACAGAAAATTAGTACCGTTTGTGTTTGTCCCCAGCTTATGTGACTTACCAGGTTTTCTCAGCTATTAATTTCTTCTCTGTTTGTGATGAACCTCCAATATTGCATGACATTATTTTCATTCATGTAGGTTTGATCTTCCTGAGTAGAAGGATCCTTTAGCTGTGATGTCACCTTGTTGTGAACCCATGTCTTAATGATAATCTACCTGCTTGTCCAGCCAGAACCTCAAGCTGGGGCTCCTAATCCACAGTGGTGTACACTGACTTAAATGGACAACAGTTTCACCTCACATCTTTAGCTAAACAATTTGCCTTCTGCATTGGGTTTTCCGGTTGCTTCTGAGATGCAAGGCACCCCTGAACCTTTTAGATGGCTGCCTCTGCTACTTTGAGATCAGCTTTCCCAGAAGGTCCCCAGTAAGAACAGATGGCAAAACTTAGAGCTCAGGGTATAAAGAGCTCTTTGGAGTGAACTTGGCCAGTGGGAGATAGAAAAGAGAAAAACTGTTTGCAACACAGTGGTTCTTTCAGAAAATGTCCCTCACACTGAATAATTGGCTATGCATGTTATGTGGCTGTAGCTAGCTCAGAAACACACCCCTCTGTTGTGAACGTTTCCTCTATTTTTACTTAGTTCATTTTCCCTTCCATTTTTTTTTGAGATTTGCTCACCCATAAAATGTTATTATTTAAGTTTTCACTCTTGACTCTGTTTTTACAAAACCTAAGTTAAGACAACCATAACTTAAATTCACTTTTGACTCTGTTTTTACAAAACCTAAGTTAAGACAACCATAACTTAAATACACTTAATTTACTTATTTTCAATTGATACATTGTAATTATATATATTTATGGTGTACAATTCAATGTTTTGATACATATCTATGTAGTATAATGTTTCGATCAGGATAGTGTATCCATTGTCTCATACATTTATGATTTCTTTCAGGTGAGAGCCTTCGAATGCTGATCTTGAAATACATAATATTTTACTATTAACCATAGTCACCCTACTGCATGTAGAATATTAGAATTTATTCCTCCTATCTAATTGTAACTTTGTACCTATTGGCCAACCTCTGGTAAACGTGGGCTTCATTGTCTTATTCCTAAGTTTAGAAAAAAATTATCTTTTTCCATTCCTAGTATGCTATTACCTGTGTGTTTGTCACATTTGGCCTTCATTTTGCTAAGGTACATACTTTCTATAGCTAATTTGTTGAGAGTTTTTAATCACGAAGGGATGTTGAATTTTTAGAAATGCCTTTTCTTTTCTGGATCTATTGAAATGATTATAGTTTTTGTCTCTCTTTCTGTTAATGTGGTATATCACATTTATTGATTTGTATCTGTTAAAACTTCTTTGCATCCCTTGAATGAATCTCAGTTGATCATAGTGAATGTTTTTATATACATAAGTATATATAATAAATATTTAATAAAAATAAATGTAATATTTATTATTTGTATTTGTGTATTTGTATTATTTTTTAAACATTTATTTTAAGTTCAGGGGTACAGGTACAGGTTTGTTACTTAGGTAAATCTGTGTCTTGGGGGTCTGTTTTAGACATTATTTCATCACCCAGGTATTAAGCCTAATACCTATTAGTTATTTTTCCTGATCTTTTCTCTCCTCTGAACTCCACCCTCCAATAGGCTTCAGTGTGGGTTGTTCTGGTCTATGTGTCCATACGTTTTCATCATTTAGCTCCCATTTATAAGAGAACATGGAGCACTTACTATTCTGTTCCTGCGTTACTTTGCTAAAGATAATGGCCTCCAGCTTCATTCATGTCCCTGCAAAGGACATAATCTCATTCTGTTATATGACTGCATAGTATTTCATGGTGTATATGTACCACATTTTATTTATCAAGTCTATCATTGATGGGCATTTAGGTCGATTCCATGTCTTTGCTATTTTGAATAGTGCTGCAATAAACATACATATGCATTTGTCTTTAAAACAGAACAATTTATATTCCTTTGGGTATATACACAGTAATGAGATTGCTGGGTTGAATGCTATTTCTGTCTTTAGGTCTTTGATGAATTGTCACACTGTCTTCCACAATGGCTGTACTAATTTATACTTCCATCAACAGTGTATAAGCACTCCTTTTTCTCCACAACCTTACCAGCATGTTATTTTTTGACTTTTTAAATAATAGCCATTCTGATTGGTGTGAGATGGTATCTCACTGTAGTTTTGACTTACATTTCACTAATGATCAGTGATGTTGAGCTTTTTTTCATGTGCTTATCGGCCACATGTATGCCTGCTTTTGAAAATGTCTGTTCATGTCCTTTGCCCACTTTTTAATGGGGTTGTTTTTTCTTGCCAATTTGTTTAAGTCCCTTACAGATGTGCATATTAGACCTTTTTCAGATGGATAGTTTGCAAAAATTTTCCCCCATTTTGTAGGTTGTCTGTTAATAGTTTCTTCTGCTGTGCAGAAGCTTTTTTGTTTAATTAGATCCCATTTGTCAATTTTTGCTTTTGTTGCAATTGTTTTTGGTGTCTATATTAGTCTGATTCCATATTGCTGATAAAGACATACCAGAGACTGGGAAGAAAAAGAGGTTTAATTGAACTTACAGTTCCACATGGCTTGGGAAGCCTCAGAATCATGGCGAGAGGTGAAAGGCACTTCTTATGAGGTGGTGGCAAGAGAAAATGAGGAAGATGCAAAAGCAGAAACACCTGATATAACCATTAAATCTCATGAGACTTATTCACTACCATGAGAACAGTATGGTGGAAACCACCCCCATGGTAGATTCAAATTATCTCCCACTAGGCCCCTCTGACAAGATGTGGGAATTACGAGAGTACATTTCAAGATAAGATGGGGACACAGAGCAAAATCATATCATTCAGCCCCTGGCAACTCCAAGTATCATGTCCTCACATTTCAAAACCAATCAGGCCTTTCCAACAGTCCCCCAAAATCTTAACTCATTTCAGCATTAATCCAAAAGTCCACAGTGCAAAGTCTCATCTGAGACAAGGCAAGTTCCTTTTGCCTATGAGCCTGTGAAATCAAAAGCAAGCTAGTAACTTCCTAGGTACAATGGGGCAACAGGTCTTGGGTAAACACAGCCATTCTAAATGGGGTAAATTGGCCAAAACAAGGGGGTTACAGGACCCATGCAAATCTGAAATTCAGCAGGGCAGTCAAATTTGAAAGCTTCAAAATGATTTCCTTTGATTCCAGGTCTCACATCCAGGTCATGCTGATGCAAGAGGTGGGTTCCCATGGTCTTTGGCAGCTCCACACCTGTGGCTTTGCAAGGCACAGCCTCCCTCACAGCTGCTTTCATGGGCTGGCACTGAGGGTCTGTGGCTTTTCCAGGCAATCCATGAAAGCTGTTGGTGGATCTACCATTCTGGGGTCTGCAGGACAGTAGCCCTCTTCTCATAGCTCCACTAAGCAGTGCCCCAGTAAGGACTTTGTGTGGCAGCTCTGACCCCACATTTCCCTTCTGCACTGCCCTAGCAGAGGTTCTCTATGAGTGCCCCACCCCTGCAGCAAACTTCTGCCTGGGCATCCAGGTATTTGTATACATCTTCTGAAATCTAGGCAGAGGTTCTCAAACCCCAGTTCTTTACTTCTGCATACTCTCAGGCTCAACACCAGGTGGAAGCTGCCAAGGTTTGGGGATTGTACCCTCTGAAGCCATGGCCCATGTGCTATGTTGGCCCCTTTCAGCCACAGCTGGAGCAGCTGGGATGGAGGTCACCAAGTCTCTACACTGCACACAGCATAGGGACCCTGGGCCCTGCCCAGAAAACCATTTCCTCCTAGGCCTCCAGGCCTGTGACTGGAGCGGCTGCCATGAAGACCCCTAACATGGCTTGGAGATATTTTCCCCATTTTCTTGGGGATTGACATTCAGCTCCTCATTATTTATGTAAATTTCTGCAACTGGCTTGAATTTCTTCTTGGAAAATTGGTTTTTCTTTTCTATCACATTGTCAGGCTGCACATTTTCTGAACTTTTATGCTCCGCTTCCCTTATAAAACTGCATCCAAGTCACCTCTTGAATGCTTTGCTGCTTAGAAATTTATTCTGCCAGATACCCTAAATCATCTCTCTCAAGTTCAAAGTTCCACAAATCTCTAGGACACAGGCAAAATGCCACCAGTCTCTTTGCTAAAACATAACAAGAGTCACCTTCACTCCAGTTCCCAACAAATTCCTCATCTCCTTCTGAGACCACCTCAGCCAGGACCTTATTGTCCATATTGCTATCAGTCTTTTGGTCAAAGCTATTCAACAAGTCTCTAGGAAATTCCAAACTTTCCCACATTTTTCCTGTCTTCTTATGAGCCCTCCAAACTATTCCAACTTCTGCCTGTTACCCAGTTCCAAAGTTACTTCCACATTTTGGGGTATATTTTCAGCAATGCCCCACTCTACTGGTACCAATTTACTATATTAGTCCATTTTCATGCTGCTGATAAAGACATACCTGAGACAGGAAAGAAAAAGAATTTAATTGGACTTACAGTTCCACATGGCTGGGGATGCCTCAGAATCATGGCAGGAGGTGAAAGGCACTTTCCTACATGGTGGCTGCAAGAGCAAATGAGAAAGATGCAAAAGCAGAAACCCCTGATAAAACCATCAGAACTCATGAGACTTATTTGCTACCACAAGAACAGTATGTGGGAAACTGCTTCCATGATTCAAATTATCTCCCACTGGGTTCCTCCCACAAGACATGGGAATCATAGGAGTATAATTCAAGATAAGATTTGGGTGGGGACATAGAACCAAACCATATCAGTGTCTTTGTCATGAAATCTTTACCCATGCCTATGTCCCTAATGGTATTACCTAGGTTGTCTTCCAGGGTTTTTATAGTTGTGGGTTTGACACTTAAGCCTTTAATCCATCTTGAGTCAATTTTTGTATATGGTGTAAAAAAGGAGTCCAGTTTCAATCTTCCGCATGTGGTTAGCCAGTTATCCCAACACCATTTATTGATTAGGGAATCCTTTCCCCACTGCTTGTTTTTATCAGCTTTGTCTAAGATCAGATAGTTGCAAGTGTGTGGTCTTATTTCTGGGTTTTCTGTTCTCTTCCACTGGTCTATTTGTCTTTTGTACCAGTACCCTGCTGTTTTGGTTACTACCGCCCTGTTTTATAGTTTGAAGTCAGGTAACATGATGCTTCCAGCTTTGTTCATTTTGCTTAGAGTTGCCTTGGCTATTCAGGCTCATTTTTGGTTCCATATGAACTTTAAAATAGTCTTTTCTAGTTCTGTGAATAATCTCAATGGTAGTTTAATAGGAATAGCATTGCATCTGTAAATTGCTTTGGGCCCCATGGCCATTTTTAAATATATTGATTCTTTCTATTCATGAGCATGGAATGTTTTTCCATTTGTTTGTGTCTTCTCTGATTTCTTTGAGCAGTGTTTCATAATTCTCTTTGTAGAGTTGCTTCATTTCCCTGGTTAACTGTATCCCTAGGTATTTTATGGGATTGCACTCCAGATTTGGCTGTCAGCTTAACTGTTGTTGGTATATAGGAATGTTCATCATTTTCATATATTGACTTTGTATCCTGATAAATTTCTAAAGTTGTTTATCAGCTTAAGGAGTTTTTGGGCTGAGACTATGGGGTTTTCTACATATATAATCATATCATCTGCTAACAGGAATAGTTTGACTTTCTCTCTTCTTATTTGGATGGTCTTTATTTCTTTCTCTTGCTTGATTGCCCTGGCCAGGACTTCCTATACTGTGTTGATTAGGAGTGGTGAGAGAGGGCATCCCTGTCTTGCTCTGGTTTTTAAGAGGAGTTCTTACAGCTTTTGCTCATTCAGTATGATGATGGCTGTGCATTTTTCATATATAGCTCTTACTATTTTGAGATATGTTCTTTCAATACCTAGTTTATTGAGAGACTTTACGTGAGTGAGTGTTGAATGTTATCAAAAGCCTTTTCTGCATCTATGGAGATAATCAAGTGAGTTTTGTCTTTAGTTCTGTTTATGTGATAAACCAAATTAATTGATTTGCACATGTTGAAGCAACCTTGCATCCCAGGGATAAAGCCTACTTGATCATAATGGACAAGCTTTTTGATGTGCTGCTGGATTCAGTTTGACAGTATTTTCTTGAGGATTTTTGCATCGATATTCATCAAGGATACTGATGTAAAGTTTTCTTTTCTTGTTGTATGTCTACCAGATTTTTGTAACAGGATGATGTTGGCCTCATAGAATGAGTTATGGAGAAGTCCCTCCTCCTCAGTTTTTTGGAATAGTTTCAGTAGGAAGGGTACCAGCTGTTCTTTGAGCATCTGGTAAAATTCAGCGATGAATCCATCTGGACTTAGGATTTACTTTCTCTTTTCTTTTATTTATTTATTTATTTATTTGGTTCATTGGCTATTTATTACTGCCTCAGTTTCAGAGCTTATTATTGGTCTGTTCAGGAATTCAACTTCTTCCTTGTTCAAGTTTGGGAGGGTGTATATATCCAGGAATTTATCAATTTGTTCTAGATTTTCTAGTTTATGTGCAAAGAGGTGTTCATAATAGTCTCTGATGATTGTTTGTATTTCTGTGGAGACAGTGGAAATATCCCCCTTGTTATTTCTGATTATGCTTATGTGAATCTTCTATCTTTTCTTCTTTATTAGTCTAGCTAGCAGTCTATCTACTTGTTTTAATTTTTCAAAAATACCTGCTCCTGGATTCATTGATCTTTTGAACGGTTTTTCATGTCTCAGTCTCCTTCAGTTCAGCTCTGATTTTGGTTATTTTTTTTCTTCTGCTAGCTTTGGCATGTGTTTGCCTTTGGTTCTCTAGTTCTTTTAGTTGTGATGGTAGCTTGTTTACCTGTGAGCTTTCTAACTTTTTGAAGTGAGCAGTTAGTGCCTTAAATTTCCCTCTTAACACTACCTTACCTGTTCCCAGAGTTTTTACTATGTTGTATCTATTTTCTCAATAGTTTAAAATAACTTCTTAATTTCTGCCTTAATGTCCTTATTTATCCAAAAGTAATTCAGGGGCAGTTTATTCAATTTTCATGTAACTTTATGGTTTTGAGTGAATTTCTTAGTCTTTCTTTATATTTAATTTGATTGATTGTGTTGTGGTCTGTGGGACTCTTATGATTTCAGTTCTTTTGCATTTGTTGAGGAGTGTTTTGCTTCCAATTATGTGATGGATTTTAGACTATGTGCCATGTGACAATGGGAAGAATGTATATTCTGTTGTTTTGGGATGGAGAGTTCCATAGATATCTGTCAGGGCCATTTGATCAATTGCTGAATTCAGGTCCTGGATATCTTTGTTAATTTTCTGTCTCAATGATCTGGGCTTCACATCAGCTGGTGTGCGGCTCCACTGCTTCTCTAAGCAGCTCTGCCTGCCACTTCAAGTGTCTGTGATGGTTGAGGGGACCCTCCATCCAGGAATCCAGAGGCCCATGGTGAAAGCAGGTTGCTCCTTGCCAGTTTAACTCACCCATTCCCCCAGAGCTGCTATGGTTAAAAAATAAGTCTCAGTACTCATTAACCCTTGCAGATTTCCCAGCTTTTTCCCCATTCAGCCCAGCTTCTGTGCCTTCCTTCCATCCACTATCAGCTTCTCTCTGAAGATCCATCAGAAGCACACCAGTCGTCTCAGGCCCTTGGTGGGAGCTATTCCACTTAGCTGTGTCCAGTCAGCCACCTCACCCTCCCCCAACTGATTTTTTTGTTTGCTTGTTTTTTTGGGAACAGGATCTTACCCTGTCACCCAGGCTGGAGTGCAGTGGCATAATCATGGCTCACTGCAGCCATGATCTCCTGGACTAAAGGAATCCTCCCACATCAGCCTCCCAAGAAGCTGGGACCGCAGGTGTGCACTAGCATACCCAGCTAATTTTGTTCATTTTTGTAGAGATGAGGCTTCACTGTGTTGTCCAGACTGGTCTTGAATTCCTGGGCTCAGGCAATCCTTCTGCCTCAGCCTACCAATGTGCTAGGATTACAGAAATGAGCCACTGCGCCCGGCAGTGAATAATATTTTTAACGTGCTGTTGGATTTAGTTTGCTAGAATCTTGTTGAGAGTCTTTGCATCTATATTTATCCATGATATTATCCTGTAGTTTTTTTGGTGTTGTTATGTTTTTCTCTGGTTTTGGAATCAGGGTAATGCTAGCCTTATAAAATAAATTTAGAATTATTCTCTCCTATTCAATTTTCTGTAATACTTAGAGGAAAATTCGTATTAATTATTCTTTAAATGTTTGTTAGAATGCAGCAGGGAAGTCATTAGGCCCTGTGCTTTTCTTTGATGGAAGACTTTGTATTACTGATGCAATTTCCTTACTCCTTATTGGTGTGTTCAGATTTTCTATTTCTTCATAATTTAATCTTGGTAGATTGTATATGTTCTGATATTTATTCATTTCTTCTCTGTTATCAAATTTGTTGGCATATAGTTGTTTATAATAGTCTTTTATGATCCTTTGTGTTTTTATGGTCTCAGCTGTAATGTCACCTTTTTCAAATCTAATTTTACTTATTTGAGGCTTTGCTCTTTTTTCCTAGTAAGTCTAGCTAAACATTTATTGACTTATCTTTTTTAAAACACTAACTCTTTGTTTCATTAATCTTTTAAAATATTTTGTCCTCTATTTTATTTCTTCTTTGAGCTTTATTGTTTTTTTTTTCCTTTACCAATTTTGGGTATAGTTTGTTCTTGTTTTTCTAGTTCCTTGAAGCACATTGTTAGGTTGTTTGCTAGAAAGCTTTCCTTTTGTTTAATGTAGGTGTTTACTGCCATAAACTTTCCTCTTAGAATGGCTTTTGTTATGTCCCCTAGATTTTGGCAAAATGTGTTTCCATTCTCATTTTTCGCAATAATTTTTTTATTATATTTCAAACTTTGATTTTAGATTCAGGGAGTACATGTGAAGATTTGTTACATAGGTATATTGTGTGATGCTGTGGTTTGAGGTATGAATGAACCTGTCTCCCAGGCAGTAAGTATCATATCCAATAGTTAATTTTTCAGCCCTTGCCCCAGTCTCTCTCTGCCCCCTCTAGTAGGCCCCAAAGTCTATTGTTGCCATTTTTATGTCCATATGTACACAATCTTTAATTCCCTGTTATAAGTGAGAACACTCAGTATTTGGTTTTCTGTTCCTGCCTTATTTTAGTTAGAATAATGACCTCTAGCTACATGCATTTCACTGCAAAAGGTATAATATTATTGATTTTTATGCTCTGTTGTATTCCATCTAAAGGAAAATTTTAATTTCTGTCATATTCATTGATCTATTGGTTGTTTAGAAGAGTGTTGTTTAATTTTCATATATTTGTAAAATGTCTGAAGTTATTCTTGTTGATTTCTAGTTGCATACTATTGTGGTCAGAAAGATATTTGATATAATCTGTATCTTCTTAAATTTTTTAAGACTTGTTTTATAGCCTAACGTGATCTATTTTGGAAATTGTTTCATGTGAGGTTGTGTAGAACATGTATTCTGCAGTTATTCAATGGAATGTACTGTATATGTCTGTAAGATCCATTTGGTCTATGGTCCAGTTTACATCTGATGTTTCTGTGTTGAATTTTGTGGGAATTTCTGTCCATTATTGAAAGTGAATTGTTTGAGCCTCCTCCTATTACTGTAATGCAGTCTATCTCCCACTTTGGGGCTACTAATATTTTCTTTCTATTTCTGGGTACTCAGGTGTTTGGTGTATATATATTTGCAATTGTTATATTTTCTTGTTGAATTGATTCCTTTATCATTATATATTATCTTTTTGTATTTTTTACATTTTTTAATTTAATATCTATTTTATCTGATCTAAGTATGACTGCTCCTGCTTGCTTTGGGTTTCTATTTTCATGGGATATCTTTTTACATTTGATATAGTTTGGATATTTGTCCCTTCCAAATCTCATGTTGAAATGTGATCTCCAGTGTTGGAGCTGGGGCCTGTTACAAGGTCTTTGGGTCATGAGGGGAATTCTTCATGAATGTTTTGACGTCATCCTGTTGGAGATGAGTGAGTACTCACTCCATTAATTCATAAGAGAGCTAGTTGTTTAAGAGGAAATGTTGCCTCCTTTCCTTTCTCTTGCTCCCTCTCTTACCATGTGACATGCCTGCTCTCCCCTTGCCTTTTGTCATAATTTTAAGCTTCCTGGGGCTCTCACCAGAAACAGAGTCTGGCACCATGCTTCTTGTTGTCTGCAGAACCATGAGGCAAAATTAATCCCTTTTTATGAATACATTACCCAGTCTCAGGTATTTGTTTGTAGCAATGCAAAAAGAACTAATACACACACCATCACTTCACTTTTAGTATATATTTCTTTAATTGTGAGATGAGTATTTTGCAGGCAGCATATAGTTATATCTTGGTTGTTTTTTAATCCACTCCATATCTTTTAATTAGAGAATTTAACTCATTTACATTCAGGGTTATTATTTCTATATAAAAACTTACTTCTTCCATTTTGTTAATTGTTTTCTGGTTGTTTTGTAGGTCCCTTGTTCTTTTCTTTCTCTCTTATTTTTTACCTCTGTGGTTTGGTGGTTTTCTATGGTGCTCTGCATTTTCTTTCTCTTTGATTTTATGTGCTGTATTGTCTCTGTGGTTACCACAGGCCTAACATGAAGAGTCATATAGTTATAATACACTTTTTTAAAAGGTGATAGCAACTTTAATTTAGTTACATAAAAGTACTCTAGAAGCTTTCCTCCCCCACCCCACTTTATATTTATTTTGCCTTAATTTACATATTTCTCTATTAGATGTTCCTTAGCCAATAATTGTAGCTGTTGTTATTTATGACCATTGTGACTTTAAACTTTTATGCCTCATGATTGACAGATTTACATAGCACCATTATATCACTGAATATCTGTGCTTGATTTGTAAAGTTATTTCTATTATTGATTTTAATAATTTCACGTGTTTTTATGTTAGCGAAATTTTTGGGACATAAGAAACATGAAAAAGCAAGAAAATATGTTAAAGGAACATGAAAAAGCAAGAAAATATGTTAACTTCAAAGAAACAAATTATCTAGTAACAGACCCCAAATAACATAATAGTTATGACATGCCTGAAAAGGAATTCAATTCTTGAAAAAGATATAGACATACAGATAAAAAGCACCAAGATTTCCAAATTGGTTTAACTGCAAAATGTCCTCACCGGGGCACATTATACTCAAACTGTCAAAAGACAAAGATAATTCTTTAAAAAGCAAAAAAAAAAAAAAAAAAAAAAAAAAGTATCAAGTTACCTGTAAGAAAATCTCTAATAGATTTTCAGCAGATTTTGCAATAGATACTTCGTAGGCCAGAAGAGAATAAGATGATATATTCAAAGTACTGAAAACAAAAAAAAAGCTGTCAACGAAGAATGCTATGTCCAGCAAAACTATCTTTCAGAAATGAAGGACAAATCAGGGCCTTCCCAGACAAACAAAAGCTGAGGAATTTCATTACCACTGGACTAGACTTAAACTAAATGCTTAAGAGAGTATTACAATTAAAAATAAAAGGGAAAAATTATTCCAATATGAAGATCTCTACATCGATATCTTTTCATCTAGTGGAATAGTCATTTCCAGTATTGTAAAGTAGCTTTTGTATGAAGAATTCTTTTTTTTTTTCCTATAGATTGATTCCAGGGTGTTGTTTAGCTATACTGAATTGGCTTTGGTTCTGTGTGGACTAAGCATCACGATATTCATGCAGTTTCTTCAGATGTAATACTCATCAGCAAGGTCTGTGATTGACTCATTGGCCTAGGCTATAGGATTTTGTGATGATAGTGATGTGATTTTGCTGGGGCCCAGAGTGCTAACCTCGTTGTTGGGCTGCATGTGTACAGATGTGAAGTGTAACATGTTGTACACTTGTCTGTCCAGGGAGGTAGGGCTGCCAGTGGAGTGGAGTCAAGTCTAGTGTGTATGGAAACAGTGGTGCTGGGTGGCCCTGCAGTATTCTGTTCAGGGGATGGGGCTGCTGGTGGACTAGCTCTTTTCAGGTACAAGTGCACATGGTTACAGTGGAGCCAGATAGCCCTGCATTGGTGTGTCCAGGAGGATGAGCCACTGTTGGGCTTGCTGTCAGGTTGGGCACAGGCATGTGAGAGTGTGGCAGGGCTATAAAGCTGTGTGGCAGTCTTTCAGGGGATGAAGCCACTGAAACACCAGCTTTTGTGACAGGGATAAGCACATGTGGGCTTTCTGGGCTAATCAGCTCTGTAGTGTGAGTTGTCATGGGTAAGGTTGACGGCCAGCTGCTTGACAGCTTCCAATCTGCATGTTAGCCTTTTTGGTAGGGTGAAGTGGGGATGGAATACCAGAAAGGTTCAAAGACTGGGATGTCGGTGACATTATTTGGCCTAGTCTCTAGATATCTGGGGTTATTTTACTGCAGACACCCATGCAAATATGGTGAAATAATGGTGAGGCCTCAGGGATGACAGATAGTCAGTTGCTACTGGCCTCTGGCACAGGATGCACCCTAGTAATGGGTCTGGCTTTAAGATGGCACTTAGCTATAGCAGCTTTTGTCACAAGGGTCATGTGTGCTCAAGCTAGGCACGTACTCTGAGGCAATGCAGTTGTGTGAACTCAGCTACTCTACAAACTAGATTCATGTTCTGGGAAAACTGGAAGACTTTCCTTTCGCAAGGTTTGCTGGCATTTGTGGCAGCAGTGGGGATCATGAGGGATTTCCAGCTTACCTTTTTCCTTTAAGGAAAAGTACACACTGACTCAGAGCTGATTCTGGCAGAGGACACAGCTGCTGGCAGAGGCAGAATGTTTGGCTCCCTTAACTATGGTCTATCCTGGGATTCCATACTGTACAGGAATTTTTCGATTCCCCTGGTGCCCTCTAGTGTACTTCTTCATTTACTGTCATCAAAATGTAGTTTAATAATTGTTTTGGTCCTTTTGGGGGCTGGGAGGTAACTCTAATTGCCATTTTGCTGATATGATAGCATTCCCGATAACTTAAATATTTTTAATATGCTCAAGAGCAACTAAAATCAGGTGCTACATAACAAAATTTCCATCAATGCTGGACCACGTATACAATGGTAGGCCCACACAATTATAATGGTGCTAAAAATTTCCTATCACCTAGTGACATTATTACCATCCCAAGTGCAATGCATTATTTTTGTGTTGGTGATGATGGTGGTATAAACAAACCTATTGTACTGCCAGTCCTAAAAGTGTAGCACATGCCTTCTTTTCAGAAGTGTCTGTTCATATCATTCACCCACTTTTTGATGGGGTTGTTTGTTTTTTTCTTGTAAATTTATTTAAATTCCTTGTAGATTCTGGATATTAGCCCTTTGTCAGATAGATAGATTGCAAAAATGTTCTCCCATGCTGTAGGTTGCCTGTTCATTCTGATGATAGTTTCTTTTGCTGTGCAGAAGCTCTTTAGTTTAATTAGATCCCATCTGTCAATTTTGGCTTTTGTTGCCATTGCTTTTGGTGTTTTAGTCATGAAGTCTTTGCCCGTGCCTATGTCCAGAATGGTATTGCCTGGTTTTTTTTTCCTAGGGTTTTTATGGTTTTAGGTCTTACGTTTAAGTCTTTAATCCATCTTTTATGAGGCAAACAAACATATCAAAAAAAACTTATCATCACTGGTCATTAGAGAAATGCAAATTAAAACCACAATGGGATACCAGTTCATGCCAGTTAGAATGCCGATCATTAAAATGTCAGGAAACAACAGACGCTGGAGAGGATGTGGAGAAATAGAAATATTTTCACACTGTTGGCGGGAGTGTAAATTAGTTCAACCATTGTGGAAGACAAGGTGGCAATTCCTCAAGGTTCTAGAACCAGAAATATAATTTCACCAAGCTATTCCATTACTGGGTATATACACAAAGGATTATGAATCTTCCTACTATAAAGACACATACACAGATGTTTATTGCAGCACTGTTCACAATAGCAAAGACTTGGAACCAACCCAAATGCCCATCAATGATAGACCGGGGAAAGAAAAAGTGGCACATATCCACCAAGGAATATAATGTAGCCATAAAAACAGATGAGTTCATGTCCTTTGCAGGGACATGGATGAAGCTGGAAACCATCATTCTCAGCAAACTAACACAGGAGCCGTAAGCCAAACACCACATGTTCTCACTCATAAGTGGGAGTTGAACAATGAGAACACATGGACACAGGGAGGGGAACATTGCACACGGGGGCCTGTCAGGGTTGGGGGTGCTAGGGGTGGGATAGCATTAGGAGAAATACCTAATGTAGATGACGAGTTGATGCATGCAGAAAACCACCATGGCACATGTATACCTATGTAACAAAACTGCATATTCTGCACTGGTATCTCAAATTTTAAAGTATTTTTTTAAAAAAGTATAGCACATGCAATTGTATACAGCAGCAGTCCCCAAACTTTTTGGCACCGAGGACCAGTATCATGGAAGACAATTTTTCCATGGACCAGAGGAAGAGGGAATGGTTTCCGGATGAAACTGTTCTACTTCAGATAATCTGGCATTAGCTTGATTCTCACAAGGAGCATGCAACCTAGATCCCTCACTGCACAGTTCACAGTAGGGCTCACACTCCTATGAGAATCTAATGCTACTGATGATCTGACAGGAGGCAGAGCACAAGCAGCAATGCTTGCTTGCCTGCCACTTACCTCCTGCTGTGTGGCCCGGTTCCTAAAAGGCCAAAGACCAGTCCCCATGGTTGGGGACCCCTGATGTGCAGTACATAGTACTTGATAATAATAATAAATGATCACGTTACTGTTTATGCTTTTACTATACTACATATTTTATTGCTATTTTAAAGTATACTCCTCCACTTATTAACAAAGGATAAATACAACCACCTCATCCAGGTCTTTCATGAGATGTTCCAGAAGAGTCATATTATTATAAGAGGTGGCAGCCCCATGTGTATCATTACGCTGAAGACATTCCAGTGGGACAGACAAGATGTGGAGGTGAAAGACAGTGATAGTGATGATCCTGATCTTGTATAAGCCTAGGCTAATGTGTGTGTTTCTGTATTTTTTTTAAGTTTAAAATGTTAAAAAGAGTTTAAAATAGAAAAAGACATAGAACTGAATAAAAAAGAAGAAAATATTACATATTTGGAGAGCTGTACAATGTTTTAAGCTATGTGTTTTAAAAGAGTCAAAAAGTTTTTAAGAATTAAAAAATTTAAAAGTAAAAATTACAGTAAGCTAAGATAATTTATTATAATTTTTTTATAAATTTAATTTAGCCTAAGTGTACAGTGTTTTTAAAGTCTATAGTAGTGTACAGCAATGTCCTAGGCCCTCACATTCTCTTACCACTCACTCACTGACTCACTTACTCCTGCAAGTTCCATTTATGATAAGTACACTACCCAGGTGTACCATTTTTTCTGTTTTATACTGTTTTTTTTCTGTATATTTTCTATGTTTAGACACACAAATATATACCATTGTGTTACAGCTACCTACAGTATTCAGTACAGTAAAATGCTATGCAGGTTTATATATTAATACTAGGAACAATAGACTATGCCACATGACCTAGGTGTTTAGTGCACTATAACATATAAATTTGTGTACGTATACACTATGATATTTGACAAAATCCCCTAAGACACATTTCTTGGAACATATCCCCTTCATTAAGAAATGCATAACTGCATATTTCTCTTTCTGTTTTTTCTATATCATTTTTTATCCTCCTAATTATTCCTTTTTTTGTTTAGGTTTTATAGCTAATATTTAATCAATTTTATAGAATTAAAGAGAGCCACAGAAATTTACCCACGTTTAAAGGAAAAAAAAATCTTCTGTTTTTTCCTTTAAATAAAAATTTTGTCTTAACCCCAACTTGATATTAATTACCACTTCTAACAGAAAAAAAACCATCTGAAGGTCACTTAGTAGAGACCCTGTCAAACTGTAGATTATTGCTCAGAGGAAAACATTGGGAATTTGGCCTCCGTAGACATGAGATTTTTAAAAATCATTACATAATTAACACATTAATCTGTATGGCAATTTTTTTTAGCTCTAAATGTTGTATAAAATGTAATTTTAAAGACTGAAAGGATCTTACCATTCACCTAAGGCACTTAAATCTCAGAGAGATGGAGTGACTTTTGAAGACACATAGCTTCCCAAATCCAGAGATTCAGCACTAAGAGCCAAGACTTCTGAATCAAAGGCCAGAGCCCTTATGTCATTTGTAAACAGTTTGCTATGTGTCTCAGCTTTAATGCTGTCTCTACCTTGATTTTTGAAAACTAACACTAGAAGGGGAAAAATTAAAAATAATAAAAAATTAGACTTTAAAAAATATTGTTATTGTGACACATTTTATCACTTATTAGAGAAATAGCTCATAGACTCTTTCTTAATTATGTGCTGAAAAAGAGAATGCTATATATTATAAATTATTTGAGCTTGTGTCTTCCCAGAGGCATGGCTTTAAACTGTAGAGTATAAGGTTAATGGTAGAGCTTGAGATTTTCTGATCTATCTATGTTCCTCTGAAATATTTAGGGAATGAATTATTTTTAACCTATCTTTTACCCTGAGTGATGGATGGTTCTCAGCAAATTTGCCATGTGTTGATAATGATTCACAGCAATTAGGGGAAAACAAGTTTCTGCTTGCTCGTGCATGTTCTCTGGTTATGGTGAGCATGTACAACATTAGCCATATTTTTTAAAATTTATCTTGCTCATATTTTTCTTTTTAAACCTAAATGTGATGGTTTTTAAGTTAAAAAGTAAATCATAGTAATTGTATAAAAAAAGAAAATATAACTTAGTAAAAAGAAGAAAATAATACTCACTAATCAGAGTTGAACAATATTAAAATATTAGAGTTCATTTATCAGAAATTTTTCTACTCACAAATATTATTCATTTTTACAAATATAAGTGCTTACTAGACATCCCATTGTATCCTGATTTTTTGCTTTAAGATACATAAGGAACATCCCTCCAAGTATGAATATTCTTCCATTTATGCTAATATAATTTTATCTTTTTAATGAATTGACAATTTTACCATTATGTAATATTCTTCTTTATCAATGTCAATATTCTTTGTTCTAAATTTTATCTGGTAACAGTATAGCCTCTCCATCTTTCTTTATTATACATAGTATATCTTTTCTCATAATTTTACTTCTAACCTGTATCTTCATATTTTAAGTTAGTTTCTTCTAGGCAGTAAATATTAGGGTATTTGATTTTTACCTAAATTGACATCAAATATGGTGTAATTGAAATATTTAGACCATTTATATTTAATGTAATAATTGATATGAATGTATTCAAATATCTCACCTGAAATTTGCATTTAATTTGTTCTATTCACTCATTTTCCTGATTTCGTGACCAGTTTTAATTATTTTAGTAAATTTGTATTTCATTTTGTCTCTCATATTTATTATCTATATTTTACATTATTTTACACCATGCCTTAAAGTTTACAGTATATATTTAACTTATCATAGTGTACCTTAATATAATCTTTTAGTACTTTTGTATAGATTGAGAAGTTTAGAAAAGTGTATTACCATTGCCTCAATCTCATCTTTTTTGGTATTATTTTTATACATTTTATTTGTGCCTATGCTATAAACTTTAAAATACTTTGATTTTTAAGGTAATAAATTATATGTTAAAGAGAGTAAGCATAATTTTAAAATTATTTTATATTAATATATACCTTTACAATTTTTAGTGCTCTTCATTTTTTGGGTAGATCTAAATTGCCATATAATATCATTTCTTTCTGCCAGAAATCCCTTCTTTAAAATTTCCTCAATGATCATGCACAGTAGCTCATGCCTGTAATCAAAGCCCATTGGGAAACTAAGACAGGAGGATTACTCAAAGCTAGGTATTTGAGACCAGCCTGAGCAACATGGCAAGACAGAGTCTCTACTAAATACATAAGTAAATGAATGAATAAATAAATAAATAAATTTCTACATTTTCTTGAATGCAATTGTGCCACAATAGATTAACTCAGTACTATTTTGTCTTCATTTTAAAAATTATTTTAATTGATATTGATATGCATGTTGAATTATTTTTATCCAATATTTTAAAACAAGACTCACCATTATCTTCTGTCTTGCATAGTTCCTGAAGAGATATTTTCTATAGTTCATTATTTTCTTCTCCCTATTTAAGGATTATTCTTTTTTTTTTGGCTTTATACAAAAATGTATCTTTATTTTTGGTTTTCAGCACTGTAACTATGATATACCTAAGCATCTATTTATATCTGTGCTTCTTGGATTTCTCTGAAATTCCAAGAATTTGTTTGTTGCCTCTCATTAATTGTGGAAATATGGTTATTGTATTTTAAATTATTTATTATGTCTCATTTTTACACTCTTCTCTTTTTCAGACTGCAATTGCTATATATTAAAGCATGTGATAAAATCCCACATTTCATGGATGCTCTGTTTTGCTTTTTTACTCTAATTTTCTTTGTCTTTAGGATTAGATAATTTTAATTCGCCTCTCTTCATGTTCACTGATTTTTTGATCCTTTGGCGTGTTCATTCTTTTTAGATGTCAATTGAATAAATTCTTTTTTCCCCCTTGCTCAAAGGAAATATCTAATTAGGTGTATGAGAAGCCAGGACTGTTAAGAGTTCCGGATGGATCCATGCTGGGAGGCTGGAAGTGGGCTTAGAGCCTACAGGTTGTTCCAGGGAAGGAGTTTCTACCCTCTCAGGTGAACTGGAGGGCTGAAGAAGATAGTGAGTTCATAAAGAGCATATTTAGTATCTAATAACTTAAACTTGTTTTTGTCATTTACGTAGTTTTTTTTTATTTGAATTGCTCTGTCCTAATACAGTTTGAAAGGATTTATTATTTTTGTGTGTTTGTGTAATTTTTCACTTTTTTTTAATTATTATTATACTTTAAGTTCTGGAATACACGTACAAAATGTGCAGATTTGTTACATAGGTATACACGTGACATGGTGGTTTGCTGCACCCATCAACCCATCATCTAGATTAGGTATTTCTCCTAATGCTATCCCTCCCCTAGCCCCCCACATCCTGACAGGCCCCGGTGTGTGATGTTCCCCTCTCTGTGTCCATGTGATCTCATTGTTCAGCTCCCACTTACGAGTGAGAACATGCAGTGTTTGGTTTTCTGTTCTTGTGTTACTTTGCGGAGAGTGATGGTTTCCAGCTTCATCTATGTCCCTGCAAAGGACATGAACTCAGCCTTTTTTATGGCTGCATATTATTCCATGGTGAACATTTGCCACATTTTCTTAATCCAATCTATCATTGATGGGCATTTGGATTGGTTCAAAGTCTTTGCTATTGTGAACAGTGCTGCAATAAACATTCGTGTGCAGATGTCTTTATAGTGGAAAGATTTATAATCCTTTGTGTATATACCCAGTAATGGGATTGCTGAGTGAAATGGTATTTCTGGTTCCAGATCCTTGAGGAATTGCCACACTGTCTTTAACAATGGTTGAACTATTTTACACTCCCACCAACAGTGTAAAAGTGTTCCTATCTCTCTACATCCTCTCCAGCATCTGTTGTTTCCTGACTTTTTAATGATAGGCATTGTAACTGGTGTGAGATGGTATCTCATTGTGGTTTTGATTTGTGTTTCTCTAATGAAAAAACCCTAAAAGAAAACCTAGGCAATACAATTCTGCAAATAGGCAGGGGCAAAGACTTCATGACTGAAATACCACAAGCAATGGCAACAAAAGCCAAAATTGACAAATGTGATCTAATCAAACTAAAGAGCTTCTGCACAGCAGAAGAAACTATCGTCAGAGTGAACAGGCGACCTACGGAATGGGAGAAAAATTATGCAATCTATCCATCTAACAAAGGGCTAATATCCAGAATCTACAAGGAACTTAAATAAATGTACAAGAAAAAAACAAACAACTCCATCAAAAAGTGGGCGAATGATATGAACAAACATTTCTCAAAAGAAGACTTTTATGTGGCCAATAAACATATGAAGAAATTCTTTATCTCTGATTACATTACAACTTAACTTGCTCTGTAATACTACCAGATAGTTTTGTTCATAAGACAAAATAAGGCAAATTATTAACATGTATAAACACTAGAAAAATATAGTATTCATCACATTTAAGTTTGTTCCAGTTTTTTAGTTTTTTTAAATAAAAAGTATCTGCTCTGTAAAAGTTTTATGTTTTTTGCCTCCTTAGATGAAAAAGTACAATTGTGTGTTAATAAAGCAAGACTTCCAAACATTTAAGCAATGGTCACTTCTTAATTAGAGCAAAAAATCTTACATATTTTGTTTCATTTTTAATAAAATATTATAAATTATAAAGTAAAAACAAATGTACATCTCATTTGAAAATTATGTTTTAAAAAAGTCACTTTTATATGTATATGAAGAAATATAAAATATTGCAAAGCAGTATAATACAGGATACTTATTTTACTTTATATTTATACATATGCCCATTGAAAATTTAGCGATTTCAGGCCGGGTGCAGTGGTTCATGTCTGTATTTCCAGCACTTTGGGGGACCGAGGCAGGTGGATCACCTGATGTCAGGAGTTCCAGACCATCCTGTCCAACATGGTGAAACGCCGACTCTACTAAAAATCCAAAAAATTAGCCGGGCCTGGTGGCAGGCGCCTATAATCCCAGCTACTTTGGAGGCTGAGGCAGGAGAATTGTTTGAACCCAGGAGGCGGAGGTTGCAGTGAGCCGAGATCGCGCCATTGAACTCCAGCCTGGGCAACAGAGTGAGACTCTGTCTCAAAAAAAAAAAAAAAAAAGAAAAAGAAAAAGAAAAAAAAAAAAGAAAAGAAAAAAAATTCAGGGATTTCAAAATAACTATTTGTTGGACAATAATGAAATTGCAGAGAATATGGCCAGTATAACCAAAGATAGCTTTGTAAGAACACAGTACAAACTGAGGTAATACCTGAATATGTTTTTCTCTTTTCTTTTTTTAAATGGAGTCTCTGTCGCCCAGGCTGGAGTGCAGTGGCGCGATCTCTGCTCACTACAAGCTCCGCCTCCCGGGTTCACGCCATTCTCCTGCCCCAGCCTCCTTCGTAGCTGGGGCTATAGGCGCCCGCCACCACGCCTGGCTAATATTTTGTATTTTTAGTAGAGACGGGGTTTCACTAAGTTAGCCAGGATGGTCTCGCTCTCCTGACCTCGTGATCCGCCCACCTCGACCTCCCAAAGTGCTGGGATTAGAGGCGTGAGCCACCGCGCCCGGCCCTAAATGTGTATTTATTTTAACCAAGTCTAGAAAAGTCTAGAAAAAACAATGAATAAGGAACTATTCCCCTAATCATCAGTCCAGTGATGTCATCACACATGACATATTTTCTAGGAAAACTTTACTCATAGAAGGATGATAGTAAAGTAAAAAGACAAACCATACCTTAATTTCTTACAACTTTTTTAACCTTGCAGACCTCATGAAATAGTCTTGGTGATTCTCAGCTGTCTATAGATGACACTTTGATAACCACTACCTTAATGCTTCATTTTTGCCTCTTTAAAACTTTACGCTTTTTTAAATTCAATTTCTGGTTATGATTTTTGATATCAAATTTTCTCAGATAAAATAACTGACAAAATTCTGCCTGATTCACACCAATTTAGTGATTGCCTCAGAAGAGCACTAGGAAGGGCGGGGTTTTTTATGTCATACTTTCTCAAAATGAAAGCATTGCCTGGCCGGCTGTGGTGGCTCACTCCTGTAATCCCAGCACTTTGGGAGGCTGAGGTGGGCAGATCACGAGGTGAGAAGATCGAGATCATTCTGGCTAACACGGTGAAACCCTGTTTCTACTGAAAATACAAAATAATTAGCCGGGCGTGGTGGCGGGCACCTGTATTCCCAGCTACTCGGGAGGCTGAGGCAGGAGGAGAATGGCATGAACCCGGGAGGCGTAGCTTGCAGTGAGCTGAGATCACGCCTCTGCACTCCAGCCTGGGACACTGAACAAGACTCTGACTCAAAAAAAAAAAAAAAAAAAAAAAAAAAAGCATTGCCTTTGGCTCTCATCTAGACATGTTATATGACAGGGTTTTTTGAATTTCGATCATGCAGAGCTACCCTGCACTTGCGTCTCAAAGGTTTAATCCCCAAATTTCCCATAAGTAAGATTTTACCACAGAGCACAAGATTGTTTCAAAATGGCAAAACTTATTCTACAAACAATGAGATCTGGGGCCAGTGACAGGCTCATTAGCTCAACTCTATAACTTCTTTTAATTTATCTTATTTCTATAAACCTGAGTTTATTAGTTTGTGAATGGGAATAATAATACAGTCTCTCAGCCATACTGATATTTTGAGCTAAATGTGCTAATATATTTGAAACTGTTTCATAATTTTTAAAACTTTACAATGCTATTATGTTTAGTTATTATATTATGTTTAGTTATTATGTTTAGTTATTATGATATTATGGTTAGTTATTATGTTTAGTTATGATATTTGTACAATTTTAATCTTAATACATTAATCAATAAAAAGAAGTAAAAATATTCATTAAAAGTTGATTAAAGCTTTTATTCAAAGATGTCATAAATGAATGAAATAGTTGCTTGTTTAAAATTAAATCTTTACTTTTTTATGTTATATAAGCACAACTTCTCAAGGAAGAGGCGCACATTAACTCAGTAAACACTTCTTATGCACCGCCTGAAAGCCTATCACACATTTTTCTTAATTTGACTACTGTGCATATTGCATTGAGAGCCTTTTTAAAGATATGGGATAAAATGAAATATTTTACCTTTAGCTATGTGAGCTTTTTATATACTAACTTTAAGAGATAATTTCTGTGAAAAACAATTTTTTTTTAAGCAGCATATGTAACAAATGTGAATAAATTAGTTCACCCTTAGAAACAATGAAAATTGCTAACATTACATTCTTACTACATGGACAGCATTGTGCTGAAAATTTGAACATGTATTGTCACCATTATTCCTCAGACAACATAACACTATAAATACCATCATAATTCTCATCTTATGCATAAGGCAATTCAGTCTCAAAAAAATTATTTTTTCCAAAATCAGACAGCTAGTTGGCTAGAATCTGTGAAAACATGTATATGACTTCAGGAGCCATGTAATTTCATAACCCACACTCAGCAATACATTACTTCTAATTAATAATAATAATAGCAATATTACTATCTGTGAGAATATACAATCTTTGGAATTATTTGCATTACATCATAGGTTAATGAAAATATTAATGGGGACCTTCAACTTACTGAATGCACATCATTGTTAGGTCCCTTTTTCCATGATTTGGAGTAAAGGAGACAATAATTAGAAGTTTGTCCCTCATAATAAGCTCTATTGAAGATCCTACTGCAAAGGCAATGGTTGCACAACAGACTTCTTTAAATTTCCTTGCTAAAGTTGTACTAGATCATAAAATTGCTCTAGATTACCTACTGGCTGAGTAGGGAAGAATCTGTGCAATTACTGACACTTCTTGTTGCACATGGAAGAATACACTGGGTATTACAGAGTTTCAATTTCAGGAGATTATCAAACAGGCTGCTTGGTTAAAACAAGTAAACTCTTCCTCTGGATTATTCTTTGATCTATTTAATTTTAGTTGATTTGCTTCATGGGGACCTTGGCTAAGGAGTGTATTCTAAACTCTTGGTATTATCCTCCTGAGAGTCATAATAATAGTCTCCCACGTGGGCTTTATTGTCTCAAAAGTTTTAAACATTTCCATGCAGCCATCCATAGAATGTCAAATGGTCTCTCCTTAACTGGAATGGCAAAAACTCAAGAAATTTGTGATAATTAGGACACTGTAACCTATGAATGACATGCTGAAACTGGAAACCCAAAATGATGGTAACTGAGTGTAGTGCTAAAGCTCTAAGTTTTAGTCACACTCTTACCTAGGTGACAACCTGACCAAAAGAGGGGAATTAATCAAAATTATGGAAGGCTGTTGTCTTTGACTGAGTGTGTGCACCAATCCTCAGCAGACCAGACCAAGCCAAAATGGAGTCAATCATGCTACATGCCATGCAACCAAACTGAGACTTTAAAGAACCAGATAGATCCCAAGACAGACCAGTTTTTGTTTTTGTTTCTTCTGTCTGAAAACAGGAGATTCCAGCATAATAAGGAAGTGCCCTCTGCTTTCATCTTTGATGTCAATGTTTAAGGTTTTGGTCAAATTGAGAGGTTGAGTCTTGACCAATCACTGAAGGTCAACTCTTCAAATAAAGCAAACACAGAGCTGTAACAAATCCAGCTGTTTCTGGGTGAACTCAGGTCAGTTTTTTGTACATCGCTTTCCCTTTTCTGTTCATAAATATTGTGAGACAAAGTAGCAAATATAAGACACCATGTTTCCTCATTTCTGCTTGCTAGCATAATTTCACAAAGCCCCTGACTCTGTGACCACGTGCAGCTTTCCTGAAAGATGTTTGAAGACAGAACAGGATAGAATACATGGTCCCCATAGCTCTTGCCTGAGTCACTACATTTCTTAAAGGATAAGTGACTCTAGTGTTTGCCTTTTCTTGCACATAAGATAACTTCTGATGAGGTTAGTGATTATGCCTCTGTAGTCTAAAACCAGATGTATTCTTACATGGAAATCTTGATGTAATTCTGCTTTAACATAACTTTTGAGAAAATTTCATGTCATTTTGCATGTTCTGAACTTCTACCACCTGTATATAAGCTGTGAGCTGAAACACTGTTTTGCAGCAGTATTACTAAACTGCTCCCCTGCTATAAGCCTCAGTTTATAGTCCTCCGTAAGACTTCTAAATGAAACTAACTTTAATGCTTTAAAAGTTTGATTTTTTTTTTTTTAGTTGACAATATTAACCCACCATGTGTCAGCCCCTGAATCACTCTGAACCTATTGTGGTTCGGGGGCTGCCAGATTCTCGAATCGTTTTTTGCTCAGTTAAACTCTTGTTAAATTTAATTTTTCCAGAGTATGTCTTTCAGACAATTGAATGGTTTCAAGATACTTGTTATTGCTAAGAAAAAGAGGACTTAACACTTCTTACTTTATCTCAATTGAAACATGAATCTGTTCCCTCTATGAATCAGCAGTCATTCTTTACTCTTCAGAGAATTTGAATTAACCTGGCTGATAAGGTTTGGCTGTGTCCCCACTCAAATCTCATCTCTAAGTGTAATCCCCACATGTTGAGGGAGGGAGGTAACTGGATCATGAGGGTGGTTTCCCCCATGCTGTTCTCATAATAGTGAGTGAGTTCTCACAAGACCTTATGGTTTTATAAAGAGCTCTTCCCCCTTCTCTCTCTCTCTCTCTCTCCTCTCTCTCTCTCTGTCTCCCTCTCTCTCTCTCATCTACCGCCATGTAAGACATGCCAGCTTTCTCTTCTGCCATGATTGTAAATTTCCTGAGGCCTCCCAGCTATGTGGAACTGTGAGTCAATTAAACCACTTTTTTTAAAATAAATTACCCAGTCTTGGGTATTTCTTTATAGCAGTGTGAGAATGCACTAATTAATACACTGGCACAAGCAAAAAGAGAATTGTTTTTGCTCTTTTAACTGAGAAGTCCAGAAGTTGGGCTGCCTTCAGGCATAGCTTGATGTACAGGCATAAATGATATGCTTAGCATCTGTTTTCCTCCCACGTACTGGCTCATCTTGACTCTTCTTTAGTCTTTGGTGCTCCCCTATGACAGGCTGAAAAAATCTAGCTGCAGGATGTCAAGACTTTACATTCTCTTAGCTTTGATTCCCTATGAAAGGACAATATTCTCTTCAGCAGGATTCCCAGGAAAATCTGATTGTTTATTATTGGTTTAAATTTAATACCAATCCTAAACACAAACTTCTGAGAGAAGAATATGAGTTACCAATGGGCTTAGGGCCAGGTCACATGATCCACTCCTGTCTTGGGTTAGGTTACCCAGAAATAGATATTGAGAAAAATGGTCACTGTGTAAGTGATTAAGGCACAAACCAGACAGGAGGACAGAAAAGAAGAAACCAAGTAAGGGTATGATTTCAGCTGAGTGCAGAAAAAGATGTTTCCAACCTTTTCCTACAGAGAAATCTGCGGTGTAATTTTTTCTTACACTTATAAATTACTGGCCATACATAAACATAAGCTCCAGACTTTTCGTGCATGAGAGCAAAGTGGCTCCAGGTTTCTGAGGTTTGGCCAGTGGAAGCAATTTCACATAGAAGCTGGGCAGGCAGCACACAGAAAACTAAAAGGATCAAAGCATTTGGGCAGCTCACTAACGATGTTTGCTATAAACGCTAACGGAAAGGGGTAGCTAGAGGTCTCACGCTAAGGAAAACCAGGATGCATTCCACCAGAATATGAATAAAACGAGTGCTGTGTAGCACAAAACAAGAAATGTGCATTACATGCTTCAAATTACATTTTGGAAATCAATCAAAACACTTTTCAGTAAAATATTGCCTAATTGGTTAATAATAAAAATATTAGTTTTATATTTTAAATGGTAGTATTAGTGAATTAGCAGCTTTGTAGGGTAGAATGAGCATAAATTTTCAAAGAAAATTCTTAGTTCAGAATCTCATTTAGAGTGTACATTTGGACAAATTAATTAACCTTTCTAAGCCTCAATTTTCTTATCTGCAAAGTGAGAGTTTAAATAAGACCTCCTTCACTAGTTGCAGTGAAGATCAAATGAGATAATGAATGCAAAAGAGGTTTTGTAACTGTAACAATGTTTGGAATGTTAATAGGTCCACCTTTCCTATTAGTATGTAAATATCTGATGGCCATGACCTTATCCTCCTCTACAATTCTCAGTGTTTAGCTTAATACTGACACTTAATTTATACTCCTTGGAGATTTAATAAGGAAAAATATATTTGGCAGCCTAGAGCTTTGCTTTGGTAGCTGTATGTTCATAGATATGATTGTTTTATACCAAAATTTCCATTTTAATAGAAATACATTTCAGAGTTTTTGAGGCTGTCCTATAGCCTTCGTAATGAGAAAGAACAAGGACTATGAGGAAATATGGCTTCATCTCCTGTTTTAGATTTTATGATTTTTTTGTTTTACTGAGCAGGAATTAACTAGACATAAACTATAAACATTCAAAGCAGTCACTTGCTGTCAGAGCTGTCTGATTTCTTCAGAAAATTCAGTTTGTTTTGTGTCTGGAAGTAAACTATCTACTAGTGTTTTTCACAACTAAAAGCATTATCAACGTTTTCTTGAGGAGAAGTGGGAGATATTGGGAAGAGAGGACAGAGAGAAACAGATAAAATTATAGATAAAAGATTCCAGGTATTACAGTGACTAATTGTCTAGACTTTAGAACCAGACTATCATTATTTTAGCTCTGTGCTTCAATTTCCTCATCTGTGAAAGGGGATAATAATACGGCTTTTATAAATTGTGATAAAAAGAAATAGTTTTAATGCATATAAAGCATTTTATCAATGCATACATTTTGTTTGACCCTAGTATATTTATTGTTAGCCTAATTACCAATGAACAAAATACACTCAACACGTTGTAGAGTATCCGTGAGCATTAACTACAGAATATACTAATATCTGTAAGGAAAAAGACAAACTGAAAGGAAAATGTCATCCATTTAAACCAAAGCAATATATATATTCAGTGCAATCTTTACTAAAATTGCCATGTTATTTTTCATGGAAATAGAAAAACAATCCTAAAATGAGCATGGAACCAGAAAAAACCTTGAATAGCCAAAGTAACCTTGAGCAAAAAGAACAGAGCTGGAGGTATCATGTCTGATCTCAAAATATTTCACAAAGTTATAGTAATCAAAACAGCTTACTGTTATGTCAGTTTGTTATGTCAGTACTAATACTGACATAAAAACAGACACATCAACCAATTGATAGGATAGGGAGCCTAGAAATAAACCCACACTTCTAAGGTCAATTGATATTGAACAAAAGTGCCAAGAATACACTATAGGAAAATAACAATCTCCTCAATAAACGACATTGGGAAAACTGTCTATTTACATGCAGAAAAATGAAATTGGAATCTTATCTCATACTATATGTGAGAATCAACTCAAAATGAATTAAAGATTTAAATATAAGACCTGAACCAATAAAACTTCTAGAGGAAACATTGGGGAAAATCTCTGTAACATTGGTCTGGGCAGTGACTTCTTGGATATGACCTCAAAAGCATAGGCAGTAAGAATAAAAATAGAGAATTTTCTAATTATATCAAGTTACAAAACTTCTGTGCAACAAAGGAAACAATCAGCAGAGTGAAGAAACAGTGCACGGATTGGGAGAAATATTTGCGAGTCATACATCAGATAAGAAGCTCATATTGAAAATATATAAGAAACTCAGACTACTCACTAACAAGAAACAAATAATCCTATTAAAATGGGCAAAACATCATTTATAGACTGGATAAAGAAAATATGGTACATATACACTGTGGAATACTATGCAGTCATTAAAAAGAATGAGATCATGTCCTTTGCAGAGACATGGATTGAGCTTGAGGCTATTATCCTTAGCAAACTAACACAGGAACAGAAAACCAAATACCGCATGTTCTCACTTACAAGTGGGAGCTAAATGATGAGAACACATGGACACATAGAGCAGAGAAACACACACTGGTGCCTTTCAGAGGATGGAGGTTGGGAGGAGGGAGAGGATCAGAAAAAATAACTAGTGGATACTAGGCTTAATACTGGGTTGATGAAATAATCTGTACAACAAACTCCCACGACACAAGTTTACCTAGGTAACAAACCTGCACATGTACCCCTGAACTTTAAAGTTTTAAAAAGTTGGCAAAATACCTGAATAGACATTTTTTCAAAAAAAAAAAAAAGACATACAAATGACCAAGTATATGAAAAAATACTCAACCTCACTAATCAAGAGTGAAATGAAAATTAAAACCGTGAAACCATATCTCTTTATACCTGTTAGAATGGCTATTATCAAAAAGATGAAAGATAAGCATTGGCAAAGATGTGGAGGAAAGGGAGTACTGGTATAATGTTGGTAAGAATGTAATCTTATACCATAATTTTGGAAAACAGTATGGAAATTTTTGAAAAAATTAATAAAATTCACATATAATCCAGCAATTCTACTTTTGGATACATTTCCGAAGAAATTTAAATCAGTAGGTCAAAGTTATACTCATTGAAACATTATTCACAAAAGCCAAGATATGGAAACAACTCAAGTCCTCATCAATGAATGACTGAATTTCAAAATGTGGTGTACATGTAAAATACAATAATATTCACCCTAATAAAGAAAATCTTGTCATTTGCGATGCCATGGATGATTCTAGAGAACATTATGCTAAGTGAAAAGAGCCAGGCACAGAAAAACAAATACCAAATTGCCTCACCTATATGTGGAATCTAAAAATGTAAAACATAGAAGCAGAGAATAAAATGGTTATCAGAGGATGATGATAGGGAAAGATAGGGAAAGGGGAGATGTTGGTCAAAGTGTACAAAGTTTCAGTTAGGAGGAATAAGTTCTGGTGATCTATTGCACAACATGGTGACTAAAGTGAAGAATACATAAGCACATTGCAAAATTCCTAAAAGCAATTTTAAAAGTGCATCTTAAAAGTTCTCACGACAAAGAAATTACAAGCATGTGTCCTGTTATTAATTAGCCTGATTAACTAGGCATTGTTAATCAGCTTGTGACCATTCCACAATGTATACATGTATCAAAACATCATCACATTGTACCTCATAAATATATACAATTATTTGTCAGTTAAAAATAAAATAATATAAAAAATTTAAAATAATAAGTTAATTAAAATCAAATAATTTTTTAAAGAAAAGATAAGGAGAAAATTTCATCTCACGCTTTTCTTAGATAATTTACTTTGGAAAATTTGTAATCATTAATTCTTTTTCCATCCCTTTAAAATTCATTTAAATCCCTTTAAAGGCTAAAATAGCTTTTTGCTAGCTTTATAGCCAAGGTGTGTCTTTCTTAAAGACCTGAGAATCATCTCATTAAAATGTAAACATCCAAGGATATGGCACTCCTTTCTCAGAGTTTCTGTAGGTGAATAGGTGCCTAACTTGTGTTGGCTCCATGTTGCAAAACTGACCCATCCTAAAAGTATGAGAAATTTATTTTGTATTTATATAAAGACAATTAATTAATACAGGTGAATCATCCCAATTACTGGGTGAATTAAAGATAAATTATGTGTAACAAATTGTGTTGTCAAGTTCTCCTACTCAAGGACTAGTTATTATTTATCTTAAGAACATGTAATGAGTTTCGTTGCTTGGCTATATAAAATGAGATTTCTGTTTGTCTTTGAAAACTTTTCGAAGATTGCTTGTGATTGTGCATCATTTTCTGATTTAATGCTCACTCAATAATTAAAATATCTTTTTGCCTTACTACATTTATGGAGTTAAAAAAAGATTTTGTTTTTGGTATATTTTGCCAACATACCTTTCTCTTTCTATGTGGGCCAAGAATCACTTGGGCATTTATATTTATAGAGAGAAGGGTAAAACTGGTGAAGAAGTTATTGATTTATTCCTCACTCATGCTTTTATATATATATTTTTTCTCTCTGCACATAGAGTATCAGTCACAAAATCTGACAAATGTAGGATTTAGATGGGTAATCAGTCTTTCTTATTGACAACAAAAATCCATCAGAATCACTTGTTCTGCTGATAAAAATGAAGATTTCAGAACCACTGTGTTATACCTTGCCCAAGTTACTGATCCTTAATTACCAACCCTGTATTTTTATCATTATTAAAATTAGGATAGCAATGCCTTCTCCAATGGGTTGCTTTGCTTAGTATACTTTTTGAGGTAATATGTTAGTCCATTTTCAGTGACACTGGGTTGTGAGTTTGCTGTTGCCATTGTTCTTTTTGTTTCAGTCTTGGTAATTTGTTTATTAAAATGTCACCAAATTTTGTGGTTCCATCAAGGACATCTGATTGCAGTTTGACTGTGATTGTGACTAGTGTAGGTAACACTAAACTGTTGATTTAAAAAATAAATAATAATGTGGTTTTTAAAATTGCCTACATTAATATCTAGAATGTCCAAGCAACTACTTCAAATCAATGAGGAAAAAACATTATTACTTTATCCAGGGACTAATAAAAATGTTAAAATGTAAACAAAAAAAATTAGAAAATGAACATGAAATATAAACAGTCAACTTATAGAAAAAGAAACCCCAATGGGTAAAACTATATAAAAAGACAATTAACCCCACTAGTAATTAGAAAAGGGCAAACTATGACCACAGTCAAACTGGTATACATTAGATAAACATCAAGGGTTGAATATTATGTGACAAAATAATAACCTATATGAATTCCTCCAAATGAATGTGGGAAAAAAATGCAGGTATTCTGAAGAGTTCTTTTACAAAATAGACTAAAACTGAATGTTCGTATATATCATGACTCAGCAATTACACTCCCCTTCCAAACCTACAAAGAAGCTCAAAACAGAATTTTGCAGAATGATAACTGCAGGATTGTTTGAAGAAGAGAGTTGGAAATAATCTAGGTGCAAAGAAAGTTCACTGGGCACTGGTTATCACTTTAGTCCACTGCACCTTGGGCTGCACTTTTACTACTCATCCAAGTCTGGTAAGACAAAACCCTCACACATGAGTTACATTAAGCAGGTTTATTACTTACAGATAGGCAGAAAAGGCAACAGAAGCCAAGGATTCTGTTCTTCAAGGCTGGTCCCCTAAGATTCAGGAAATTTGCCCAGGGTGGTTGGAGTCTCATTTGCATGTTCCCCACTTGAACTACAACTGAGGGACTCTGGAACATGGTCAGCTTTGGTTTTACACTCTGGGGGAATATGTTGCACTGGGCTAAAGTGTTAAACAACATTCTGTTCTAGTAGAGACAGGAACAGATTCCTGGCGGTCTTGGTAAATTCCTCTTAATCTCAGGTTGTTGAATTCCCAGCACAAGTCCACTCAGAGAACTAGGTATGTCTTACACAAAGAATAGGTAAGTAAAATGTTGTGAATATGTATGATAAAATTGTATGCAGCAGTAGCAATTTGAAAAAATGAATAACATTTATACACTAAGGTGAACAGATTAAAAACATGTAATATCAAGTGAAAAACTGAGATATGAAAATACATATGCAGCATGACACAACGTATGTAGAATAAACAATAAACATATTGAAGCCTCCAGACTCTGGGACCAGATTATTTTTTAGTGTGACCTGCTAGCTGTCTGATCTTGGGCAACTCACATAACCTGTCTACGTCTCAGTTTTCTCATCTCTAAGTGGAGAAAGTAATAGTACTAATACCATAAAACTGTTGCAATGGTTAAGTAAGTTAATATAAACATATAGAAGAGGTCCTAGCACACATCAATAGCTGAATAATTCTTAGAAATGTTTATTATTTATTTTAGTACGCATTTAAAACATACACATACACTCAATAATACTGCATATATTTTTAAAATATTCATATATTTCCATGCTAATATATAACATGGGAACCTCTTAAGGGTGATGTTTGTGTCTGCTTCAAAAAGCAGAAAAATGAAATATAATATAAAATAAGGAAGATGATTTGTAAAGGCTGATGATAACATTAAAATTATCCCATGAATGGAAAACCACAAAGAACTTAACTGTCTACAATAGAGAACTAAACAAAACTAATCTGCTATTTTAACATCAATAGCCTTTTTTAGAACAACCTGGCACAGTTAGTCAGAAAACAATTTTTTCACAAATCATTAACAGCAAAATTCACATTTTATTGTGTGTTTAGAGAATAATATCACAAAACATTGTAGGAAATCTTAAAAAGAGACTCCATCAAAATTCAGTGTTACTCGATCCCACCACAAAAATACATATGTGAGGAATTTCTGACTGTAAAATAAATAATTTCTCTGCTTTGTGGAAAAGAAGAGGAAAATGAAAGTTGCCCTGCTAGAATCTAAATGTCTACTATCTTGTGATAGCTTTAATTCTGGTATGTATAAGCATGCCTGGTACTTAGTAAGTATTCAATTATTATTTGTTAATTTAATGAACAGATATCAAACACAGAGATATTCACCCTCCTTCACTGGTGAATTTTCTTTGCATAATTAAGAGCTCATCCTTTCCTAAGGATCCAATGTCATTACTTTTTTTTTTTTTTTTTTTTTTGAGACGGAGTCTCGCTCTGTCGCCCAGGCCGGACTACGGACTGCAGTGGCGCAATCTCGGCTCACTGCAAGCTCCGCTTCCCGGGTTCACGCCATTCTCCTGCCTCAGCCTCCCGAGTAGCTGGGACTACAGGCGCCCGGCTAATTTTTTGTATTTTTAGTAGAGACGGGGTTTCACCTTGTTAGCCAGGATGGTCTCGATCTCCTGACCTCATGATCCACCCGCCTCGGCCTCCCAAAGTGCTGGGATTACAGGCGTGAGCCACCGCGCCCGGCCCATTACTTTATCAATAAGAAAATAATCATAATACTTGATGATCTGTGTTTCTTATGCCTGTGCTAAGTTTCCCAATTCCTGAAGCCTGACAAATGCAGATCCTTTCTGTATGCAGGTCAATAAAAATGATCCTGTTGGCATATTAAATGCCTTTGGATGCAATGAATGGAGTCAGCATTTAGGATTTTTGTTTGTTTTAAACCTGTTATCCGAGATGGATAAATGGAGGCCCCAGGCCTGAATTGAGCTTCTCCCTATTTCCTCTTGTCTACCAAGTGTGCAAAGACAGTGTGATAAGATTTCTGCTATACCATTTTGAATATGTCCTCATTTTTTCCTGAAGTTGTTGAAAGCTGCAACAACTTGTTAATCCCTCATCAGCCTCTTCTCCATGGTTGGGAGGACCTTACTATGACCTTAGTGGGACTCAGTCTCACCATTCCTCTATTTGTAGTTAACGACTTCTATGGCGGTTGCACTTTCAGATCAATGGCTTTAGGCATTTATTTCGTGGCTGTAAATCAGACCAAAGCTCCTTTATTTCACATCTGTGAATGCAGTGTTCTGGATCCTTGACCAGCTGGTTCCTCAAACTATGATTGCATCAATTTCCAGTTAACAATCTCATTATCTCCTTTTACTCTTCCTATGCAATTACTGAAAACTTTTAAAAATGCTTTTGAAATTTCTTCATTGCATATATCTGACTTAGTAATAAAATTTGTTCACTTGTTGTATGGTAAATTTAATATGCATTCACTAATAATTATGTAATAATGATGAAAATAAATATATTGCAATCAATTTTTATATTGAAATACTGAGCCTTGGGATCACTGGAAACTGTTGTGGACATATCTTAATTCTCTCCTAAAGGACAGTAGCACCACCTAGTACTAGGGATTGCTGTGAGAATAAAACTTGGCACATGCTAATGTGAAGCTGATTGACTGGGCAGAGTCCACAGTGAACTTACTTCACATTGCCAACTTGTCTGAGTCCAGTGAGACATAATACCCATGCACAATAAGCTGCATGAAGTGGATTTATTATTTGCAGCTATGCAGCAAGAAACAACAGATACCTAGAGTTTATTGTGATTCTGTTCCCCAACCCTCAAGAAAGCAGCCCAGGGTGGATGGAATTTCATCTGTGTGTCTCCCACTTGCACTGAAGCTGAGGGACAGCAAAAAGCGGCCCACTCTGAGTTCTATACCCCTAGACAATATGGGTTTTCTTGGTTAAAGTATTGAAGGACATTGTGTTTTTAGGGGGAAAAGGAACAGAGTCAGGCTGTTAAGGTCAATTTCTCCTTATCTCAGGATCCATCCAAAACATTCTAATGATCAGCAAGGAAGGGAAGAGAACTGGGTGGGTCCAAGGCCACCTGGAGAAATGTCCTGCAGTTAAGTGCTCAATATATGTTATATATACTTATGGTCAATATAATTATTAACACATACTAAGGTACATGTGATATAGAAAGGAAAATACTGAGCTTTACAATAAAATACAAGGCCAAAAATTTAATGTCATAAAAACTATATTCATTAGAGATTACATTATTAGTAAGAGTGTAGAAGAATGGAGCCTCCTATAGGTTTTCCTTGAAGCTGGCCAATCTAACTGTTCACTCTACCTGTGAAAGCAATAATCAGGGCTTTGGGGTTAACATTTCAGAACAGTCTCCTTCTGGCGTCTTCTGTAGTAGACATTACCACTGCTTACAAAACCTAAAGCCTGTCCCATTATACGACAGAGAAAAGTAAATGGCACATGGTTTTCCCTGTTGATTTTTTAATATATTTGCTCTTTTATACAAAAGTAAGGTCAGGATTTTCATTAATTAGGGTTTATTTTCCTTTTATTTTCTTTTCAATTGGAAATCTCTAGTATCTTTTAAACCAACATTCGTTACAGATCCTTAGTCCCATGTACAAAAAATTCCGGCTGGAAGGCTTATTTTATGCATTCACTTTTTTATTTAATGTGCATTGTAAATCATCCTGCTACTATATTTTCTAAGAAATCATATTGTTTGATGTTTACATACTAGTTGATATCTCAAGTTTGCAAATCATTTTTCAGACAACTCATAGGAAGTCAAATATTCCCTTTGAAATAATAAACCAAATATTTATGAATAATGGCATTAAAAAAACACAGTTGACTTTTTTGAATTCAATTATTGAGAGAATTAAAATAAAATAAAATTTCAACAAATCAAAATCAAGTTTCACATTACCTAAGCCAGATCTATATATCAAATTTGAGTTCACAGTGAATTGAGAAGAGATTGTTTTGTTCATATTCCCAACATCTGATGAAAGAGTCTTGCTTTCTTACAGTCAACTAAAATATGTCAGACATCTGAAATCCTAAAAATTGATAGTATATGGCATCCAAGATCAAGAGGGAACGATCAGAATTGTAACATAAATATATGTGTGTGTGCGTGTGTATGTGTATATATATATACATATATATACACACACATATATATATATACACACACATATATTTACCTAATATTCTAATGTACAATGATCTAAATTCTACTGACAGAATCATACTTTATTACTTAAAAAAATTTAAAGTTTTCTGAATAATATCAAAAATGGTAAAGTAATTTTTAAAAAATTACATTTTATGATTAATTTAATGTCTAAAATATCTTAATATCTAAGTGACAGCATGAAATACTGCCAAAGAGCATAAGCTCTGACAACAGAGATTTAGGTTAAGATTCTAACTCTGCTACTGCTAAGTATTTAATATCTCTATTCATTAGATTCCTTATATTTAAAATAAGAATAATAACAGGATACAATTAGAGAGGCTGTTATGAAGATAAAATATGTTAATATAGTTAAAGCACATGGATGAGCAATAATATGCAAAAAGTACTCAAAATGATTCTCAACGTCTAAAGTCAATATGAAGAACAAAACAAAATAAATATTTGCAATAAATATGACAATTTTTATTACATTTTTTTCTCATAAATCTATTTGAAATACTTAAAATAGATTAATGGAGAAAAGACATAAATAGTTAATTCAAAAAGGAAGAAATATATTGTTTATGGAAAAAAGTAAGGCTCATGAGTACACACAGAAATGTACAATGAGGATGTTAGGGCAATCAGGCTGCGACATCTGTCACCTCATTGATCACTAGGGTAAATATGGCTGATCTGGCTGGCTAGGCAGGTGTCCCCTTCCTCCCTCACCACTCCTTGTGCATGCCTCCCAAAGCTGCATGCTGGGTCAAAGAAGACGACCATCCTCAATAGATGAGGATGAGTCTTCAGTAAAGGGTATATGATTACTTGTGCTCCCTTGCTAGAACCTCCAAACAAGCTCTCAAGAAATGTACGATGAAAAAAAAAAAACTTTAAAAATTCTTTTACCTTTCAAAGTAGCAACTATATTAAAAATACAATAATATATTATGCAGGGAGTTTACACGGAAAAGGGCATTTTTGCCTAATGCTGGAGGGAATATAAATTTGTAATAAACATTTTTGCAATCTTTTTGGCAATATCTATCATGAGAGATAAAATGTTTATGTGACCTAAAAATAACATTTTATAATTTGTAATTTTTGCTTTTAGATTGAAAAAGCCTTAGGCAAGTGATAATGTAACATAATTTGTACAATTAAATTATTGGAATTATAGGTAAACCAAAATATATGGGACAATGGAAAGAGCATTAAACTGGAAAGGTGGAAAATAATTTTCCAGTTTTGATTTTATTTTATAGACAGATATTATGAATCCATTGTGTCTCAGATTCTGCGCTAATTGCAGAGTTTAGTTAACTAGAACATATAAAAACTCTGCCCCAGTGGAGCTCACAGTCTAGTGGACAAATATACACTAAAATATTTCCAATGCACAATTATAATTGCTAAGTGGAATTTGGGGAATATGGTGCATGGAACGAAGGCATTATAAAGGAGGTATTAGTGACATTTTAGTTCTGTCCTGCATTCTGTAAGAGTTAGATTTCCAGGGAAGGAGGTCTTCCATAAAAATCAAGAGATCAGTACTTGTCAAAGCCCAGAGGCATGCAAGAACATGGTGAGGTCAGTGGAGCTGGAGGATAGCACTTGAGAAGGAGAGATAAGAAGAGTTCAAGCTGGATAATCCTAAGTGGCCAGATCAGTCACAGTCTTGTCATGGAAAATAAGGAGTTTTTGTTGTTGTTGTTGTTGTTGTTGTTGTTGTTGTTGTTGTTGTTTCTGCAATGGGAAACCATTTGGAGATTTTACAGCATGAAGAGTACATTTTTTAATGAGTACTCATTCATCAATGTGGAGAGTTTGCTGAAAAAGACAAATCTAAAGGCAATGATACCCATTTGGTAGATGTCATAGTAAACAAGGGAAGAGATAGTGGCAGCTTCAATTCACTAGGGTTAGTTGAAGTAGACAAGTCAATCTCACTCATCCTCTTTGATCCTCACTTTGATCTTCAAGCAATTAATGATGTTGAGCTAGATGGACACAAGTAAGCTTTCTGATAGAAAATTTCACCCCTGAGTGTTTAGCTGATGTGATATAATGAAAGGGGTCATCCCATTTCTACCATGGTCATTGAGAGTAATGCAATAAAAATTTAACTTAACACAGCTATGAGGGACCAGGCTGCATGAATTTGAAAGAGAAAGATTAAAAGCAGCCACAGGAGAAAGAAAGGAAAGCAAATAAACTGAAATGTCTGCTCAGAACTGCTTTACACAGGCATACTTATGAAGATTCCTAGGGGAAAGGAACAAACTAGAACAGTGTGAAATTTTCATCAGTAAACCCCAAACCACATGAAAACTGCCTCCTTCCAGTTTCTTGCACAAATTTCATACCAATGGGATTTCATTCACATATGTGGGATGTTTTTCCCTTCACCCAGGAACCCTTCATCAAAGAAAAAAGAGGGACCTCTTGCCCTGTCTGGAGAGGGTGGCTTCTTCAAGGTTGACTTTCAGCTCTTTGCTCTGCATGTGTACAGTTTAACAAAGAAAGAAGTTGTAAGGGTAGGTGTTTGGTTCTCCTGCGTTGCCGCATGAAAATCAGAGCAAAGATTTTTAATAATATCTGAAAGAATATTCAAGTTTCTGTCTTTTTTATTGGTAATGTAGACAGAACTACCTTAGACTCCCCACTTGACCTTCTCGTTTATGTATAGCCCTCCCCCAACTCTGCCCTGCTGTATTTGTTCTTTCTCAACAAAGGCCAATATATTTTGTTTCCACCTGGTTGTCAAAATTTCTCCATTCCAATGATCCACTGGAGCTGGCCCACACCCTGCATGGACACACTTCTTTTTTTTTTTTAAGTTATACTTTAAGTTCTGGGATACATGTGCAGAATGTGCAGGTTTGTTACATAAGTATACACGTGCCATGGCGGTTTGCTGCACCCATCAACCCATCATCTACATTAGGTATTTCTCCTAATGCTATCCCTCCCATAGCCCCCCACCCCCTAACAGGCCCTGGTGTGTGATCTTCCCCTCCCTGTGTCCATTTGTTCTCACTGTTCAACTCCCACTTATGAGTGAGAACATGCAGTGTTTGGTTTTCTGTTCCTGTGTTAGTTTGCTGAAAATGATAGTTTCCAGCTTCATCCATGTCTCTGCAAAGGACATGAGCTCATCCTTTTTATGGCTGCATAGTATTCCATGGTATATATGTGCCACATTTTCTTTACACAGTTTATCATTGATGGGCATTTGTGTTGGTTCAAAGTCTTTGCTATTGTTAACAGTGCTGCAATAAACATACGTGTGCATGTGTCTTTATAGTAGAATAATTTATAATCCTTTTGGTCTATACCCAGTAATGGGATTGCTAGGTCAAATGGTATTTATGGTTTTAGATCCTTGAGGAATTGCCACACTGTCTTCCACAATGGTTGAACTAATTTACACTCCCACCAAAAGTGTAAAAGCATTTCTAGTTCTCCACATCCTCCCCAGCACCTGTTTTTTCATGACTTTTTAATGATCACCATTCTAACTGGCGTGAGATGGTATCCCATTGTGGTTTTTATTTGCATTTCTCTAATAACCAGTGATGATGAGCTTTTTTTCATCTGTTTGTTGGCTGCATAAATGTCTTCTTTTGTGAAGTGTCTGTTCATATCCTTTGGCCACTTTTTGAAGGGGTTGTTTGTTTTTTTCTTGTAAACTTGTTTAAGTTATTTGTAGACTCTGGATATTAGCCCTTTGTCAGATGGATAGACTGCAAAAATTTTCTCCCATTCTGTAGGTTGCCTGTTGACTCTGATGATCATTTCTTTTGCTGTGCAGAAGCTCTTTAGTTTAATTAGATCCCATTTGTCAATTTTGCCTTTTGTCGCCATTGTTTTTGGTGTTTTAGTCATGAAGTCTGCCCATGCCTATATCCTGAATGGAAATGGCAAGGTTTTCTTCTAGGATTTTTATGGTTTTAGGTCTTATGTTTAAGTCTTCAATCCATCCTGAGTTAATTTTTGCATAAGGTGTAAGGAAAGGGTCAATTTTCAGTTTTCTGCATATGGCTAGCCAGTTTTCCCAACACCATTTTTTAAGTAGGGAATCCTTTCCGCATTGCTTATTTTTGTCAGGTTTGTCAAAGATCAGATGGTTGTAGATGTGTGGTGTCATTTCTGAGGCCTCTGTTCTGTTCCGTTGGTCAATATATCTGTTTTGGTATCAGTACATGCTGTTTTGGTTACTGTAGGCTTGTAGTATAGTTTGAAGCCAGGTAGCGTGATGCCTCCAGCTTTGTTCTTTTTGCTTAAGACTGTCTTGGCTATATGGGCTCTTTTTTGGTTCCATATGAAATTTAAAGTAGTTTTTTTCTAATTCTGTGAAGAAAGTCAATGGTAGCTTGATCAGGATAACATTGAATCTATAAATTACTTTGGGCAGTATGGCTATTTTCACGATACTGATTCTTCCTATCCATGAGCATGCAATGTTTTTCCATTTGTTTGTGTCGTCTCTTATTTCCTTGAGCAGTGGTTTGTAGTTCTCCTTGAATAAGTCCTTCATATCTCTTGTAAGATGTATTCCTAGGTATTTTATTCTCTTTGTAGCGATTGTGAATGGGACTTCACTCAGGATTTAGTCTTCTGTTTGTCTATTATTGGTGTATAGGAATGCTTGTGATTTTTGCACACATATTTTTTTATCCTGAGACTTTACTGAAGTTGCTTATCAGCTTAAGGAGATTTTGGGCTGAGATGATGGGAGTCTCTAAATATACAATCATGTCGTCTGAAAACAGAGACAATTTTACTTCCTCTCTTCTTATTTGAATACTCTTTATTTCTTTCTCCTGACTTAGTACCCTGGCCAGAACTTTCAAAACTATGTTGAATTGGAGTGGTGAGAGGGGGCATCCTTGTCTTGTGCTGACTTTCAAAAAGAATGCTTTCAGTTTTTGCCCATTCAATATGATATTGGCTGTGGGTTTTTTCATAAATAGCTCTTATTATCTTGAGATACATTCCATTTTTTCATAAATAGCTCTTATTATCTTGAGATACATTCCATCAATACCTAGTTTATTGAGAGTTTTTAGCATGACGGGGTGTTGAATTTTACTGAAGGCCTTTTCTGCATCTATTGAGATAATCATGTTGTTTTTGTCATTGGTTCTGTTTATGTGAGGGATTATATCTATTTATTTGTATTATGCTGAACCAGTCTTGCATCCCAGGGATGAAGCTAACTTGATTGTGTTGGATAAGCTTTTTGATGTGCTGCTGGATTCAGTTCACCAGTATTTTTTTTAGGGTTTTCAAATCCATGTTCATCAGGGATATTGGCCTGAAATTTTCTTTTTTTGTTGTGTCTCTGCCAGGTTTTGGTAACAGGATGACGCTGGCCTCTTAAAATGAGTTAGGAAGGAGTCCCTCTTGTTCAATTGTTTGGAATAGTTTCAGAAGGAATGGTACCAACTGCTCTTTGTACCTCTGGTGTAATTTGGCTGTGAATCTGTCTGGTCCTGGGCTTTATTTGGTTGGTAGGCTATTAATTACTGCCTCAATTTCAAAACTTTTTATTGGTCTATTCAGGGATTCGACTTCTTCCTGGTTTAGTCTTAAGAGGGTATATGTGTCTAGGAATTCATACATTTCTTCTAGATTTTTTAGTTTATTTGGGTAGAAGTGTTTATAGTATTCTCTGATGGCACTTTGTATTTCTGTGCGATCGTTGGTGATATCCCCTTTATCATTTTTTATTGTGTCTATTTTATTCTTCTCTCTTTTCATCTTTATTAGTCTGGCTAGCGGACTATCTATTTTGTTAATCTTTTCAAAAAACCAGCTCCTGGGTTCATTGATTTTTTGAAGGATTTTTCGTGTCTCTGTCTCCTTCAGTTCTGCTCTGATCTTAGTTATTTCTTGAATTCTGCTAGCTTTTGAATTTGTTTGCTCTTGCTTCTCTTTTAATTGTGATGTTAGGGTGTTGATTTTCAATCTTTCCTGCTTTCTTCTGTGGGGATTTAGTGCTATAAATTTCTCTCTAAACATTGCTTTAACTGTGTCCCAGAGATTCTGGTACATTGTGTCTTTGTTTTCGGTAGTTTCATAGAACTTATTTATCTCTGCCTTAATTTCGTTATTTACCTAGCAGTCATTCAGGAGCAGGTTGTTCAGTTTCCATGTAGTTGTGTGGTTTTGAGTGAGTTTCTTAATCCTGAATTCTAATTTGATTGCACTGTGGTCTAAGAGAATGTTTGTTATGATTTCCATTCTTTTGCATTTGCTGAGGAGTGTTTTGACCACTTATGTGGTCAGTTTAGAATAAATGCGATGTGGTGCTGAGAAGAATGTATATTCTGTTTATTTGGGGTGGAGAGTTCTGTAGATGTCTGTTAGGTCCACTTGGTCCAGAGCTGAGTTAAAGAAGTCCTGAATATCCTTGTTAATTTTCTGTCCCGTCGATCTGTCTAATATTGACAGGTCTCTAAGGACTTGCTTTATGAATCTGGGTGCTCTTGTATTGGGTGCATTTATATTTAAGATAGTTAGCTCTTCTTATTGCATTGATCACTTTACCATTATGTAATGCCCTTCTTTGTCTTTTTTGATCTTTGTTGGTTTAAAGTCTGTTTTATCAGAGACTAGGATTGCAACTCCTGAATTTTTTTTTTTTTTTTTTTTTTTTTTTGCTTTCCATTTGCTTGGTACCATCCCTTTATTCTGAGCCTATGTGTGTCTTCGCACGTGAGATGGGTCTTGTGACTATAGCACACTAATGGGTCTTAACTTTTTATCCAATTTGCCAGTCTATATCTTTTAATTGGGGCATTTAGCCCATTTACATTTAAGGTTAATATTGTTATGTGTGAATTTGATCCTGTCATTATGATGCTGGCTGGTTATTTTGCCCATTAGTTTAGGCAGTTTCTTCATAATGTCAATGGTCTTTACAGTTAGATATGTTTTTGCAGTGGCTAGTATGGGCTTTTCCTTTCCCTATTTAGTGCTTCCTTCAGGAGCTCTTGTAAGGCAGGCCTGGTGGTGACAAAATCTCTCAGCATTTGCTTGCCTGTAAAGGACTTTGTTTAGCTGGATTAGAAATTTTGGGTTGAAAATTCTTTTCTTTAAAAATGTTGAATAGTGGCCCCCTCTCTCTTCTGGCTTGTAGGGTTCCTGAAGAGATATCTGCTGTTAGTCTGATGTGCTTCCCTTTGTGGGTAACCTGATCTTTCTCTCTGGCTGCCTTTAACATTTTTTCCTTCATTTCAGCCTTAGTGAATCTGATGATTATGTGTCTTGGGGTTGCTATTCTCATGGACTTCTTTGTGGTGTTCTCTGTTTTTCTTGAATTTGAATGTTGGCCTGTCTTGCTAGGTTGGGGAAATGCTCCTGGATAATATCCTGAAGCGTGTTTTCCAACTTGGTTCCATTCTCTCCGTCACTTTCAGGTACAATCAAACATAGGTTTGGTCTTTTCACATAGTCCCATATTTCTTGGAGGCTTTGTTTGTATCTTTTCATTCCTTTTTCTCTAATCTTGTCTTCACACTTTATTGCATTAAGTTGATCTTCAATCTCTGATATCCTTTATTCAACTTAATCAATTCGGCTATTGATACTTGTGTATGCTTCAGGAAGTTCTCATGCTATGTTTTTCAGCTCCATCAGGTCATTTATGATCTTCTCTAAACTGGTTTTTCTAGTTAGCAATTTGTCTAACCTTTTTTCAAGGTTCTTAGCTTCCTTGCATTGGGTTAGAGCATGCTCCTTTAGCTTGGAGGAGTTTGTTATCACCCACCTTCTGAAGCCTACTTCTGTCAATTTGTCAAACTCATTCTCTGTCCAGTTTTGTTCCCTTGATGGTGAGGAGTTGTGTTCCTTTGGAGAGAAGAGGTGTTCTGGTTTTTGGAATTTTCTTCTTATGCTGGTATTTCCTCATCTTCCTGGATTTATCTGCCTTTGGTCTTTGATGTTGGTGACCTTCGGATGGGGTTTTTGTGTGGACATCTTTTTGTTGATGATGATGCTACTCCTTTCTGTTTGTTAGTTTTCCTTCTAACAGTCAGGCCCCCCTGCTGAAGGTCTGCTGGAGTTTGCTGGAGGTCCACTCCAGACCCTGTTTGTTTGGGTTTCACCAGCAGAAGCTGCAGAACAGCTAAGATTGCTGCTGGTTTCTTCCTCTGGAAGGTTCATCCCAGAGGCACACCCTCCAGATGCCAGCCGGAGTTCTCCTGTATGATGTGTCTGTATGAAGTGTCTCCCAGTCAGGAAGCACAGGGGTCAGGGACCCACTTGAGAAGACAGTCTGTCCCATTTCAGAGCTCCAGCACTGTGCTGGGAGACCTGCTGCTCTCTTCAGAGCGAGCAGGCAGGAACATTTAAGTCTGCTGAAGCTTCACCCACAGCCGCCCCTTCCCCCAGGTTGTCTGTCCCAGGGAGATGGGAGTTTTATTTATAAGCCCCTGACTGGGGCTGCTGCCTTTCTTTCAGAGATGCCCTGCCCAGAGAGGAGGAATCTAGAGAGGCAGTCTGGCTACAGTGGCTTTGCTGAGCTGCGATGGGCTCTGCCCAGTTCAAACTTCCCTGTGGCCTTGTTTATACTGTGAGGGGAAAATCACCTACTCAAGCCTCAGTAATGGTGGACCCCTCTCCCCCCACCAAGCTCAAGCATCCCATGTCGACTTCAAACTGCTGTGCTGGCCATGAGGATTTCAAGCCAGTGGATCTCAGCTTGCTGCGCTCCATGGGGGTGGGATCTGCTGAGCTAGACCACTTGGCTCCCTGGTTTCATCCCTCTTTCCAGGGGAGTGAATGGTTGTTTATCAATGGCATTCCAGGTGCCACGCTTAGCTCAGTGTCTACCCAAATGGCTGCCCAGTTTTGTGCTTGAAACCCAGGGCCTGGTGGTGCAGGAAACTGAGGGAATCTTCTGGTCTACAGATTGCAAAAACTATGGGAAAAGCATAGTATCTGGGCTGGAGTGCACCACTCCTCGTGGCACAGTCCTTCAGGGCTTCCCTTGGCTAGGGAGAGACAGTTCCCTGACTCCTTGTGCTTCCCAGGTCGAGGCGAGTCCCCATCCTGCTTTGCCTCACCCTCCACGGGCCGCACCCACTATCTAACAAGTCCCAGTGACATGAGCCGGGTACCTCAGTTGGAAATGCAGAAATCACCTGCCTTCTGCATTGATCTCACTGGGAGCTGCAGACCAGAGCTGTTCCTATTCAGCCATCTTGCCAGCCATCTGCATTCCGCCCTGTTTATATTTATTGGTGTTATGATTACATAGATATAGAGATGATATGGATCGATATAGAGATATATATGAATCATAAACTTCAAAGGTCCTTTAAGAATTGAATAATCCAACAACCTCATGTTACTGCTAAAGCCACTCTGCTGGAAGTCTATGGTATTCTTTAAATCCTGTCCTTGAACTAGAACTAAAAATGCATGAAAGAAGTGTTACGTACCAATACTCACGATATTGAGTGAGGTTCCTTCCAGGACATCTGTCACCCATTACCGAGGAGGGACATCTTTTTTGCCAACATTCTGAAGCTCATATATGGAAATTCAATATTTTCATGTTTAAAATTTTCTAATTTACGTATTAGTGTTTTCCTAAATTTTAGAATATACTCTGCACCTATCTTCATAGAATTTTAGCTTATATGGTTTAATATGAAATTGTTAATGAAAATTCAGAAAATCATAAGTTTTTCCAAATATTATAGATGACACTAATCTCTATATTCCTACAATAATTTATTCTTCTTCCTCTTATGGCTGCTGTAACATTTCATTACATGCCCAATTTCCTTTTATACTATAAGCAATCTTGATGACCAGGCCCATGTATCTGGTATTCTAAACATCTAACATATATTGTATATAGCAAATAGTAAGGGCTGAGTATTTTCAGAGTGAATACGCACTTTGAAAACAAAAACTGAAAATGCAGTGCCATCTGTATTAAATAAATGCAGTACCAGATATAATACAAAGGTACATATATTTGAGAATTGTGTTAAGTTTTTGTGCTTATTGAGTGCTGAGAGAAATTTGAGATAATGGTTTATGCAGCTTTTAATGTGGTTCAAAAGTATTTATTTAAAACCAGGAGACAAACAAAACCGTAAAACAGATTAAATCACTTAAATTGTGTATCCTCTCATTTATTAAAAATATTATATAGTTTTAAGAAACATTGGCTTGGACTTATCTTTCCTATTTCACAAAATAAATAATATGTCTATCTAAAATATACAAAGGGTTTCTGTGAATTTTAATTTGTATAACACAATAGTGAGCATGGCCTTTAACAATAATTATATTATGGTCATGCACTGCATAAGGACATTTTCGCCAAGGACGACTACTTGTCCATGTTCTCATAAGATTATACTGAAGCTATATAGTGGAGTAGCCTATATCATTGAGGTTTGTGTAAGTACACTCTACAATGTTCACACAAGGATGAAATTGCATAATGATGCATTTCTCAGAAGGTGTTCCCTTGGTTAAGTGACACATGACTACTAACTTTAATTTCTACCTCTGAAACAACTCCTGATTGATGTAAGCATGAAGCAATTTTTTCGGCAACAGAGGTGTATGTATGGTGAATGCAGCTCTAGGCATATAGTAATGTTTGTCACACTGTAAGTCCAAGTGTTCATATACTGAAATCATTGCTGTTACATAATGAAAGACAAATGCTTCAGGACTAAGGAGGAAACAATTTATTTGACCCTACATTTGGTTTTAAAATGAGAGGCTCTATTGAAATGATTACTAAACCAGACACTAGGATTGCCTAATGTATATGGGACCATCATGTACATGCTATAAGCTCAAGACAGTGAAGAGCATCATTAACATATCTTGACTCAAATCTCCTTTGGATCATTCCAGAAAAACTCATCCTTGGATGCCTTTTCATTCAAGGCAGCATAAAAATTTGTGTACAGTTTGCATGTATGAAAAGTGTATGTTCCCTTTAGCTTTGCTCCTTCTGCTTAAGGGCCACATTGACAAATGTGAAAACATATCTCTACAGAAATAAGCTAGAAGAGCATTTCTCAGAATGTATTCTGTGTCATACCAGTTTGATTGGACTTCCTCTTTGCAAAAGGAGAAAAGTATTCTGTGATAAAAATAGTTTGGGAAAATTGGTTAGACATGTTCCTTTATTGTCAGACTTTTTAGCTTTCAAATGCTGTTGTGCATTTTATCTGCCTCCAGATGGGAGAAAGAGGATGCAATATTTTCTAATGACTACAAAATCTGTTGTTCAAAATGTTATGAAAATAAAGTTATTAAAAATACTTAGAAAAATTTCATTTTTTTCAATGGAAGTGAAAGCAATAATCTATTAATTGAGAAAACTGAGATGAGTTCAAAAGTTAAAGTCTTTACAGAAAAAAAATTTCAAATGAGAAAAATAATTTTAGGCTGATATATTTAATGCCAGTTCAATACAATACGTTATTTTTCTCTATTCTGTATTTAACTTTTCTCCCAAAATTGGAACCCTGACTCCCAATATCACTGTATTTACTCATTTGCTCAGTCTTACAATACACACACACGGTATAATTTCTACTTCTGCACCGTAAAAGGATATGGAAACAAAGAAACTCCGGTGACAATAAGCACACCTTGCCACTATAACTTGGTTTCTAAATGCTGTTCCCCATTAAAAGTAAAACCTAAGTACTTGGATAAATGATGTATTCCAGGACAAGTATGAAATAATTCTGGAATATCTTATTGTGCCAGAAACTATTACAATCAATCAAAAAGGAAGATTAAAGTTCAAATACACAAGAACAAGTTTGACAAATCTCCCACTGAGAAAACCTGGGAAGGTAAGTCTTCATAATAAATAAAGTTATGAATTATAACACACGAAACATAAACACATTTATATTTCACTTGTTGTGATGGCTAACTTTATTGGTAAACTTTACTGGCCACAGGGTGCCCGGACATTTATTTGGTCAAACACTATTTTTTATTATTATTATTTTTTTATTATACTCTAAGTTCTGGGGTACATGTAAACAACGTGCAGGTTTGTTACATAAATATACATGTCGGTTTGCTGCACCCATTGACTCGTCATTTACATTAGGTATTTCTTCTAATGCTATCCCTCCCCCAGTCTCCCATCCCCCAACAGGCCCCGGTGTGTGTTGTTCCCCTCCCTGTGTCCATGTGTTTTCATTGTTCAGCTCCCACTTATGAGTGAGAACATGCGGTTTTCTGTCCTATTTTTGTATGTGTGTGAGAACGTTTCTGGACGAGATGAACATTTAAATCAGTATACTAAATAAAGTAGCTTGTCCTCTGTAATATGAGCGGGTTTCATGCAATCAATTGCAAACCCCAAGAGGACAGAAAGATTGCCCCCTCCCCCAAGGAGTAAGAGGGAACTCCTGCCTGACTTCTTGAGCTGAATTTTTATTTATTTATTTATTTATTTCCTGTCTTCAGCCTCAAACTGAAACATCAGTTCTTGAGTCTTGAGCCTGCCAGCTTTCAGACTGGAACACACTGCCTTGGCTTTTCTGTTTCTCAGGCCTTAGAATGCTGGAAAATACACGTTGGTAGTAAAAACCAAGCATACAAATTCAGAAATAAAGAAAAGCTTTTCCATACAGTAGAATATCAATTAATAAATGTAAAAATTACAATTTCTACAATTGTAGAAAAATTACCATTCTACATATTTCATAATAAGAATAAATTCAGGCAAGAATGATCTTTTATAGAGCATTTTTTCTACATTACTTATAACTTAATTCTTTGTAAGTAAAATTATGAACAATAATTTATTATGCAGCCCACTCAAATATAAAATAATATGTTTTTGTAGAAAAGTTTTATTACAGTCTGGATGCAATGCTGGTGGTTTTATTCCCCCGCTCCAAATATTCTAAATGTAAGGATGTGACTTCAAATTTCTAGTAACATTTTGCCCAGTTATTTAAATTGTGTAGCTTATTCTCCACTGCTATCTCTAATCTTTGGAGTCATTAACTATTGTCTTAATGAATTCTGAGTGCCATATGTTCTATTCCAATTTTCTTTTTTTTGGTATCATTTTAGCAAACCGCAGAGAATATCCAAGTATAAAATTGACTATTTTACCTATACCCCATGTTTTTTTCTCTGTTATAGTTGTTTAGTTTAAACATTTTATTGTTAATGATCTGATGAACTGTACTTTTATATTCATTTTAATTATTTAAAAACAGTTGGCGATATTTGATAAGTTGTTGAAAAGAAATTAGGAAACCTATAAGAAGTAATAGGAATCTTATAAGAAAAGTTTCTAATAGCAGTTTTATGAATTCATTGATTTTTTCCATGTTGACCATGTCTCTATAAGATTGACTAGAAGGATAATGTAACTTTTACATTCTAAGATATTTTATAACATTTAGCTGACTGTGTCCTCATAACACCTAATAACATTGTAAGTTTCAATAATTAAGGGCCCTTTTTTCATTTTTTTATATCTCTTTTTTCTCTTAGCCTCTATGAAGGTAGTGTAAGACCACTAGATAATTTTGACTTGAGACTTAAAACTAAACATTAGTTATAGAAATATAAATTTATCTGGTAATTTTTGGAATATGATATATACAGAATGATATGATTCGAAACTTAATTGAGTCAGTTTCCTGTCATAATGAACATATGTCTTATCACTACTTAAAAACCTAATTTGAGATACCTTTTGATGCTGCTGACATCAGGTGACAAGTTCAAAAAAGTAAAGAAAGAAACTGGACTACTTTCAGAATAGATGAATCTGATCACATGTTTTATTAAAATGGTTAGCTAATCCCTTGATTTACCAAATTCCTTTGCTTCTCTGAAATAGGAAAGTCAGATATCAAGGCATTTGAAAATGAATTCTCTAGAACCAGAACATATGTTATTAAAAACATCTACCTAGACAACTTCATTTTCTCATAAATAATAAGGTATAATTGTCCGAACTCATTATTGCTTTAAAGAAACCCTACATAGAAGAAGAATAGAAGAAACTGATTAGTAAAGAAAGTATAAATATTTTCCGTTATCAGACTGTCTATATTTGAAGTCAACGGGATACAAATATAGTCTTTCTTTAAAAATAGTGTAAATAATTCTGTTCCTCATGATTTAATAATCATAACAAATGTTTTATGAGTTTATGTCCTTGTAATATGAATATTTCCATCTAACAAAAGAGATGGAAGAAAATTATGCCAGTTAGCTTGATAAGATATTGCAAGAACAAATTTGCTTTATTCTAAAAAGGCCCAAAGAAGTCTTTTACAAGGAAGAAATATAAATGATAATATCAAACTTCACTAAGGTGGAATTAGGATATGTTATCTGAATTGCTGAAAAATCAGAATCACTGGAAAATCACTTAAAGATAATCAGCTGTTGACCAGGTGCTGTTGCTCTTGCTTGTAATCCCAGCACTTTGGGAGGCTGAGGTGGGAGGATCACTTGAGGTCAGAAGTTCAAGTCCAGGCTAGCCAACGTGGTGAAATCCTATCTGTACTAAAAATGTCAAAAATTATCTGGACAAGGTGGCACATGACTGTAAGTGGCACATGCCTCTCAAGGCTGAGGCACGAGAATCACTTCAACCCAAGAGGCAGAGGTTGCGGTGAGCCAAAATCATGCCACCGCACTTCAGCCTGGGTGACAGAGAAAGACCCTGTCTCAAAAAAAAAAAAAAAAAAAAAAAAAAAAAGATCAAGATAAAGATAATCAGCTCTTATTACAAAACATAAAGTATGAAGTAATTTTAAATAGTGCTGCCATATAGGTATATGTTAGCATGTCCAAATAAACATCTGGCCTACTTAATTGACTAAACAATTATGATTAAATTAGGCAAATCAAGTTCCTGAAAAAGGTAAATAGTTAAATTTGCTTAAATTTAATTTTGCATATGGAATGACTAACCTAGAATTTGACACAGAAAAAAAACAAAATGAACATTTTCTATAAATTTAAGTGTCTGAATGAATAAGAGTATTTGAGGAGCTTGTTCCTCTTGAATGCAGTATTTCACAAATCAGTTTTTATCCTTATGATAATTTTAGTTTTATATAAAGGTAAACTTTTGTTTCATATATTGACTTGGTAAGAAAATTACTGAGAAGTTTATCTTAGTGAAAATAAAAACTGGAAAAACGTACATTCAAAATAATTTAACACCACTCCTTATATTTAACACTATAGCTTTACATATTAAAATTTTATATAAAAACATTTGCAGTAACACTGTAACAGAAAATGTAGAAAAAGAATCTGTGGCCACTCATTTGATTCATTCAAAATTGTCACCAAAAACCCCAGAGAAAAGTCTATGAAGGTAGCAACTATCAACTGGAGTGGAAAGGGAGGAAAGAGGTTGCTATTTTATTCAGGAGACTTTATTTGTAAGACTTCCTTGATAAAGTGATATTTGAACAGAGACCTGAAGACATTGGGGAGGCTAGTCATAAAGATATCATAAGGAAGCATTTTTAAGGCAGAGAGAACAGCAAGTACTAAGCCTGGCCTGGAGTGGTGTGGCGCATTTGAGCAAATTGCAAGGAAGCTAGTGGCACCAGAGTAAGATGAGTAAGGAGAAAAGTGAAAATAGATTAAGTCTAGAGGGTAGTAAGAGTTTATTTCAAGTAAATTTGCAGGCCATTTTAAGCATTTTGGATTTGTACCTAAAAGGGATAGGAAGCCAATATAGTAGTCCCCTCCTATCCACAGAGGACACATTCCAAGATCCCCAGTCAATACCTGAAACCACAGGTAGTACTGAACTTTTATTTATGTATATACTCTACATATTTTTTTTTCTTCTACACAGTTTTATGGATAGATTTGTTTTTACCATATATCTTAGCACCCACAGCGTGCAATTTTTTTTTTTTCTTTTCTTATTGAGATCTTTCCTCTTTTTACTTACAGGAAGTGCTTTGGCATATCCAAATTACCAGCATCACTAATGTTGTGCTTTGGGGCCATTATTGAGTAAAACAGTAAATTAAAGATTATTTGAACACAGCACTGCTATACCATGAGAGTGGCTCTGGCAGCTCATATGGTTACTAAGTGACCAACAGATGGGTAGCATATACAATGTGGATACTTGGGACAAAGGGTTGATTCCTGTCCTGGGTGGAATGGACTGCGATGGTACAACATTTCATCATACTACTCAGAAAGGCACATGATTTAAAGTTTATGTGTGATTTATTTCTGAAATATTCCATTTAATACTTTGAGACCATGGTTGACAGTGGGTAACTGAAACCACTGAGGGCAAAACCTTGAATAAGGGGAGTGGGAATGCTACTGTAAAATGTTTCAAGGAGACAATTAAAATTAGCTGATTTGCATGCATTTCAAAAGGCCACTCTCGTGGTGGTATGGAGAATAGAGGAGGCAAATTAAAGTATATCAATCCAGATGTGTTGCCATCAAGTTTGGATGTGCTAAAAAGTTGCCATAATCTTCATATTTTTAGGTAGAGCCAACAAGATTTGCTGATTTATTGAATGAGAAGTGTGAATTAAAAGTAGGAGTCGGGGACAACTGCAGGTTGTTTAACATGAACAACTAAATTGAAGGATGAAGTTATTTTTCATTAAGATGAGGAAGACTAAAGGAGGTGCATGTCTGAGGAGATGGAAATCTAGAGTTTGAGGAAGGCTTATGATGCCTATTAGACAACTAAGTAAATATGTTAAGTTGGCAGCTGGATGTAGAGCTCATGGAAAATATATGAATTTGGGAGTCTTTACCATTTAGATACCATTTACTAGATAAAACTACCAAGAAAGAGAGTGAATTATAGAGAAACTAGTCCAAGGACTGAGATCTAAGTATAAATTCCTATACTCTAAAAATGTAATACAGGATTAAATTCCTTCATCAGATCTATCAATTCCCATATTTGCAATGCTTGAAAGTAAAGCTATATCTTTGAAAGTCGAGTAAAAGAATAGTTGCTTGCTTGCATTTCCTATGAACTGCTATTCATTTTATTTTTTAGAATTAGAAAGAAATGGAATACATTTTGGCTCCACAGAAAGAGAATAGCATGTATGAGGAGTCTGGATACTGCTTAAAAAGCTATATGCTATTTCTCAGGCCTGGCCATACACAATTACAAAGACTTTACCTGGGAGGACTCACAGGGGAAAGCTGTCCACCTCACGCCAGAATTGGGGCACAGCCAGTGCCTTGCAGCCTCTGAGGGAAGGGGAGTTGATGTCAAGGACTCAGGCCCCTTTGGCTGGTCACACTCTTTCTCATATTTGTGGTCCTAGTCTCAGAGCCTTTAATCTCAGGCTTCCCTATCTGAGGCCTTCTCAGAGGTCTTCTTCAAGTGCCTCTGCATAGGCCTCATTTTGGGGAGGAGGGGGAACACAAATGAAGGCACATTTTCTCACCCTTATTCAGACCCTGGACTTGTCCATTCCTATCCCTCAACTCCCATACTTCTTCCTCAGCCCCAGGGTCCATACAACTTTTAGAGCTTTGTATTCTTGGCTCCCTCAAAAGCCAGATGACCCCCACATCTTGGCTGATTCCTTAGTGTGCCATTTCATGGTGGTGGGTAGGAAATGGAATGAGCAGGGAGGGAGAGTTGATGTGTTTTTCTTGTTTAAGATGCTTGCATATACCATTGCAATAAGTGATTAAAGGCTTAACTCTCATTTTTGGCTTGTTGCTTTAATTAGCTACTCCAACACCTGGCAGCTCAGCTATTTCTCCCAGCTAAGCTCCTGATAGTGTAAATTATCATTTTACATATTTTATCAGAACAAATTCAATATTTTTCTTTTTTACCAACCCTGTGTAACTTTAATTTATATTGCGGTCTTGTCCTGCATTTGACCTGGATTATGATTTTCTTAACATTTTTCTAGCTCAGGTAGTTGTTCTAAAAATTCTATAAGCACTTCTTGTAGACAAGTGCTCTTCTGCCCATTTGTTAATACAGTCATATTCCCACTAACGCTGTGGTCAGAAATTAATGAATTAATAAATAAACAAATCTTATTTTATTTATTATTTTTTCTACTGTTAATTCTTCTGGCAAGATTACTAAATAGTTATAGCCCAAATGAATGAATGATAAGCCACAAACTAGGTGCTGTTGTTTGAATGTGTCGCCCAAAAGGCATGTGTTGGAAACTGAATTCCCAAACTCATGTTGAATTTTAATTGCTATTTTAACAGTGTTAAGAGGTGGGACATTTAAGAGGTGATTAGGCCATGAGGGATCTGTCCTCATGAATGCTCTTATTGCATAATGCTCTTATTGCAATAAGAGATTCCTTATAAAAGGTGAAGTTTGAAGTTTGGTCCCCTTTTCTTTCTCTCTCTCTCCCCTCTCTTTGTTTTTATGGGTGATGCAGGAAGAAGGACCTTGCCAGATGCTGCCCACTCATTCTTGAACTTCAGAATCTCCAGAACTGTGAGCCAATAAATTTCTAGTCATTATAATTACCCAGCCTGGGTATTTATCCCAGTGGTATTTTGTTACAGTAGCATAAAACAAACTAAGACACCTAGTGTTTGTGTTATGCCATTCTTGCATTGCTATAAAGAACTACCCAAGAGTGCACCATTTATAAAGAAAAGAGGTTTAATTGCTGCATAGTTTGGAAGGCTGTATAGGAAACATAATGCCAGCATCTGCTTGACTTCTGGGGCAGCCTCAGGAATCTTACAAGCATGGTGGAAGGTGAAGCAGGAGCAAGCATGTCACATGACAAAAGCAAGAACAAGAGCAGGGGAAGGTGCCACACTTTACAACAAGTAGATTTTGTGATAATTCACTCACTATTGCAAGGGCAGAATCAAGGGGATATTGCTAAACCATTCATGAGAAATCCACCACCGTGATCCAATCACCTCCCACCAGGCCCCACCTCCAATACCTGAGATTACACTTCAGCATGAAAATTGGGCAGGGACAAATATCCAAACTATATCAGTGTTATAACTACAAATTACTCAAATATAACAGCAATTAATCATTTTTTTCAAATATTTTTACAGCTTCTTCAGTACTAAAATTGGTAAACAAAGGTTAATCTACATTAAAATCTATTTATTAACATATAGTGTGTTCTAAGCTTTTCTTAAGATAAAATACTGAAATTTACTCAAGGACAATTTTGATTTTAATCTAAATACATAGAAAAATATTATTTATACACTTATTAAAAATAAAGTGTGTCTATTAAATTAGCTTTTATATAGCAGCTTATATTGAATAAGAATTTTAAGATTACTCAAATATTATTCTATTATTTATTATTATTATTATTTTGGACAGAGTCTTATTCTGGTATCCAGGCTGGAATGCACTGGCAAGATCCCAGCTCACTGCAACCTCTGCTTCCTGGATTCAAGTGATTCTCTTGCCTCAGCCTCCTAAGTAGCTGGGATTACAGGTGCATGCCACCACGTCTGGCTAATTTTTGTGTTTTTAGCAGAGACAGGGTTTTACCATGTTGGCCACGCTGGTTTTGAACTCCTGACCTCAGGTGATCCACCCATCTCGGACTCCCATCAAATATTATTCTTAATTATATTTTTAATATTATCATTAGGAGTCAAAGGACCAAAATATCTTAAACATAACAATTAAAGTTCACTGAAATTTATGTAAAGGAAATTAAATGGGAATAGTTTTCAAAATCTGGTTCTATTTTCTACTCTGCAACTTGCAAGCTGGTTATTTTTATTAATGTCACTAAACCACTGAGTCCCAAATCCTTCATCTCTAAAGTTAACTTAATTGCCACATTATTATGGGAATCAATTAGCATGTATAGTTTTAAATGACTTACATATGGTGCTGTGTGACTAAATCTTGCAATATTAGTTTTACTACAGTGTTACATTTGTTAACTTATTGGTGGAATATATTGGGTTTACCGTGTGCCTAGAGGCAGACTATGCTTAGGGAAGTTTGACGCCTCTCCTCCCATCTTTCAGTGCTTTCAGTGTCTTTGCCCCTTTATTTCCTGGCTATCTACCAGACTCACTGGCCTCAGATATTTCTTTATTCAAAGGTCTTTTTTTTTTTCTTGTGGACCCAGGCACTTCTCTTATACCAGAAATCTTCTCTCTCTCCTCACATACTACAGGGCTAGATATCTGAGCTGGCCAAAGGGAGAGTTCACTAATCAAACAGGAATGGTGTTGTGGCAGAGTGAACTCTGGAATTAGATTTAAAAAGTCAAATCTTTGGCCCTACTTTACTATTTCTTTGAATTTCAAACAATAATTAGTTCTTATTTCATTACCTGTGCAATGGGGCTAGTGATACCTTTGGCCTATCTCTTAACATTGTGAAGATTATAATAAAATAAGATCCCTAATATACCTTGTAAACAGTAAGACACACACAAAGTAAGTAGTTATTGTTCAGTTGAACTTATTTATTTTAGCAGAAGGAAGCCATGAAGCAGCCCTAGAAAGCTCCCATCATTATAAAGAGGTATATGAGTGCTTAACAGAGGCCTTCCAAAGACAAGATCTCTCCTCTGTTACTAAATCTAAGGAATAACATAGAAAACAGCCTGCTGAAAAAGATAAATTTAGTTGGAGAAAGGATATATTCATAGCATTTATTGAAAAACTTGATATAGTCTGGGTTCGGTGTCTCATGCCTGTAATCCCAGCATGTTTGGAAGTCCAGGTGGGGGAATATTTTTGCATGTAAAAGATAATCTTGAAAATCTTAAACCTCGGAGTTTGAGACTAACCTGGACAACACAGTGACACTTCACCTCTTAAAAAATAGAGAGAAAGAGAGAGAGAGAGAGAGAGAAACTGGTTATCTCCAACTTTTATTTTAAAAGCTATGCAAGGTATCGATGGCAATAGTGGTCATTAATTTAGTTTACAACATATTTCCAGTTCTTGAGAGTTCATTTTTCCACAGTTGGTATAGTGACAAGCAACATTTAACTGGTTGCTACTCTGCCAGAATATCCTAAGTAGCGACAATGAACAGGGTTCATGGGCAATGGAAGTGAGAAATAAACAGTTCTTCCTCAAATTTTGGGGTTGTTTGTTGGCACTGCATAGCCTGGTCTATGCTTAATAGCACAATGTCATTTTACAAATGAAAATAGTGAGTATCAGATCAAGTATATTACTCATTAAAGTCTATGCAGCTTTTATGTAATAGACGTTGGCTGCAAACCTAGATACATTTAATTCTAAAGACTAATCTTTATTTGCTGTGATGCTAGTCTCACAGTGTGATTGAAGCTTGGAGGCCAACCTCAATTGATCTCTGATGGCTGATTTGATGCCCCTCCTCAGAAGAGATCTTAGAGAGAATGCTGGACAAGGGTAAGAACATTGCCCAGAAAAGCCTTATGAGGGACAAGCTAGGATAAGAAAAAGGAAAAACAGACTTGAAGATAAAGTAACTATTTATTCTGTGAAATGAAACTAATAAACAGTAGCCAGTTGACTTCCATTTTTGTAAGATCCAAATTCATTAATTTATGCAGTAGTAAGGACTACCATGTTCCAGAAACTCTTCTGTGGAAAACAATGGTAAGTAACTTACATAATGACAGGTAACTCACATGAATGAACAAAAGTTCTTGCCCTTGGGAAACCTGTTTTGATAGGATTCAGAATTGATTCAATGTATATGGGAAAGCTTTATATATTTTAAAATAGAATTATTGCATAGCATAGGTAATACTTTAAAGATAAAGGGATTGTTTTCCATGAAATATTTCTAAGAAAAGATGTTCATAACACGAATATTTGGGGAACAAAGAAAACAATAAGAAAACACATTAGATAACACTAATTTAATGTGTACCATAAATTCTTAAAGCCTTGCTATGAGATAAGTACTAGTACTTGACAGATTTCTAGCTGGAAAATGTATTTTAACAGAAAAAAAAGAAAAAAACACTCTGTATGGTAACATTTTAAGGCAGAAACTTGGTGGGTGCCTCTGTCCAAGGTGCTGAAATGTATTTTGTTTTTGACTAATTTGAACAATTCATATCATTAATTTTTCTCACTATGCAATTTAAATATTTTCTGTGATGTATTATTTAGGAGAGTAAGACTTTATGAATGATTTTTCTGATGATAGCATTGTTTATCAAGAGCATTTAATGAATGATATGCCACAATAGGTTTTTTCTTGCTGTGAATGTCTAGAAACAACATTTATTATAAAATGAATAATGTTTTTACCTTTTAGCCCCCCATAGTTTACACCTGAATATACTAAGTAATATTTAAAATGCAAAAGTTTTATTTTTAAGATATTTATTAACAATTGTTTCATGTGATGTATATTTCTGTTGTAGAATCTTATTTAATATGATTACTACTTTGGCAGGTGCTTCTTCAGCTCTGATTCCTCTTCCACATTTTCTATTGCGTTTGGGAAACCTCTATATAGATATATCAGGACTCCAAAAATTAAAATAAACTCAACAAATCTCATCATGTTATCTCCAAAATTTGCCCCCGTTGGTCTCAAACTCCTGGGTTTAAGATTTGCAAGATCATCTCTTACATGCAAAAACAGTCTCTCACTTCAACCTCAAAAAGTGCTGGGATTATAGGCATAGGCCACTGAACCCATCTTATGTCACAGGTTTTCAATAAATGGTAACTATATCCTTTCTCCAACTAAAGTTATCTTCTTCCGCAGCCTGTTTTCTATGCTGTAAACATTTTCCAGGTAACTCAAAGACTAGAGAGAATAATAAAAGAAGGAGGAATTGGTTTCAGCCATGAGCAATTAAGGGCTTCATCTTGCCATAATCTTCTGATAAGTGTATAGGATACCTCCCATAATTTTCCACTTGAGGGATACCACAGAAAGAACCATTGATTCATAACTTCCCTTTCCTCATTGATTGAGAGTTTATTCAGACATTTTTAACTACCACCACTTCCAGGTAGCAACTTTGTGCATGATAATCAGGCTGCCATCTGACTGTTTCTCTCACCATTATACCAGAGCAGAAAGCAAATGATGGAAGTTACAGCATTGAGTTTAGGAACTGTCATCTTGAAGGGATTCCAAATCTGCACATAAGTATTTCTTGACTCTAGGACTAGACTGAGTGGCCTCAAGTATATGAAGTTAGCCTCAAGAGACATTGATCCACCAGATAAACTGTTAAAGAAGCAGAATATTTAAAGTTCCAGACTTGGAAAGAACTGGGAACATTTAAAGGAGTTAAAGAAAGCCAGTGGACCTGGAGACCAGCAGAGGGAGAGAAAGGTGGAATATCAGGAGAAACGTAAAGGATAATTATGTGACATAGTTTTGTATTCTGTTATCAATCAAATCAGATTTAAGTCTTTGAAATGTGCTACACAGGGGATGGGTTTTTTCCTGAACCATGATCTTGTATTTTCAGTACCCATTGCTGAATGTATAATTTTCTGTGTGTTTCCCAATTTAGAGTCTTGAAAGTGAGGATTAGACTGCCAAGATTATATTTTACATCCAAAAATATCATTTTGGATTATAGGATATTCAGAAGAATAGCTGCCCTTGGATCAGGAAGTCATTTCTGATTTGCAATCAGCTGTATTTAAAGAATTTCAAGGGACAGCAGGTGCCATGATTGACATCTCTAATGTACATGGTGTAGGGAGTTTCTGAATTATATTAACCCAGTAGATAATAGGGAAATATGTTCTAAGACATTCTTATTCAGTCTGCTTTGAAATGCAGAGAAGCATTTGCTTTTACTGATAAACTATCAGTGGCATCTACATGATCTATAGACAAAAAAGGGACTTGAGTGTTCTATCATTGAATGTGAGGAAACAGAAAAAAACCCAAAGCACTGGAAGTTAAAAACTAAGTAATAAGATATATTATTTGCTAAATCTTTAGTTCAGAAATCGTGCTGAATTTTATATGTGAAAACCATACTAATGTACAACTCAGATCTCCTGCCATGGAAAGCATAGTTGACCTGTAACCCACACTGCTTCCCCTCTGAATCTACTACAGTGCTTGTACTGAGGATACTTTTCTTTCAAGTTGTACCCAGTCAGTGAATGAGCATGATGAGCATCACAATTCTGAGACACTTCTAGGAGACCCAGTATTTCTCTCACAGGTGAATTGGCTTGAGGACTCCTAATTGGCCTGACCAAACGTTTCTTAGAGCTGTGCTGCAGTCACAGAATCCTCCTACCCAATTCTTTCTTCATTTCCATCACAGGTGTTAGACATGCATCACAGTCTGAGGCTCTTCCTGTCTTCTCTGGCTGTTTCTTTCATCCTTCTCTGGCATTCCTCCTAATGAATCTCTCACATATCTCTTTGCATGTTGGATTCATCTTCTTGAAGAAACCAACTATCACAAGATACATATTTCCCTGTACTTCACTGCTACATATGCACCAAGAAAGGAAGTAATTCTTTTATAGGATGAGCTTCTAGTATTTACTTCAAAGAGGACACATAAGAAGGATAAATAAAACATATATATTGTTTGGAAACCAGTAATATAAATAAAAATATATTGATTCTCTGGTGAGATGAGATCATCTAGTTATTCTCAATAACATCAACTGTATTTTGAATGCTTTGGTAGTTCTTAGTTTTGAAAGTTGAATCTTAAGAGTCCAAGTGTTTCTACTCTTATTCTTAGGGCTGGAAGATGTCACCCTTTGTCTGAAAAAAGTTACTGAAAAAGTAATGAATAGCAGATGGTATTGGAAGGACTTTTGATTCAGATTTTCAAAAAGAGATTCAAAATACTTGGACTGTATCCAAATGAGAGGGAACTGGGAAATGAGAACTGTAATCATAGATTTAATGTGATTGAATAGAGTAGATGGAAGGTGTTTTGTTTGGCTCTAACTAAACATTTTTTCGTGGTTTTTATAAAAATACTAAGTGTAATATATATAAAATGAATACTATTAGAAGCAGAGTTCAGAGTTTCATAAACCAAAGAAACAAAACAAAAAGCATTTTATAACTTGAAACTAGTTAAGCTACCCTTGTGTAAATGTCCATTGAAATTCAATGTTGAACATTCAGTGTAGATGTTTTATAGTTATTTGTAAGCATTGAAAGTTAGAAGTATAATAGAATAATCCAGGGAGGCAAAGGAAAGAAGCCAAGTCCAAAGTTTTCACATGTTTCTTTGATTTTGGTGGCTTCTGACCACTAAAATCACTGCCAAAGAAATCATCATTATATTTCAACAAATTTGAATAGGAACAAAAACAGTAACCAGAATCCTCAGGTACTTTGTGATTATCACAAACATGTTAATTATTTCAATTGTTCAATTTATTAGAAAATTTGAAGCTTGTTAAAATTGCTCTTGATTTTTATGACTGTTTAAAGCATTAGTTCATTAATAGCTGTTCTCATTAATGCTGAAGGAAATTTGGCTTCAATATATTACTTTGTTAATGTATTTTGAGATAATAGGATGTTTATGGTATTTCACTAATTTGGAAATAAAATATTATTCTAAAACGATTTCACTTAGAAAACTCTTCCATTATTTTTATTACATCTCAAATACACAGCCACAGTTCCTAATGTTTCTGTAAATTGCTTCTTGTTGTTTTTGTTTTGTTTTGTTTTTATGGAAGTAACCACACATTTCTCTTATTGTTCTCCATATCATAGCATAAAAGAAGGATGTTTACACACATGCAATAACTCACACATGTGCATACATACACACTATTTAATTTGAGGTTAATATAAAATTAAATAATATGTGATTTGGAGCAAAGACCATGGATATTGGTTTTGCCACCAGCCTCATCTAAATTCAAATCTCACTCTACCATTTACCAGCAATATGACCTGAAACACACAACTCTAGTATTAAGACCTTCAGTAGTACTGGAATTAAATGAAATCGTGTATCGAGCATTGCCATTATTTAATCCCATGTTGACAACGAGTTTTCTCTTTGACCTGGTTATATTTCTTACCTTTGCCCTCATCTCCAGCAAGGAATTTTTCAAATAATAGAATTCAGTAAAAACAGTTCAAATGCTTTTCCAGCTGGCTGTGAAAAACATATACTGCATGAAACTTTCTTGTGGGAAAGAAAATTAGAGAGAAAGACGTATACACTTAGATATTCAACTTGGAATTAAGTTTTATAAATTGCAAAAAATAATATTTATTGAAAACCTTTAGTATATGTTTCCTCAATATATTACTTGATTTAAAATGTCTTCAATAATGGTAAATTTGCCAGAAAGAAATAATTAATAAATTGCTCTTTTTGAACTCTTTTCCATGAAATGTTAGAAATATATTCGTATATGAGCACATTTATTACCATAATATTTTTTCTAAGTCTTGAGCTAACAATATTATTTTAAATTGCCACTGTACAAGATGTCATACTAAATATTCAGCCTGCAGAAATGAATATCTAGCATCAGGAAAATGCTCTCTGTAGCTACATCTTCGTGATTTCTGTGAGGAATTGCTGATCACACACTTGGACTGCCATTTCAGAAGATCATGGTAATATGTACCCCGTAATATTCTCTGTCAGCCATGGAAGTATGTTTGCTGAATTTTATTTGTTTGCTGAATTTCATTATTCTTTCTGTAAGAATGTATTGCTTCTACACAGTAATGCAACAGAGTTGCAGTTTTCTTAGTTATATTTATTTTCATAATTTAAAATAAATTTTCTGTGAGTAGTTTTAAACTATATTTCAGTTGTGTCCATTGAAATATTGAAATTATTCACTGTTCTATTTCTCCGGCTTCAGTGCCTTTTTCCCTTAATTCACATTGCTCTTGTTTTGTAGCTGATACTTTCAGGTCAATCTCAGATATTCCACACTGCCTCATTACCATTGTGTAATTATACAAATTGTGTACATTGTGTAATTGTACAAAGTATTCTCAGATGCTTCAAGTAGTTCTCTATCTGATGTTTTATCTTCCGTACATTTCCAACTTCGGTTACATGAATGTTGTTCTTTATTTTCACTTCATTTGCCAGTCTTTCTTGTTTTTGTTTTCTATTTTAATTTTAATATTGCTTATCTGTGAGCAGAGAGAAAAAAAAAACAAAGTGTTTCTCCTACTCTCTAATATAGTCCTTCAGCACTACATTTCTGACACCAGATGCGCGGCAGTATTTTTCCACACACCAGACAATTCTCCAGCAGTCGTTAGCTGGGTGTCTCTAATTTGATTCAATTCTAACACTAACTGCCTATAGATAGGGTAAGATCCCACAGTTGAAGGGCTCAGTCCCACAAGACTGCCCCCAATGTCTGACACCAGTCACAAGAAGTAGTAGGTTGTCACCTATACTTCTGACCTACGAGCCATAATCTGAGATCCCATTGCCCCTTTCTTGGATTTGATTAATTTGCTAGAGTGGCTCACAGAACTCAGTAACGTTTACTTACATTTACTGATTTATTAATAAAAGATACAGATGAACAATCAAATGACGAGGTACATAGGGCAAGATCTGGTAATATCTGGAGTGCAGGAGCTTCTGTCCCTGTGGAGTTGGCAAAAAACACCCTCCTAGCCCTTGCCGTGTTCACTAATCTGGAAGCTCCTGAACCTCACAGTTGGATGGATTCAGGCAGCTGATGAATGATGGATTATTAACTGAATTTCTAGTCCTTCTTCCATCTCTGGAAAATGAGGTTAGGGCTGAAAGCTCTAAGTTTATAATCATGGCTTGGTCTTTCTAGTGATGAGCACTCATCCAGGAGCACACCAAGAGTTAACCCATTAGACGAAAAGATCTCCTATCACCAAGGAAATTCCAAGTGATTTAAGAGCTTTGTATCAGATTCTTCTATCACTCAGGAAATTATAAAAGCCTTAGGAGCTCTGTGTCAAGAACCAGTTCAGATATCAAATATTAGAACAAAAGATTCTCCTGGAACCCCTAACTTTCAAGAAATCCAAGGATCATAGAAGCTCTGTGCTAAGGATTCTGGGCAGAGATCCAATATTTATATTTATTATTTCCTACCTGTATTTATCAAATCGATTCATATTTTCTTTATCAATTTATAATGTTCTGTCTTCATCTGTAGTATTTTTCTATTTTCCATTGTTTCTTATGTTTGTTTTATTATTTTATTGAATTATTATTCAATTTATGTTCTTTCTAGTTGATAATGATAGCATTAAAAATTATTCATTTGCATGATTAAATACAGCTTTCATTCCATTACTTTTAAAAATAATTTTTCTAACATTTATTACATATATATGTGTGTGTGTGTGTGTGTGTGTATGTGTGTTTATATGTAATATTTAACCACTATAATTATGACTTTTAGTTTTCTCTGGAACCATTATTTCAATGATACTTTTACATAATAATTATTAATTACTTCTTATGTGGTAGCTATTTTGACCCCTGGTTTTATTTATGAAGTCAATATGGAGGACAGAAATGTACATACATACACATATATATATATATATATATATATATATGAAATATATAAATGTGCGTTTATTTATAAAAGTTACTACCTATAATAAGTGCTCTAATGTGAATAAATAGGGCTCAATGTGGGGGGATTCCCACATTTATAGGGTACACAAAGGATGTTTCCTTTGGAGTACAATTAGGCCTAGATTGAAAAGATAAGAAGGGGCCTAGAAATCATAGGGGAAAGAACAGTCTAGGCTGAAATAACAGGTTCTTAGCTGTGAACACCTTATGGTCTTTAAAACGGCACTAGAGAAACTTGCAGATGTTGGCAAGGCCAGATATTGCAGAGCTTTCTAGGAAATAAGTGCCTAATTTAATTTATATTAAAAGCAAAAACAGAAAATGGCTCAAGCTGCTGTGTGGAAAATTGATTGCAGTGAACAAGAGTGGAAGTGGAAAAAACAGGATATTGAGCCAATTTAGTAGTTCAGGAGAAATCACGAAAATGGTATTCCTTAGTTTGGAGCAGTACAGCTAGAGAAAAATGAATTATGGAGGTACAAACAACAGAAATACAGTATAAGTGTATGTGTTTTCCCAGAATCATGAATAAATTTTCATGTCAATGCCATTAGTTAGGATAAATGCCACTAGTTAGAAATGCATATTCTTTGCAGTTTGCTACCATATCTACCAGTCTACCAGTCTCAGCTAGGCTGCTTCAGAAATTATATATTTAGGTAACCTATTTGGCTTAGAAGACATTTAAGGAGATGAATATACATATGCATGCATTCATGAAGCTCACATTCATTCAGCATAATTGGAGGGATAATATGTATAAGTATATAGGTTACAGCATTCCTATTACTAAGGCATCCTGGCTCCATCACTCAGAGTTTCTTAACTTCTAAAGAAAAGAAGTTGTAGCAGTTACTATTACTGTTTAACAAAGTACACCATAACTTACTGCATGAAGCAATCACATTAACAGACTCAGTTTTTGTAGACCAAGAATTTAGATATAGCACAGTGGGGAAGGTGGGATGGTTTATCCTGATTATACCATGCCTGGGGCATCAGCAGGGAAGATTAGAAATCTAGAGGTGATTCAGTACCTGAGGGCAGGAGTTTTCTGGGGTCATCTTTACTCAAATGTGCAGTAGTTGATTCTGGTTGTCAATTGAAATATTTGCTGGCCTAATGGCTAGAAAGCCTATGCATTACCTCTCTCATGTGATCTCCGAGTATGGACTATTTTGGGCTCCCTCACAGTACACTGGGTTGGTTGCTGGACCAGGTACCCCAAGAGAATCAAACAAATGTGTTATCTTTTATGATCTAACACTGCAATACTCTTAACATTACTTCTACCAGAGTCGCAAGTCTACCAGGATTATAAAGAAGTAACATAGGTCTGACCTCTTAATGGAAGTTAGGTCAAAGTTGCATCGTAAGAACACATGCATTGGGGAATATTGTTGGAACCATTTCTGGAAAATACAACTTATCATGCATGTAGTTTTAGTAAATAATGGAACTCTGGAAGTATGATAGACTATACCTACCTTTCAAAAAGGTAGAAACATCTTTACTTCATCGAATATATCATTTTAGTTTAAATGTTACTTTAATTTTCATCTTGACAGTTTAAGGAATGCAGGTCATGGTTGAAAACTACATCATTTAAAGACCATTAAGAAATATACATTTTCCAGAATAGTAGAAAAAGCATTTCAGTTTCTTATTAGCTTTTCCTATGATGAATCACAAAATGAATCAGCTTTACACTAGGAAGTCAGCATGGCTCAATAAACCAATCAATGAACTAAGGCTTGAGCATATGGTAAATATACCCTACTCTCCCCAAGATATTTTAAGCCTCATCAAAACAGTCCAAGCCAGATGCACGTCTAATTTTTTTTATTGCTACTGTAAAATCCATACCAGAAATGATTTTTAACCCTATGGAAGTTCTTAAAATATATTCACATCCATATTTGAATGTCTGCTTTCCTAACTTTTCAGCTTATCAATTAGAATATATTGGAACTAGCTCAAGAAAAACTGAGAAAACCTGTAGTACAACTGGCTTTTCATGGTATTTACTGTCAAAGGTTAAGAGAATGATAAAAGTGTTGAATTATGACCCACATGTATATTGATACCAGGACATTCTTCTAACCTACACTCAGTGTAATAGAATATAGAAGAGAAAGATTATAAGAAGCACATTAAACTAGCCATGCCTGTCATTTAATAATACTTTGCTGCAAGCAAGTCACCTCACTAAGTACTTATCTCCATTTACTTCCTTTAATGTTCGCAGTAGGTCTATACAGTATCTTAAATGAACAGTTTTTGTGTGTTTTTTTGTTCTATCCATCAAGACAATAAATTCTGGGATACATAGCCTGAAGCACATATGGAAATTTAGAAGTGGATAAATAACCTTTCCATATATTCACTTTTGCATCTCCAAGATTTGTTTCTGAATAACAGAGAAGAAGGGGAAGACCAAACCTGAAATTCTAAGGACTGATGTTACACATTAGCCTAGTATATTCCTTAAGAAGAAAGAAAAAAAAGAAAGCTTAACAGAAAGACCACTCAGACACTTTCTAATATCTTGTTAATTAGACCTGGGTCACATGATCACCTTTAGACTATATAAAAATGTTTGGTACAACAAATACTTTTTCTTCCTTTGCCTCTACAGTAGAGAAACGCTAGGGATTCTGTATATGTTAGCACCTAGCAGTGTCGGCTGCACACCCTCTATGATCAGGGCTGTTATTCTTATCCACATTTTACAGTTGAGAGGAGTGTGGCTTAGAGAGCTTAAGTAGGTTTCCAAGAGTTATATTGTCAGTTATTAATGGAGCTGGGCTAGAAACTGGGCTTGTGAATTTAGAGTCACATTTTCAATGGGTACACAGTATTGCTTCTTATTACTGTCATGGATCCAAAAGTCATTATTACAAGAAAAGTGTTGAAAAGGGCATTTCATGCAAATGGATACCAAAAGGGAACAGGAGTAGGTATCCTTATTTCAGACAAAACAAACTTTAAGGCAACAGCAGTTAAAAGAGACAAAGAGGGACATTATATAATGGTAAAATGTCTTGGCCAACAGGAAAATATCACAATTCTAAACATATATGCACCTAACACCGGCACTGCCAAATTTATAAAACAATTACTAATAGACCTAAGAAATGAGATAGCAACACAATAATAGAGGGAGCCTTCAGTACTCCATTGGCAGCACAAGACAGGTCATCAAGACAGAAACTCAATGAAGAAACAATGGATTTATAGTATACCTTGGAACAAACGGACTTAACAGATACATACAGAACATTTCATCCAACAACCGCAGGACACATATTCTATTCAATAGCGCATGGAACTTTCTCCACGGTAGGCTATATGATAGGTCACAAAATGAGCCTCAAAAATTTTAAGAAAATTGAAATTATATCAAGTGTCTCTCAGACTACAGTGGAATAAAACTGGAAATCAACTCCAAAAGGAACCTTCAAAATCATGCAAAGACCTGGAAATTAAATAACTTGCTTCTGAATGGCATTGGGTGAAAAATGAAATCGAGATGGAAATTTAAAAGTTTTTTAACTGAATGACAATAATGACACAACATACTAAAACTTCTGAGGCCAGGCACAGTGGCTCACACCTGTAATCCCAGCCCTTTGGAGGCCGAGGCAGGCAGATAACCTGAGGTCGAGAGTTTGAGACCAGCCTGGCCAAAATGGTGAAACCCAGTCTCTACTAAAAATACAAAAAGTCAGCCAGGCATGGTGGCAGACACCTGTAATCCCAGCTACTTGGGAGGCTGAGGCAGGAGAATTGCTTGAACCCGGAAGGTGGAGGTTGCAGTGAGCCAAGATCACACCACTGGACTCCAGCCTGGACACAACAGAGCAAGACTCCATCTCAAGAAAAAAAAAAAAATTCTGGGATAAAGCAAAGATAGTGTTAAGAGTTCTGGGATACAGCAAAGGTAGTGCTAAGAGGAAAGTTCTTAGCTCTACACACCTATATAACAAAGACTGAAAGAGCACAAACTGACATTCTAAGGTCACACCTCAAGGAACTAGAAGAACAAGAACAAACCAAACCCAAACAATGCAGAAGAAAGAAAATAATCAAGATCTGAGCAGAACTAAATGAAATTGAAACAAAAAAATTACAAACGATAAATGAAACAAAAAGCTGGCTCTTTGAAAAGATAAATAAAATTGATAGACCATTAGCAAGATTACCCAAGAAAAGAGAGAAAATGCAAATAAACTCACTAAGAAATGAAACAGGAGGTATTACACTGACACCACTGAAATACAAAAGATCATTCAAGGCTGGTATGAACACCCTTATGCACATAAACTAGAAAACCTAGAAGAGATGGATAAATTCCTGGGGAAATACAACCCTCCTAGCTTAAATCAGGAAGAGTTAGATACCCTAAACAGACCAATAACAAGCAGCAAGATTGAAATGGTAATTAAAAATTACCAATAAAAAAAAGCCCAGGACCAGACGGATTCAGAGCAGAATTCTACCAGACTTTCAAAGAAGAATTGGTACCAATCCTTGTGACACTATTCCACAAGACAAAGAAAGAAGGAACCCTCCCTAATTTATTCTATGAAGCCAGCATCACTTTAATACCAAAACCAGGGAAGGACATAACAAAAAAATAAAATAAAATTACAGACCGATATCCTTGATGAACATAGATGCTAACATCCTTAACAAAATACTAGTTAACCAACCAAATCCAATGACATGTCAAAAAGATAATCCACCACGATCAAGTGGGTTTCATACCAGGGAGGCAGGGAGGGTTTAACACAGACAAATTAATAAATGTGATACACCACATAAAATTTAAAACAAAAATCACATGATCATCTCGACAGATAAAAAAAATTAGAGAAAATCAAGCAATCTTTATGATCAAAACTCTCAGCAAAATCAGCATACAAGGGACATACCTTAATGTAATAAAACCATCTATGAAAAAGCAACAGCCAACATAATACTGAATGGGGAAAAGTTGAAAGCATTCCCTCTGAAAACTGGAGCAAGACAAGGATGCCCACACGCACCACTGCCCTTCAACATAGTATTGGAAGTCCTATTGAAAACCCTAAAGATTCCTCCAGAAAGCTTCTAGAACTGGTAAAAGAATTCAGCAAAATTTCCAGAGATTAATGTACACAAATCAGTAGCTCTCCTATACACCAACAGTGACCAAGTGGAGAATCAAATCAAGAACTCAACCCCTTTTATAATAGCTGCAAAAAAAAAATACTTAGGAATATACCTAACCAAGGAGTCAAAAGACCTCTACAAGAAAAACTACAAACACTGCTGAAAGACATCATAGATGACAGAAACAAATGGAAACACATCCCATGCTCATGGATGGGTAGAACTAATATTGTGAAAATGATCATACTGCCAAAAGCAATCTACAAATTCAATGCAATCCCCATCAAAATACTACTAACAGTCTTCACAGAACAAACAATTCTAAAATTCATATGGAACCAAAAAAGAACCCACATATCTAAAGCAAGACTAAGCAAAGGAGGCATTACACTACCTGATTTCAAACTATACTATAAGGCCATAGTCACCAAAACAGCATGGTACTGGTATAAAATAGGCACATAGACCAATAGAACAGAATAGAGAACCTAGAAATAAGCCCAAATGTTAACAGCCAACTGATCTTCAACAAAGCAAGCAAGAACATAAAGTTCGGAAAGAAAAGGTGTTCCCTTTTCAACAAATGGTACTGGGATAATTGGCTAGCCACGTGTAGGAGAATGAAACTGGATCCTCACCTCTCACCTTACACAAAAATTAACTCAAGATCAATGAAGGACTTAAATCTAAGACCTGAATCTACACAAATTCTAGAAGATAACATTGGAAAAACCCTTCTAGACACTGGCTTAGGCAAGGATTTCATGACCAAGAACACAAAAGCAAATGCAATAAAAACAAAGATAAATAACTGGGAACTAATTACACTAAAGAACTTTTGCATGGTAAAAGGGACAGTCAGCAAAGTAAACAGACAATCCACGGAGTAGGTGAAAATCTTCACAATCTATACATCTAACAAAGGACTAATATCCAGAATTTACAATGAATTCAAACAAATCAGTAAGAAAAAAATGAAACAATTCCAAAAAAGTGGGCTAACGACATGAATATAGACAATTCTCAAAATAAGATAAACAAATGGCCAAAAAAAAAATGAAAAAATATGCAACATCACCAATGATCAGGGAAATGCAAATCAAAACCACAATGCAATACCATTTGACTCCTACAAGAATGGCCATAATAAAAAAAAATCACCAAACCGTAGATGTTGGCATGGATGTGGTGAACAGGGAACACTTCTACACTGCTGGTGGGAATGTAAACTAGTACAGCCACTATAGAAAACAGTGTGGAGATTCCTTGAATAACTAAAAGGAGAACTACCATTTGATCCAGCAATCCCATTACTGGTTATCTACCCAGAGGAAAAGAAGTAATTATTTGAAAAGGATACTTGCACATGCACGTTTATAGCAGCACAATGCACAATTGCAAAATTGTGGAACCAACCCAAATGCCCATCAATCAGCAAGTGGTAAAAAGCCTGTGAGACATATATATATATATATATATATATATATATATATATATATATATATATATATATATATATGATGGACTACTACTCAGCCATAAAGAGGAATGAATTAACAGCATTTGCAGTGACCTGAATAAGACTGGAGACTATTATTCTATGTGAAGTGTCTCAGGAATAGAAAACCAAACATCATATGTTCTCACTGATATGTGGGGGCTAAGCTATGGGGATGCAAAGGCATAAGAATGATACAATGGACTTTGGGGACTTGGGGGTAAGAGCAGGAGGCAGGCGAGGGATAAAAGACTACAAATATGGTGCAGTGTATACTGCTCGGATAATGGGTGCATCAAAATCTCACAACTCACCACTAAAGAACATACCCATGTAACCAAATACCACCTGTACCCAATAACTTATGGAAAAATAAATGAATAAATAAATTTGTAGACCCAGTTTAGTGATTGCCTGTTTGTCCCCCATTCATCTCTTCAATCTTGTGTCTGGACATTTAACATGTGGCCTTGATTTTCCAGTTATATGGATTAAAGTAAACAATGTTGTTTCTCCAATTTTTCAGAACCTTAATTAAATATTCTGTTTTCAGTCTTATACTGGACATGTGTATGCTGCTCACTCTGTACTCCAATGTTAGTGACCACAACAAAATACGTTCATAATAATGCTTTAGGGTTTAGTCTGGGTACGTGGGGCCTGGATTCATAGACAGGCAATCTGGTAGAGTGCTCATAAGAATAGGCTCAGTCTGGCATGCCTGGGTTTAAACCCAGTTGTACCACTGCAATCGCTATCTCTGTGTCCTTGGCAGGCACGCCAACCACTACATCGCTATCTCTGTGTCCTTGGGCAGGTGTAGTCAGCCACTCTGTGGCTCAGATTTCTCCTGTGAAAATAATAATAGTAGCTATTTCTTAGCGATGTTGTAAGGATGAAACTGGTTATTATAAATATAGCTCTTAGGGCACTGCCAATATTTATTCAGCACTGGCTATGATTATGTTTTCTTATTGTCATATTAATTTTTATGTTCTCATTCTTTATTCCCAAAAGCCATTCCCTCACATAAGTCCTCATAGAAAAACGTGTCTAACATGACTCCTATTCCCATTTTAATTTCATGTATTACACTTATTTGTTAAAAGTGGTCAGATTAGATTTAAACTAAGATGTGCTTGTGTGGTAGGTAAAAGTTCAATTGCAGGGCCAGTCGATATTATCAATACACTTTGGTACATGCCCAATTATATTTTTGTAAATAATTTTGTGCACATAGTAAAAATTCAATACATAATATTTTACTCTATAAAAATTAATGATTCTTCTCTCACTTTAGTGTCTGTGTGCCGATGCCTCCGTAGGAAAAATTGAATAAATACGCACCAAAGTGAGAAATGAGTTGTATTAAATTTATACTGAAGTGCGTGGTCATCTTAGTAATTCTAGAACTTTCCATAAACTATTTTATGAAATGCATCAACGTTTCTATTTTAGTGTCAAGACACCAGAAAAAATTAAAAATGATTCTACTGTATTTAGTCCTACGATAGATCACACGACTATTCATCGAAGTGAAAATACTGGTGCCAACAAAAGCCAACCTTTCAAGAAATAATCTGCCTACAGTGTTTGATCCAGTATCTATACACATAAAACCAGCTGCAAGATAAGCAATACAATTTAAAACAGTTGTTACAATTTCAAGTGAAATTGGTTGCTTCCAATAAGACTTCCTTTTATATAGAGGGGAAACTCACAGTGTGGCAATAAATTCATATTCATTTAAATTAGTGCCTAAATATAATGTGGGTGGTCTCCCAAGCACTCCTTGGTGAATTATTGGCTAAGAGGTGTTTAGAAAGTCTGGGAGGGTGGGTAGTGATCATGGGTGATAGATACTGTCAAGAACTGAAGACAATAATGAACTCATATAGTTAGAGTTCTAGGGAGAATTCATTTTTAAAGGAGTTTTTTGGATAAAATACTACAGAATGCCCAATTAGACATTCAAAAATAAGGAATACTGCCTTTGAGACTCTGAAGAAAGAGGATAAAGGAGGATTAAAATTAAAATAATCACTTTTTATACTCATACTCTAGAATATTATCTTGCTTCCTACCATACCATCACTTAAATGACTTACTCCTAATAATCTTTTACATCTCAGATTAGCTTCTGAACAGTTAAGCCTGGATTTTTTTCACCTATTTGGGCCTCAATTTAGTTCCTCTACATAGCTCATATCAGATTGTTCATAATTTTCTGGTTATTATTTGTTTTTTTCATTTGATTCTAAACTATTTAGCCAGTAACTATGGCATTTTTATTGTTATACTCCTAGCAGGAAAGGAACAGCCAGGAAGACCACGACCTTGTGGTGGTCCAGGTTTTTTTTTTTTTTTTCCCCCTCCTACAAATTGTCCAAGAAAGGTATGTAGTGTAGACCAAAATATATATTTTTGGCTAACAGAACTTTTGGCAACACATGTAAATTTAAGAAATCTAGTAAATTAGATTTTGGCTCTTACAACAAACATATGTCTCAAAATTTACTACACCAATGTGCCAAAAATTTTATTTGCCAGTATCCGAAAATACAGAGCCAGAGGGAAAAAGAACAATCTTCTTAGATGCACTGGTCAAGCTTGCCAAGGCATCCTGGCTAAGCCATGGCTATTGGACCCTGTAACATGAGGCTGAGAATTGAGATTTGCTAGGGGTGCCTCTAGCTCCTGTTTTTCATGTAGGAAGAAAGAATATATGTGACCATAAAGTGCACTAACTTTAATCTGTTCTGAATCCTATTAATATCCTGACATACTCTAAGTATTTCCATTTTCCCTTCCAAATCTTCCCTCCACCCTTCTGCCCTCTGCACTGTGTCCCAGAAAAGAGATGTATGGCTTAGATCAATGGCCCCCTTGCCATCTGGCCTCTGCTTAGGTTGTTCCAGTTGGGAGGCCTAGCAGAAGAGAAGAGGGAGGAGAAAGTCATGCCACTGGAATATTTGTTCCACAGGTTCCCTCCAGCAGCGTTGTCACAGCTGCCTATATCCTTAACTGATGAAGGCCACACTTCATGTCAGATGTTCTTTTGCACACAGAGTTTTTTTGTTTGTTTGTTTGTTTGTTTGTTTTTTCCCCCTGAGACTTAACTCTCCCTGGCCCCGGCTACACGGCTAGAGTGTAGTGGTGCAGCGGCACGATCTAGGCTCACTGCAATCTCTGCCTCCTAGGCTCAAGTGATTCTCCTGAGTAAGCCTCCAGAGTAGCTGGGACCACAGGTGTGCACCACCACGCCCTCGGCTAATTTGTGTGCATGTGTGTGTGTATTTTGTAGAAACGAATTTTCACCATGTTGGCCACACAGCGTTTTACAGCTTTTTACAACTACTCCCTCCCCTTGGTCCTTTATCTCCACCTCCTCCTTTTGTAATTTGTTTCAGGATTCTGGAAGAGCCTAGGGGTATATCCTAACTCTAACTCTTTCCCATACTTTTGTTAAGTGTCCTTTCATTAAAACCTCTGCAAATTACATGATTTGAACATCTGATTCTTCTTCTGAGATCATTACTAAAAAACACATAAAAAACATCTTGGGATGAAAACAAATTTTCATACCTTCCTTACTCATCCTTAAAGAGACAAAGTCAGGGAAGATGGGAGAGATTATGTATGTGGTATAAATCATTTGAATTCTTTTATAATATGCCTTAAAACCTGGGGTTTGCCTTGTAAACACAGAACATATAAGCAAAAGCCTTGAGCTTGCTGTGCATAATATGGTATAGGTCAGCCAAGCTCCCTGGCTCATTAGTTTCTTCTTTGTCAAGTGGAGGGCTTAATATTTGTGCCTCATATTCCACAGACTTTGATAGTGGCCAGCTGATATCACTAATATGAAAACGTGTGTACAGTAAAACAATATGCTAATATTAGTTATTAATGTTAATACAAACAGAGATCTTCAAAGTTTCAAATCTTTTTTATTATGATAGTAATTTTAAAAAATGATAGACTAGGTAATAATTGAGATTTTAGCCAAAGTATTTGAATGCAAAAAGTAAAGAGAATTAAATACTAAAAATCAAATTATCAGTATGAATGTAAGAAAATTTTAGTAGTGACTTGAATCAATATTCAGATATTTTATTTAAGGTAAACATAGAGTATGCATGTCTAAACTTCCCTACTCTATGGTGTTAACTTGAAGGAGCTCTCCTATTTTATTCAGAGTATACAATTGTTTAACAAACTACTCTTTATGACTATTTTAAATATAAATTTTAATCATTGAAATGCACATACTGAAATGCAAAAGGAAAGACTATGAGTAATGTACAAAGTGAATTAAATATTCTGATGAAATTACTAAATTATTCATAAAGGGCTGCTTGGGTTTTAGTGCTGCAAAAATATATTGTTAAAAGCAAGATTTCATATTGACACAAACAATCTTAATGGGAAAACATACCTTATGCTGCCTCAAGAGGGAAAACACTAAAATTACTTTAATATTTGTATTTCTCACTTTTCTTTTACTTAAAGCATCTTGTGTCAATTTTAGTGGTGACAACAACTTTCTCTCTAGATTAACCTACTTTATCTACTTCAAATAATATTGAAATAATTATGAAGAAGCATGTATTTTCATTAATGAAACAGATTTATAATAATTTTTTACAGATCTTAAAAAAGAGGGCATAGTTTTAATTAATGTCGCTTTGAGAGAAGCTAAGAGGATGAAGTACAGTGGAGAGCAATTAATTGCATTACTTCACACCTTCAACGCAGATCTTTTCCTTTTAAAGTTAAAAATTAAAAGAATTAAAAAAGCACTTTAAATATCTGGTGCTTTCTAATTAGTAGTAAAATTTTTCTAAAACAATAGTTGGCAAACTTTTTTCTGTAAAGTGACAATGAGTAAATATTTAGGCTTTATGGGCCATTTAATTTCTTTTGAAACTACTCAGCTCTGTTGCAATAGCGAAAAAGCAGCCATAGACAATAGCGAATGAACAAGGTGATTGTATCCTATTAGTCACTGCTATGGCCATAGTTTGCCAATATCTTTCTTAAAAAGTGAGTTCTCTATATTTTGAGTGAATATCAGGAGTAATTTTTACAAACATACCTAGTACATGTTTAAAATGTTCCAGCTGAAATGAAATCCACTTTAGAAATAAAGGATGAAAAGAGCATGCTATTATGCTGTTACTAAATAATATAGTGTTTTCATGCTTTAGGCAAATGGAGTGGGCTGTTTTTCAGGTCTTTGCTTCTCTTTTGTGAAGGAAAGATGTTCTAGTGTTGGAATAAGTGCAGTCACTCTACCATCAGAGTCCTTCCATGTAAATGAAAGAGAAGGTCTTTACAGATACAGGTACCTAAATTTAATTTTAGGTTACAGGTATATGAACTTGGAGAATGTGTCTACTATACTGAGCTTTGGTCTTTTCACCTGTTAAATAGTGTTCTCTGCTTTGAAAACTGTTATTAATATATAATGCATTTGTAGTTCTAGACACATAGCAGGTACTCCAGAAACAGCAGTCATCCCCTGCCTTCTTCAGCTTTATGAAAATAGCATATCTGTTATTTGGACCTGAGAGAAGAATCACAAAGTTTTAAAAAATATTGTACTGTGGCAACAGGGAAGGGAGAACTAGGAGAATGAAGCAGATAATACCTTATCTCTTGATATTCTGACTTTTAATTTTCCTTCAGTAACTGTTCCTTCAAGTGGAATAGAGTTTTTCATAACATGGGATAGTTGGAATGGTCTAGATATTCATCCTGACCAATATATATTGCTCTCACTGGCACACCTACTGAAGAATACCTGGCCGTTCAAACAGGGTAAAATCACAAATAGTTAGAATAATCCAGACATTCATAGAGCAGTGAAAATCATGCATAAGCTTCAATTATCTTTACCTAAGCTTTTCAAGTTAAACTCCTTTTCAAAAGTCTCAGTCAAGAAGAAACTTTTTAAGGCTCTTAATTGAAAAACTAATGTGAAATTACAAGGATCAGAAGTGAACTTCAATACTGAAGCTATGATCACATACTCTGAAACAGTGAAGGGATATAGCTGTATGAAAACTATCAAGAAAGACACAATTTAAGAGAATGTGACTCTTTATTTATAACAAGTTACTGGTATTTTTTTTGTTCTAAGGATCATGAGAGTAAAGAACACTGAAAAATTGAGACACCTTTGCCACAAAATTACAAATGTTCCTCAAAACAATGAGGCAGTAGCAGAATAACAGAAGCCATTATAATCACAAGCCATAAAACTTTATTATACAAAGTGACTACAAACACTTAATAGATGCAAATAATTGTTATTACAGTGAAGGATTGAAAACCAAACTATTTCCATTTAGGTAAATCATGTCTCAAAAGTCTTCTAATTAGCCCTTTTTGCTTAGCTGCATTTCAGTTATCACAGCCTTTACTATTCACACACTCAAAGGGTCCAGGTATGTTTCATTGTCCAACAATAACAATTCTTTTATTTATTCTGACATAAATATTTCAGAAATTGTTTGAGGAACAGAAATCAACTTTCTGGATTTGTCTACACACAGTAGACTATTTCTACCTGCAATTCTCTTATTCTCTTTGTCCAAATATATATATAATTTTATACATATATATATGTATGTATGTCTCAGTTAGAAAACTGGAAATGGTTATTTGAATAGAAAACTCTTTTAGTGAGGAACATTTTTCAAAAAATAAGAATCTAGACAGATCACTTTAGGATTTACATTTCAGATTATTTTTTTCTTCATCTTTTATGTGTGAAAAAGATAAATCAACAGGAAAAATAAGCCTTTGTATTACATTCAGAATTTCCTTATGGTGTCTTTGTACCCATCTACATGCAAGCAAGTATCTACTACAGGATCCCTTCCACCCAACACACCATGTCTCTCAGTTATGTTGTCTGTTAGTCAAAGCTTAATGTCTGCCACTTTTCTTTCTATTTGGGCCTATCATCCCCCATCTCCGCTGAAGACTTGTGTCACAAGAGTACGGATTTCATCCTCATATTAGCCACTATAAGCTTATACGCCTAACTGGCTTGTTATATTCCAAACCATCACACACAAATAAGATGAAACTTCTGCAGAAATTTTAATAATGTATCTTTTGTACTCAAGTATCTCTGTGAACTTTTTATGACTTCGTAATTTCCCCTAGCCTCCTGAAGTCCACATTCGTACTTCTCAGTTTATTGTTCTAACCTAACCTTTCATTGTCTCTATATGAATCTTAACTTCCAATTAATATGGAATTTTCATTTGTGCCCAGGCTTCTGTTTCTTTTTTCAAGCTGTTTACCCAGTTGGAAATTGTGATCTCTCTCCCTCTTACCTGTTGAATCCCCAGCTCGCATCTCTAAACACATATCCTCCACAAAACCTTCCCAAAGTTATCCTCCCTTCCTTAAATTGTATAACTAATCCTCTCATCTTTCTGACTACATTATATGTTCCTTGAAAGTCATCTTTATATTCCCTTTTGTATTTAGAACAGTACTTTGTACACAGAAAGTGCTGCATATATATTTGAATGAGGTTACCTCACTTCCGAAATGCAAACACAAAAAGTCAGAGCTGACCTTACATTAACTAGAGCAATGTGGTCAATAGTATTTGAAAACTCCATTTGGAAAGTCCTTGATAAAGTTTGGTAATGGTTTTTGTAACTGTATAGAAGCCTGGCAAGACCTTCCTAGCAGTAAAAAGCAATAAAGAATGACCAACAAAAATGGAAATACCAAGTATGTCTTGCCATCATACGGTACAGCACTGAGAAGCTGAATAAATTTGATGATGTGAAGAAAACTTGGTAGGTCAGAAATAAATGTTTCTAGTGAGACAAGCAGTAAAGGCTTAAGAGTCTACTGGGTACCTTCAATGCCAGTTCTAAAACCAATGAAATAATTTCAAATGTAGTATTTTTTTACAGGAAATTTTGTAAGAGTAAAAATAGGTACTGGTATAGAACTTTGAAAATATTATGCATGTATTTATTCATTCGTTATACATTTACTTAAATACTGGTTATTTATTTCAATCTACTAAAATCATCTTATTTAAAGCTCCTCTCTTGTAAAATCAAAGTGTTTTGTGTATTTTTCACAAATTTTGACCTGGAATATAATTTCACATTTATAACTATGGGGCCCTTGGTGTGAGAGAACTGTAGCCTATTCTTTTTTATGCTGAATTGGCATGAATGCAGATTTCAATTTTATTCTTGTTCTTGAGACAAAAACATTGTCTATTTTATGATGATATACTAATGCCAGAATATGGAAACACAAGTGAAAAAATCCTTATGATTGCCTTCATATTTATACACATTTACTGTGCTTAATTTAAAGTTGATCAATTTTAAAAACTTATTAAAGAAATCTGTCTTTAACTTAAAATAAAATGCCTCCAATTAGTTATCTAATTCCCACTTACATCAAGACTTCAGACTTACTGGGAAATTTTTCCCTGTCCCTGCTAAATTCTCAAGTATTCTATGTATTTTTTACTTTTTTTTAGAACTTACTTGGGTTTACAAAAATTAATTTAAGTGAGCCTAATTTTGTCCATGGAATTCGAAGATAAATAAAATATTACCCTGTCATTGTAAATCCAAAATCACATTTTCCCCTCTCAGAATTTCTAGATCCTTGTCACATATTTAGAGGATAGGTCTATATAAACAAACATTTTTACAAATGATCTTATTCCTTGTGCTCCAGGTATCCTTCCCAATTCTTTATATCTAATTTTGGGGTCTATGTTAGCATTAAAAACATTGAAAGCATCCAGGAAAATCAAGTTCCAATAAATTCAATAAATTATTATATAACTCCCCAGAGAAAGAGGAAGATTTTTTAAAAAAATTATTTCTCAAGGTGGTGAAACTTATACTTGGAATAGAGGAACAGGAAATGAACTGAATCAGCTTTGAAAAAAAGCTGTATTTGATTTCTTGAGAAAGAAGTCTAAATGTAGTTTTACCTTTTTATTCTTATTTTTAGAAATAATAAGATTTGTACGCCATTCTTTCTGATCACACATTTAAATAAAACTGATCAAAATACCACTTGCTTTGAAAACAAAGTGCTTGCTTGATGGTATATACAAGGAAAGGCATCTTTCATATATTTACAAATTTTATTTCCACTTGTAAATATTGTCAACATTTAAAACCAAGTTAATGAAACACCAGTGAGAAAATCAAAGCTATTTTTTTTCTTTTACATAGAACGTGGTTCAGAAGGAAAAGCTATTTATATCAAGCACTTTTAAGTATTTTAAAATACAGTCATGCTCAGATACACTTGAAAGAGTCCCAAAATCAAAACTGTCTCATGATAGTAAGCTATAGCTTCAAACATGAAAATAGCCATACAATATTTTAGTAAAGTATTTTATTCTTTATTACTACTTTATTTTTTATTTATCCTTAAATGAATGCTCACTTTCAAAACATCCATCAGTACTCAATGTTATTAAAATGAATGTATGAATAATCTGTAAATGAATATATAGATGGCCAAAGTTTAGTTTGGCTGTTCATTCAAGAAAAGCAGTGTCGGTGGATATTGGGCATTACCATTTGATTCATGCTTATTTTTTTCCAGAAGTTTATGAGCAAGTGAAAAAAAAAATAGAGTTAGCTGGGAACACACAGTAAATTATAAATAAATTAATTAAAAATTTAAAAAACTAGATATTTCCAATACACGTGTATAATCATGCCAGACATTCACTAACCACGCAGCGGAATTATAACATTAAAAACTAGAGTAACAATTGCAGAGGTGACAGGTTTCCTCTCAAACCTTAAGTAAGATAGGCTGTGATCATAAAACTCTTCATCATGGTCATTGGTCTTGGCAACAGAAACAATCTTTAAAGGTTATTTCCAAGCTAAACCTGGTGGTTCTCCAGAAATTTATGTGATGAATCTTATAAACAATTGGTATGTCAAGCTACTTACAGGATTATAATGATTGAAGCCTAAATTTATTCTTAACAAAAGAGACATTTTTAAAACTATTAACTGATAGATTTTACATCCAGTGAGATGCTAAGAATTTAGAGAGCACTCACATTCATGTTCATTAAAGATGCCTCTAACAAAACTCCCTCTTTAACATGATTTTGAGGCTGCCCCCAGTTTCTAGAAAAAAAAAAGAATATTATAATAATGTATAATGTAGTTGCAAAACTGACAGGGTCCAAAACTTTGGAGCTGGAAGAGGCAATATGTAACGCAGGCCTAAAACTGTTTTCTGCATATTACTAGTCTAAAAACAATGCTAATAGCACATATTTAAGATTTTGTCCTCAATATGACCGGCAACTCAGTTTGCCAGGTAATAATTTTTTAACCACGTGAGTAAATACAAGCAATGTTCCTCAATATTTTTATTTTAGGGACTGCAACACTTTCATAAAACATAAAGAAAAAAATAATCATTTCTCTCTGCATTTAATTTGCATTAATGTGCATTTGCAGATTTTAATATTTCAGTGTTAACCTCATCATACATTATAAATGCTATGAAGCAGAGAATAAAATGGTTAGATTTTACCTGATTTTTTCATCTTGCATTCTTAAAAAATGACTGGTGGCTTCATTCCAAGTTTGCAAATCACCAAAGTAAATGCAACTGGCGTTCTGTTTAATATTGTGTCAGAAAATGGACTGGATTAAAAGACAGGTAAAAATTGACCTTTTCATAAGTCTTCAGTAACTGATAGTTTAAAAATAAATCAATTTCTTCTTGGGAATACAATATCTTGGAAGAAAATCCAAGAAAACTATGGCTTTATGTTATCAACTAACTGTATTTCAAGCAGGGTAATCAAATGAAAAGCAAGAAAAAACAAATTAACAGTCTTTTTTCTGGCACAAAAGTTGCTACATAAATATTAGTAATTAGTCTTACATTACAAAACAATTATAGATTATATTTAAACAAAATATGTATTAAAATTATTCCATCTTTAAAACATGAATCATAGAACTTAAAAATTCAAAATTATAATAACATATAAGTAAATTAAAGAAAATTTAAGTAAAAATATGTGAGTATTTTAACCTACTGGATTTTGCAACTAATCAGTTTCACGTAAATTAGCCTGAAAGCTGCTACTTTATTTACTTCTGAAGGCCTTAAAATAGTTACAATACTATTCACATTTTAACCATTGGTCTCTCTGCATTTTAAATTTAAACTTCAAGTTACTGAAGCACAAAAGATTCTACTGAATTTAGTCAGACTTCTTTTGATTTTTGCTTATGAAGTAGATTTTATAAGTAAAGATAGCCAACCCAATAAACCAAGTTGAACAGGGCAAAAGCGGTTGGGAAAAATATTCTAGAATAAGAGTCAATTTTGGCAATGCGTATGTGTATCCTTCCTTCCCTCCAAGATCCTGTTCTGCAGTCTTCAAAGCAACAGAAGAAGCTGGCACAATCTTTGCCCTCCAAACACTGATACCCATAATCATCTTCTTGCGGCACAGAAATATTATTCATTGGAATCAGAGTGGATCCAGGATGGAGACCAGGAGTCATCTGAGCACAATAATAAATGAATTTTTGACATCAAAAAAGTAGCATAAGGAAAGATCAATTTGCTCCTTTAACGCAAACTCTAGGAGACTGACAGGTAATGAAAATAATCTTGATTTCAAAAAATCAAGTATTTTCAATTATAACATGTTTTATATTATAATTTGCTTTGTAATAGAACATTTGTTACATTCTATTAAGCAGAAATGAAATACCCCTGAAAAATAAAATATATTTTTATACATTTAGAAAGTTGACTCACCAAAATATCATTTACCATGGATCTAATTCTAAAATAAAATGAACTGTATATTCTATTTTATATTAAAACATTAACAGTGCTATACACATCTTTTTTTGCTATTATATATTATTTATCGACTTTAATAAAAATGAGAATAAATAGCAAAGAAGACATTTTGATAATGCAAAAGGTTTGTGAAGATATGAATTGACAAAAAAAGTTATGGGGTTTGTGATGGGTAAGCACAAGGCACCATATTTGGGAAAGAGGATGTGTAGGAATTAAAAGCTCAGACTTGGGAACAATTGGTGTTCAAATTCTGCTCATTCTACCAATGTATCTGTCTTCATAGCTGGAATTATACTTGCACCTAATTTCTGTGATAGCTATGATAAGTAAATTTCAATGGCTTATGTAAAATGATCAATGCTCCATCATGCTCAGTAATAATAGCTACTATTATTAACAGCTTTATTTGTAACATGTTAAATTAAGTTTTTATAATACTTGATTTTGAATAATACTTAAATAATTAAAAAGTGAAAGTATTATTCTTTGGCTTCTATGTTTTCTTCTGTACAAAAATGGCAATAAAAACATTGTAGGTTTGCTTGATTATTAAATGGGATGATGGATATAAAACACTAAGCAAAATACTTGAAACATAGCAAGTAATCACCTGCCAGTAGGTAACATCATTATTGTTGTCATTGTTACTGTTTATTCCTGATGAGGCCTATATCACAATTGATTATAAAATTCATGCTAAGATAAACATACAAACAATAATAATAGCAACAACAACAAAGTCCTAGACCACATAAAAATGTTACTGGAAAAAAGTTAATGACTCCTTTAATAAGCTGGCAAGTAAAAGATGAGTATTTCAACTTTAGCAATTCTTCGTTTTTCAGAATTCAACATATTTTGAGGGTTATCTCAAGATGTGAATCTTACAACTTATTGTATTCAGCAATTTCACTCTCTAAACATTAAATATAGCGCCAATTTTATAAAAATTGTTTTAACCAGCTCTTACATCTTTTCCCATGCAAATGTTTGTTAAATGTTTTCATGCTAAATTTTGAAATAGGTCAACAAAATTAAATATTTTATGAAAAACATTTTTACAAATGTATACAAAAGTTTAAAATTTCTTACAACTTTAACTATATTCATGTCCATTTTAGTTCTAAAAAGAAACATAGATTCCAAGTCACCAAATATTAAAAATCCAGTAGATGCAAAAGGAAGCAAATATTCACATTTAGTGATATTTTTAAAAGATTAAAGCATCATGCAGGTCACAATATTCATATTAGAGACAAATGTGCACCTTGAGGATAAGGAGAAATGCCCCAAACACAAGTAAGTTCATGATTAAACTTGCTTAGCTATATCACAAAAAGCAGAGGCAGTATCTTATTAAATGTTAATGACAGATCTTTTGAGGATGGAACTGGGGATAGTTGATTACATTCCTAAATTTTAATGGAGCACTAAAATCATGTAAAAAAAAAGAGAGAGACGAATTGGTACCTATTTCCTTGTCACTTGATACTTGAATAGCATATGCTCTTATGCTAATCAGAATGAAAATTAATTTTAAAAAATTGTTAGGAGGCAATTTTAAGATTATGTGGTAGAAAACACATTCCATATATGAAACGGCATTATCATAAATGGAAATATGGTGTGTTTTTCAGAGGATATTAGTTGTTCATGAGAGAAATGATTAAATTTTTTAGTGCACTAAAATGAACAAAAACTGCAAGGGGTTTATTTAAAAAATGAACTCTCTGGTGAGAGTATCATGGAGAGTTCTATGGGAAATACATTTTAAATTGGCAGTTGTCTAGATTTTTGCTCCCTCCACCCCATCCCCTCAAAACTCAAGTTCATGAATTGAAAGAAACTACACATCAGTGAACAATGAAAGTAAACAGAAATGGACATATAAATGCTGAGAAAAATAGCCAAAAATCTAACACAATGTCAATAAAATAAAATATTGATGAAACACAGATTTCTGACCTTTAAACCACTGAGAAATTAATCAGAAAAATGTATACATTCCAAGTCTTATTTATCTGAAGTGCAGCTATGCTACCCATCTTTTAGTTTCTCAAGAATAGACCCTGCCTTCCCCAAAAAAGCAAACATTAAAAAACAAATCAGTTAAAGCAATTTAAAAAGTAGCAACATAATTGAATAGAATATTCTACCTTAAATAAAATCGTTTTTAAAATACACTTTTAAAAAATTTCAAAAATTACTAAGAATATAGCTGAGCTCACTATTTTGAGAAATTCATCAAATTTTCACTATTAAGGATATATCTCTGTCTAGTTATATACTAATAAAATATATTTTAAGCACCAAAATATACTAATATCAAATAAATGGGAAGTGATAAATAAATCAGTATTTACATATAGTTATTACTTATACCATCTGATAATTATTATACCATCTGCTAAAATTATTAAATATTAGTAATATGAATGGTAAATATTATTTGATGATTATATTATTATGAAATACTGACTATATAATATTAATTTCCCATTTAAAATATTGCATGAGAAAATGCCAAACTAAGCACTGTTTACCACTCCTTCACAAAATCCTGTTTAAGTTGGGATGTTCAAAAATTGTAGATTATACCATCAACATTAAAAAATCAACAGGAGAAGGCTGGGCACGTTGGCTCACACCTGTAATCCCAGCACTTTGGGAGGCCAAGGTGGGCAGATTTCTTGAGCCCAGGAGTTTGAGACCAGCCTGGGCAACATGGCAAAACCCTGTATCCACAAAAAGAGGAAACAAAAGAAATTTATCTGGGTGTAGTTGCATGTGTTTGCAATCCCAGCTATTTGGGAGGCTGAGGTGGGAGGATGGCTTGATCTCAGGAGGTTGAGGCTGCAGTGAGCTGTGATTGCACTACTGCATTCCAGCCTGGGTGATGGAGTGAAACTTTGTCTTAAAAAACAGAAAACAAATTCCAGGAGGTGAATCTTGGTGACGAGGAGCTGCCAATCAGCATTTAGAATTTCTGATCAATTTCTGAAGTACAAAAAACAGATGGAAATAGGCCAATGGATAAAGCAGACCAAAAGAAGACACATCTCAGAAAGGCTCAGTAAATGGAAACATGACTGTGGAATCTACTCTTCCACTCAGTATAAGGAAGGAAGAATGGGAGTAATGAATAGAATGGAAAACATGGTGTTAGCTAAATGTCCACCTCCAGATCAGCTGCACTCCTTTGAACTATGGTTCACCTACTGTGCATGTAGAGAGTAAAGATGACGACGGTTGGCATTCACTCATCTCTAAACTCTATAACTTCTAAAAAATGAGAAGAAACTTTCACTATCCTAGGAGAAAGGTTAGGGCTCTTGATGTTGGAACTGGAATGTCCTAGTATTGTGCCATCATCCTATCATTTAGAATGTATATGTGTATATTTGGAAGGAATCAGATGTCATGCCACGCAAACACACGTATGAAAGTAAAATCCGATGGTTGCAAACTTGACAGTTACATACGAAACTTACCGGGCCTATTTGGGGAACAATCATGAAGAAGTTTTGAGGTAAGTGAACAATACAAAGGAGAAAAGTGAAAATGAACAGCTGGAATTACTGATTCTAATATTTTAGGAAATATGAGAAAATAAATCTAGTTAGTCCACTCAGAAATACTTGAGGAAGTAATACATCCACTTAAGGAAAAATGAACAAAGAACAGTTAGAAAATAAGACCTCTCTGAAATTCATAAAGTTATTGTAAATTTTTAATAAGCTAAAAGTGTTAAAATGAAATCTTGAAAAAACTGCTCATAGTATGGAAAAATGGCTTAAAATATGATAAAAGGAAAATCTGGAATATATGCTGAACCTAAGAAGTCAAAAATCTAACTACCAGTAGTTTCCAAGGAGAAAATAGAAATTAATTGGAATGAACAATTGATAACATTCTCAAAAATAAAACATAAGAATATTAAGTAATGAGGAAATGAAAGAGGACAAAACACAGAAAATGTACGACTCCTTAAGATTTTTTTTTCACTGTAAAAAAACAAGATGATGGAAAGTTTCTTAAGAAAAGAAAAAAAGTTTTATCTGCAAAGAATGATAATAAAATTGGCACTAGAATTAATCACAATAATGAATTCAGAAGTAGAGATTTAAATATATTATTTAAAGTTTTAAAATTAACCAAGTGCCTGACTAATTTTTTGTATTTTTGTAGAGACGGGTTTCACCATGTTGGCCAGGATGGACTCAATCTCCTGACCCCGTGATCTGCCCACCTTGGCCTCCCAAAGTGCTGGAATTACAGGAGTGAGCCAATACACCAGGTCAATAACTATTAATAGTAAGTTAAAATACTGAGAAAGAGAATAAGAAAGATACAACAGAAGAGCTATTTTTTCTTTTGTACCAAAGAGTTATAGATACCTGGAAATTTGGTACAGTAAGAATCAGAAATACAATGAAAATAATAATTACAAGAATGTAAAATCAGAAATGGTTACAATGTAGTTGATTCTGAGATTTTGGACAAAATGTTCTAGGTAGAGAATTTTCTTTATTTGTACATTTATGAATTGTTCTATTTGTTTATTTATGAATTGTTCTATTTGTTTATTAGTTTCAACCATGCTCCACTATTACTGTTAAAATTAATTTTTTTAAATGGGAATTTTACTCAATGATTAATCTGGTCCCTTTCTGCTGTGATAGTCTATGATGTTTTAAATAGAAATATAAATATTAAGCAGTGTTCTTTGGTAGCCAAGGTAGAAAAAAGAGCTGTTGGTGGTGGTATCTATACACTCCAGGGAAGCATCATATGGCCATTGTCACAACTGGTACTAACTGGTTACTCTATCTATTGAAAACATTCCACCATGCACTGACTCTTTACAATTGTTTAAGTAACCTTCTTGCTGTATTTCACATTTCACCAATATCACATAATCCTTCCTGGGAGCTTTGCCAAATACTATTATAAGAAAGAATCTATAAGTTGTGAAACTGTGGATTGATACAGCTTTTCATTATTTTAGTACTCTGAGAGGTAGACAAATGTTTATTCAATAGGCATGCACTGACTGAAATGAAAATCTCTTTGCTGAAAAGGAGCTGTGGGTGAGGACTGTGGGGTGAGGCGGTGCCAGGGGGGACCCAAAAACTTGCTAATGCATTATTTTCATCCTAATATCTTGGTTTCAGCTTTTAGTATTATATTACTTCTGGAACAACTGCAATAGTCTCCAAATTTATCTCCCTGCCTCTTTTGCCATCCAAGTATATACTGTATACTATTTCTAATTATCTTCTGAAAACATACATAGAAATATACCATCCTGCTTAAAAACGTGTATAACTTGCCTGCGCTAACAAGACAAAATGTAAATTCTTAGCATGACTTTAAAGATTTTGCACAACCTGGCCATAAACCACTCTTCTATCCTCAACATAGGTTATTTTCTTTCCTAAGAGAAAATGTTTCTTTCCTACTTTCAAGATAAACATTACCCAATAGCACTTTCTGTGATGACAATGTTCTACATCTACACTCTTCAATATGATAGCCGTAAGTCACATGTGGCTATTGAGCACTTGAAATGCGACTAGCGCTACTAAGATACTGAATATTATATTTTGTTTAATTTTAATTAATTTAACCCAACCTATCTATATGTGCTTAGTGGCTATTATATTGGACAGCACAGCTTGGGACGTATGCTAGTCTACTTTTTGTTCTCACATGTAAGGCTCAGCCCAGCTGACATAGTTCCCTCTATCTTAAATGTTCTTTCTAATTTGTTATCTTGAAAACTGCAACTTTTTCTTCAAAAAATTACTTCAGTGAAGCCACACTTTCTCTGGAATTTTCCTTGCCAAACTTCCATCAGTTTATATGTTTTATGAATGAATTATTTACACATGAAATGAAAGGAATCCTCTCCTCTCCACAAGGTTCTCTTCAACACTGTGTGCCTGTTCAATGTTTCACAGGCCACATAATATGATGTCTGAAGACTGCCTGGGATGCTAGGCATAGGCCACATAGGTCTGGCTTTGTGATACCTGTCTGTTTCCACAAGAACAGTTCCTTTAAAAATACATTTTATGTTTTTATAAAAAATAAAAATATTGTTATTTAAAAATAATAAAATATCTTATGTATATTTGTTATAAAAATAACCTACTTCTGAAAAAGCATGAGAAATTATTCATCTAATTGTTAATTCCCTCACAGACTCCTTGTTTAATTTTGATCTTTATCTTGGACTATTATTTATATTGTATCTTATTATGTTTGTATTTGCGATGCATTTTTTCACAACTGGATGTAATCATCCCTGAAAGCAAAGAACACATTCTATCTCTTTTTTGTCTCCATAATGTCTCGTCCATAGCTGGATAAATAAATTTCTATAATTTCACATCTTAATAAAATCAGGAAACTAAAAATAAGTAAGTTCAATCCTCAAATGGCTATAGCAGGCCCCTGAAGTAGGTACAACATGGTTTTCTGAAATTTCTGCTAGCCTATGGGCCGAATATTCAAGTTTCAACATAAACTACTCTTCAATTGGCAAAGGCTAGTTTATTACTAGTGCCTTTCGGTTTATTACTAGTGGCTTTATCTGTTGCATAAAATGTCTTGATTCCATAGTTCAACATATTTAACTTAACTTCTTAGACTTTCTTGAAAATAAATGTTGGCACAAATACACCTGAATTATATACTTGCCGATTAGTAATAATATATATTGGATGGGCATATGAAACAATCCAAAATGTCATTCACATGTACAATAAAATGGAAGAAAAATTTGGTCATAATGGAATAGAGAAGGAAGGAAGGAAGGAAGGAAGGAAGGAAGGAAGGAAGGAAGGAAGGAAGGTTCTTCCAAGGTAGAAAAAAGAGCTGTTGGTGGTGGTATCTATATACTTCAGGGAAGCATCATATGGCCATTGTCACAACTGGTACTAAATGGTTACTCTATCTATTGAAAATATCCCACCATGCACCGACTCTTTACAATTGTTTAAGTAACCTTCTTACTGGAAAGAAGGAAGGAAGGAAGGAAGGAGAAGGGAAGGGAAGCGAAGGGAAGGAAAGGGAGGAAAGGAAGGAAAGAAAGAAGGAAGGAAGGAAGGAAAGGGAAGGGAGAAAGGAAAAGCAAGGAAGGAAAAATAGAAAGCGAGCAAAAAAGACAAATGAAAGAAAGAGAATGAAAGAAAGAGTGAGAGAGAGCAAGCAAGCTGGCCCATTTCATGTGGAGAGTAAGTTAAAACGGGTGTTTATCAATTTATATTTTTAGGTGGTTCTTTGAAGCTAAAAATCTATTTTGTTCAAGTATTATCTCTTCCAAAAAAAACTGAACATTTTGAGATTCTCAGTTAAGCAGTCAACAAGATGTCAGGAAAAGGATTTTAATTTTGCTTAATAACAGAATTGTTGACCTTTCAGCAACTCTCTAGCCAAAGTATTGCATCCTAGCCTGACTATAGCCCTAAACATTTTTTTTAAAGGGAAAATGCTGGATTTTAAACTACTCTGAATTTTAATAAAGAAATGGGGAGATTGAAGGAAAGACAAAGAGGAAAGGAGAGAGAAAGGCGGAAGGAGGGGGTGAAGTCACAAACATTTAATACAGGCTTAATGGCAAGATGCTACAACATCTTGCAACCAAAGAAAAATGTGGATTCCAGAAAGCCCTTAAATAGAGGATTTGAGACAACAACAAACAGAGTTGCCTGTTCCTCATAAAAGTACATTCTGATTTACCTGATTAGCAAGACCATATGGCTGTACACTGAACCATGCAAGGAGTCAGATTTGATTACTGATCCCGGTTTTTCACTCAAAATATCATTTAGGACTGAAAGAGCTCATAAAGCACATAATTGAACAAAGAAAAGAGACTATCAAACTTCATTATGAATGGCAGTAAAGAAAATATTTTTGGTACTCAAGTAGTCAATTATAATATGTCAATTTAACTGTTGCTATTTGCCATTTAGTACTTCAATACTATCATTTAATTTTCGTTCTTTACCTTTCCATAATTAGTAGTTTGCAACCTAGGCTTGATGCTAAATTTGAAAGACTTAACATATGGATTAAAAATAGTAACTATTCTAGAACAATGCCTAGATTATGGAAGTCCTTAATAAATAGTTGATGAATGATTGAATAACATGATAAGTTTAAAGTCTACACTAGAGTAATCCAGCTCTCTTGAGTAAGTGTGCCATTGGAACTTTGGCTGAGTGTACATGATCTGCGGTCAAACTGATTAGCTACCATCCTAGAGTAGCCATGTTTTGGTTGTGTCCTTCGATAATATAATAGTGGTACCTAAATTATTTATTCTTAGAATGAAATTAGAGAATGGATGTGAGATTGTACATTGCCTGGCCTCTATATTAGTTATTTTTATTCTAAACATCTCCACTCAAAATTTCCAGAAATAAAACTTTCAAGGCAATAATCCAACATAGATACAGATAAGTAAACGATAAAATGGAAAATCCAGAGAAGATGCATGGCTTTGATGAAAGGAAAATTGTAGAAAGCATTCATTTTTCTTTATCTAAAAATGTAACAATGGATATTATAGTTGACTTCTGATTTGTCCATTCAGGAGACAAAATATATCCTATAGATAAGCAAAAATGACGTGAAGTTGACGGAGTCACTGGCTAATTCTACAATGCAAGTTATCAAATTTGTACTGCTAGCAATGTGCTCTGCTTTCTTGGAATATTGTGGGTATCTGAAAGCAAAATACACCAGGTTTTTCTCTTGGAATATAACATGAAAAGTAAAACATAACTTAAAAGTATAGCAGAGTTTTATAAAGAAACCAATGAAAAAAGATTAGGGAAAAATGCATTGACTCCTAGAACTTAAAAAGTTAGATAATATGGAAAACTCATTATATATACATTAAGGTAGGCTTACAAGCTTGCCACTAATGCCTGGCTATTTGATACATTTCTCATTTATTTGAGTATTTTGAAACAAATCTTTGAAAGCATTTACTAAATTAAATGTTTTCTTGTTAATTTTAGAAAAATAAATGTCTATTTTTTTAAGCCCTGTGAGAACAGGATATATAAAGGAAGGGTCACACGCTTGAGCTCTGGCACCAAAAAGGATCCAGGTCTGAGTCTTGGATCTTTCGCTTACTGAGGCTGTTCTTGTGTAAATCATTGAACCTCTACTTAGAGAGTTGCTCTAAGCATACATGAAATCATGCATGTAAAATGCTCTGCAGAGTGTCTGGAACATTCAACATGTGTTAGATATTACTTTCAGGTTGCTATAATTGATAATATAAAACATAATCATAGTCAATAACCCCATACATGAGTATATTAGATTCAGGAGAATCCATTTTAATATATTAGACTTGATGTGATATAAGTTAAGGTAATTATATGATTGAGATGGGAGAGTAAAATAGTACAAATACAGAAAAACAAAAAAAGAACGTTGTGGTCATCACTTTTAAACACAGTTGGACACTACCATTAAAGAGGAATCTTCATCACTAAAAGTAAGGTAATTTTGTTAGAAATGCAAATCCTAACACAAAAAATCGGATCAAAGGTAAATCACAAATAATGTTTGAGGTACAAAGAATCTACCACTGTGGGAAAATTCAGGCCATAATAAACCACTCTTTACACAGGGGATCCAATGGGAGACATTTGAAAAACAGAAATACACTTTTCTTGGTGAGCAATGTTAGGTACTCCAGTTTCATCTTAACTTTGTCTTTGGTTATGGGTCTCAAGCGTCCCTATTTCTGTAAACAAACACATAAATATTCAAAAGAGTATCTCTAAGTAAGTTGAGGTTTATAAAATAGAAATTTTTCTTTTTAACATACCGAGGCTTTATTTTTTAGCTTTCTGTCTTTAGTAGCAGTCTTTCCTTTTTGGTTGCTGGTAAAATAATGCAAGGTTCCATATTCCATCAAGGCTGCAAAAACAAAAATGAAACAAACAGAAACAAAGAGATCCATCGCAGTCACATAAGAAACCTTAGGTAAAGACTTCCTGGCAATTGTACTCAGGGTTGTCATAGTCAGAACTGTAGTGATACCTATAGAGAGAGGAAACAAAACAGGAAATGAAAATTAATAGACCACATTTATTCTTCCATCTGATTTGGCAATATTGTGAGTGAAATTAAACAATAGAAACAAAAATATGATTACTAGTAATTTATATTAATAATTATTGGTAGCCATAGCAACATTGTGTCCAATGTGCTCTTTGTGTTTCTGTGAGTTCTAATCATTTAAATTACTGCGGAGTGCAAGTTGACTCCTGATATCCATTCTTCCCTTCCTCCATTGTAATAGAATATCAAATATTTAGCTGGCATATGACTGCCCAGAACAACTTTATTTGCCATCTCTCTGCAGTTGAGTGTGGCTACAGGCTGAGATCTAGCCAAAGGGAACCAAGTCAAGAATGTAGGCAACATACAATATCCTAAAGACAGCATTAAAGAGACAAGGAATGCCCTTCTTTCCTTCTCATTGCCTTCTGCTGGAATACAATGGCCAGACCAATAGCACTATCTTAAAACATTAGATAATATTGGAAATTAAATTTACTCACAATACAGGAGAAAGCCAGAAGGAGACTGAGTCTCTCATACTATAATGCATTGTATCGCCTTGAAATAAAAAAAAAAAAGAAATACCTACCCCTAGACTTCACATAAGCAACAGATATTCTTCTATCTAATTGAAGTGACAGTGACTTGACATTTTCCACCATACATATACAGTCAAAATTAATCCAAACTAACATAGCTTTTTGTTATATAATAACCTGAGTTAAACCCATTTTTTAATCTCAATGTTTAAGTGAGGAATACTGGCACAGTTATATCAAGGGAATACTGCTTTGAAAGCACAGAGTAAATCCTTTTATTTTTGAGAAGTCAGCATGTATACCTGGGATGTCCCCAAGGGTCCCAATCCTGTATGTGTATCCTTGAAGGGATCTGTTTCTCATCAGTCTTTGTGTGGTTCTTATCACTATTAATCTTAGGTCTCCTAAATTACAGATGCACATGCTAATATTTCTTTTAACCTAAACTTTCATAATCCTCATTCGTTTTCCCAGTAAATATGGCCCCATGAGCGGAATTGTTTACTCTCTTAAAAGTACTAAACATAATGCTAAATGCTTCTTAATTTGACCAATATTTATAGAGTGACAACATTTATGATGAAAAGTAAATCAAAAACAGCTGTAGCAACAGTCTCTTTGGTATAGTGAAGGCAATAACCACCTCTTCCCCTCATGTCTCCATTGAAACATACCCTAAAAATTCTACTCACAAACCTGTCATTTCACTTTTATCATTTCTTAGGATTGGAGAAAATATTAAAGGTGAAACAGTTGTGATGAATTTGGAATTATGATACAAATTTAGGTTTAATCTCTGACTCTTCTATTAGCTCTGTGATCTTAACAAAGTTTTTCAACTCCTTTGTGCCTCTCGTTTAAAAAAAACAAACACAGTAATATCTTGCTTCGTAATTGTAGTAAATATACACAAAATGTACTTAATTTAATTATTTGTCTTTTTTTTAAATTTCCAAATATACAAGGCCATTGTCAGTTATATTATTTTTATTTATTTTTAATTTACTTCCTTTTTTGTTAGAAAATATACTCTGAAAATTTTAGTGTTTTGTATTTTAGTAATATCTTGTTTAATGATCTATATGCACTTGAAAATATTGTGTGCTCTGAAGTTAGGTGTAGTGTCCTATAAATATCAATCAGGTAAAGTAGTTGATGATAATTTCTTTTCAAAGTTTCTATATCCTAATTAACTTTTTCTTGTAGTTCTAACAATGAATGAGAAAACAGTATGGTTGCAGATTTATTTCTCCCACTATCCCTTACAGCTTTTACTTCAATTATTTTGAAACTAAATGTACATTTTTAAAGGCTTTGTTATGGTAAAGGCTAAAAAAATGATATATACAAGTCTCCCTTTGCCTCATCTCCCACACAAGCTTATTAAATCACATTGTTCCCATCGTCAGCCCAGGTAGGTTTCCAAAGTGTTTCTTGGCTCCACAATTATGTCTCCTATCTGAAAAATCTTAAATCCAATGTGTGGTTTCATTTTGTTATCCACTACTGCAATAAATTTTACTTTATTAAGTTTCTGTTACTTTCTTTTTTAATAAGGCAAAAAAACTAAGCAGAACTTTGCTTTCAGACATTTATTTAATTTAGTAATTATTATCACTGTCATTACCTTGAGAAGAACATAGTGGATTTTCTATTAAAATATTTCTGAGTCCGTGATAATAAAAAACACTTAAGATATTAACAGGATATTGAGAAAACATTTTGGATATCATTGCTATATTCTCCATGGCTTCCCCTACTCAAGATCCTACAATAGTCTCCCATCGTTTAAATCTTTAATCCATCTTGAATTGATTTTTGTATAAGGTGTAAGGAAGGGATCCAGTTTCAGCTTTCTACATATGGCTAGCCAGTTTTCCCAGCACCATTTATTAAATAGGGAATCCTTTCCCCATTGCTTGTTTTTCTCAGGTTTGTCAAAGATCAGATAGTTGTAGATATGCGGCATTATTTCTGAGGGCTCTGTTCTGTTCCATTGATCTATATCTCTGTTTTGGTACCAGTACCATGCTGTTTTGGTTACTGTAGCCTTGTAGTATAGTTTGAAGTCAGGTAGTGTGATGCCTCCAGCTTTGTTCTTTTGGCTTAGGATTGACTTGGCGATGCGGGCTCTTTTTTGGTTCCATATGAACTTTAAAGTAGTTTTTTCCAATTCTGTGAAGAAAGTCATTGGTAGCTTGATGGGGATGGCATTGAATCTGTAAATTACCTTGGGCAGTATGGCCATTTTCACGATATTGATTCTTCCTACCCATGAGCATGGAATGTTCTTCCATTTGTTTGTGTCCTCTTTTATTTCCTTGAGCAGTGGTTTGTAGTTCTCCTTGAAGAGGTCCTTCACATCCCTTGTAAGTTGGATTCCTAGGTATTTTATTCTCTTTGAAGCAATTGTGAATGGGAGTTCACCCATGATTTGGCTCTCTGTTTGTCTGTTGTTGGTGTATAAGAATGCTTGTGATTTTTGTACATTGATTTTGTATCCTGAGACTTTGCTGAAGTTGCTTATCAGCTTAAGGAGATTTTGGGCTGAGACGATGGGGTTTTCTAGATAAACAATCATGTCGTCTGCAAACAGGGACAATTTGACTTCCTCTTTTCCTAATTGAATACCCTTTATTTCCTTCTCCTGCCTGATTGCCCTGGCCAGAACTTCCAACACTATGTTGAATAGGAGCGGTGAGAGAGGGCATCCCTGTCTTGTGCCAGTTTTCAAAGGGAATGCTTCCAGTTTTTGCCCATTCAGTATGATATTGGCTGTGGGTTTGTCATAAAAACCCTAGAAGAAAACCTAGGCATTACCATTCAGGACATAGGCGTGGGCAAGGACTTCATGTCCAAAACACCAAAAGCAATGGCAACAAAAGCCAAAATTGACAAATGGGATCTAATTAAACTAAAGAGCTTCTGCACAGCAAAAGAAACTACCATCAGAGTGAACAGGCAACCTACAACATGGGAGAAAATTTTCGCAACCTACTCATCTGACAAAGGGCTAATATCCAGAATCTACAATGAACTCAAACAAATTTACAAGAAAAAAACAAACAACCCCATCAAAAAGTGGGCGAAGGACATGAACAGACACTTCTCAAAAGAAGACATTTATGCAGCCAAAAAACACATGAAGAAATGCTCATCATCACTGGCCATCAGAGAAATGCAAATCAAAACCACTATGAGATATCATCTCACACCAGTTAGAATGGCAATCATTAAAAAGTCAGGAAACAACAGGTGCTGGAGAGGATGTGGAGAAATAGGAACACTTTTACACTGTTGGTGGGACTGTAAACTAGTTCAACCATTGTGGAAGTCAGTGTGGCGATTCCTCAGGGATCTAGAACTAGAAATACCATTTGACCCAGCCATCCCATTACTGGGTATATACCCAAAGGACTATAAATCATGCTGCTATAAAGACACATGCACACGTATGTTTATTGCGGCACTATTCACAATAGCAAAGACTTGGAACCAACCCAAATGTCCAACAATGATAGACTGGATTAAGAAAATGTGGCACATATACACCATGGAATACTATGCAGCCATAAAAAATGATGAGTTCATATCCTTTGTAGGGACATGGATGAAATTGGAAACCATCATTCTCAGTAAACTATCGCAAGAACAAAAAACCAAACACCGCATATTCTCACTCATAGGTGGGAATTGAACAATGAGATCACATGGACACAGGAAGGGGAATATCACACTCTGGGGACTGTGGTGGGGTCGGGGGGAGGGGGGAGGGATAGCATTGGGAGATATACCTAATGCTAGATGACACATTAGTGGGTGCAGTGCACCAGCATGGCACATGTATACATATGTAACTAACCTGCACAATGTGCACATGTACCCTAAAACTTAGAGTATAATAAAAAAAAAAAAAAGAAAGGAAAAAAAAAAAAATAAATAAATAAATTAAAAAAAAAAAAAAAAAAAAAAAAAAAAATAGTCTCCCATCACATTTGAAATAAAATTTAAAGTCCTTAAAATGGCCCACAAAAATTTACCTGATCTAACTATTGGCCCCTTCTCCAAATTTATTTTCTGTGACTATTCATTCAGCTCCAACCACATTTGTCATTTTTCTGAACCCCAAAGCATGGCATAGCAGGAAGATCTGGCTTCAAAAACCATATGGTTCCCCCTGCCTGGAATATCTTTCTGCCCAATATCCACCAGGTTAGCACCACACTTCATTGGGTCACTGCTCAAATGCCACATCATCAGAGGTATCTATTGAGACTCCACAATATAAAATAGCAAATATCATACCACTCACACCCTGTCATTTTCTAAACATTGATTTTGCTATCTCTTCACAGCCTTCATGACTCACTAAAATTTTATTGTATGCCTTTTACATTTGTACATTACCTGTTTTCTCTACTAAAATGTAAACACCATAAACACGAAGTTTTAAAATTTTATTCACTGTTAACACTAAAGCACCAAAAACACTGCTTGTTTAACAGAAAGCATTGGATACATTGTAGAAAAATGCAAGGTTGAGTTCAGGAAATTGTCTTGCAGTGATATGTGTGTGCATGTATATTTAAAGCAATTGTAATTCTCTATCTTAGGGTCCACAATTACAAGAGATATTTGTCAAGTTACATCTGGCTGTGCTTACCTTTATGATTGATATGCTAATATTGAATAAAAATAAGTTTATGCAAAAACGACTTCACAGTTGGCTTTTCTCTTCATGACACTCTAGCATAGAACTTTATACAAACCCAGTGGTATAAATAATCCATTCAAATTCTTTTAGAAACTTCCAAACAGTTATGCATAGTGGTTATACTAATTTACATTCCCAGAAAAATATGGAAATAGAAACAAAAATACTATGGTTAAGTTATAGTAGCATACAAAGAAACTCAAATAATTTATACAACTTATAAAATAATTTTAAACAATGAAAGGAAACAAAATTGAGATACGAATGGATTTTGTCCACTAGCTATGTCAATATCCCTGTTTAGATGGCCAAGAGAACTTCAAGTATAGACCCATGTGCCTCATGCATTGTTGTTGTCACTTTTATGTGACCTGCATTTTACTGTACTTATTAGATGGAATCATTTATAAGCTATCATAGAAATCACATATAAACTTCTTTGTGGTTAAAAATAGAAACTGTCTCACCTTTCTTTACATATTTTTAAGACACAATTATGAGCAGTGTGATTCATGTGTCTTTCACTGATTTGGGGGGTGAATCAATTGATTAACAAGTTTTATTCCTATATCAATACCTGATTGCAGGTTATCATTTTCTTTTAAATAACTATACTGTAATTAGTCACTTATTTTGTTATGTGATTTGATTATTGCAATAGATTGTTACAGAAAAATAGTAAAAGTCTATTTTGTCAAGTATGAATCAAATTACCCTGTTAATCAATGTTATTCTACAGGCAACTACAGGCAACTCTCAAGTATTCACAGAATAAATACACATTTTATACATGACAGAAGCCACAGAAGCCAGGGAGCGTCTTGTTCCTTTCAGCTACTTGCCCTTTGGAAAGATTGACTTCATTAGCAATGTTATAAAAGCAGGTTATTTTAAAGCCATCTGCACACCTCAGTAAATAAACAGTGGTTATTAGTGACTCAGCTATAACATAAAATAAAATCTTGATGAAACGTGATAGAAAAACTCAACCAAAATAAGATTTAGGAATTACGTATGATTTTCATGTATTAATTCTTGTTATGGATCTATGCTTCCCTTGGTCTTCATTAGCAGAAAAAAGAAGGAATTTTCTGAAATTTCAAGTTCTTTACAATTCCATTTTCTACTTTTCTTTTTTTACATATCTCTTTCAACATGGTATTGTCCCTTAGTTCCTGTCAATTTTTTTCCTGACTGTAGTCTAGAAGAATATATCTAATAAATGTGACTATGAACTTTTATCACATCAAAATGATTTTTTAAAGTTCTATGGCATTATAGCATAATATTACATGTCATACCCAACGATGTTCTTGCAGGCACTGCATCTTTATTGATCCAAAAAGACACCCAAGAAAGAACAACTGTCAGAATGCATGGAATGTAGGTCTGAATAGTGAAATATCCCATTCTTCTGCTCAGGTCAAAAAAAATTGTCATGATAACATAATCCCCTGTAAGAAAAAAAAGTTTTATTTTGGCTATATAATATAAATCACAATCCATATATTTAAAATAAAAATGTCATTTAATGCTAGCATCATTTCACTATTTGAGTATTCTTTTTACCAGAGATCGTGTGAGTGATTTCAGTTGAGTTCCGTAACCCTACAAATGCAAACTGATATAATCTCCAGTATTTAGGATCAGCCACTTCTACGGAGGGCTTTTTCCACTTATACTCAATTTCATTTTTAGGGTATCCATCTATAGAGAAAAAATACATAGATTAGCAAGATCCAAATTTGATACCATTGCAATGCCAACATTATCCAAAGGTAGATTCTTGGAACTTTCTCCTCTTTTTTTATTACAAGATATGCCAAACATAGAATATTTGAATACAATAAATATTAATAAGCAGAGTTTAATGACTAATCATACATGGATCAAATAATGATAACCCATGTAATCTACTTAAGAAATAGAAACTTGCTAACACACAGAAAACCCAATATGTCCACCCCAATATAGTACTTCCTCCCCAATCTAGAGGTAATAACTATCCTAATTTCTGCGATGATCTTTTCTTTTTAATATAGATTTTTCATATGCATTTCTGAAAAGTATAGCATAGTTTGGGTTCCTTTGAATTTTATTTGATCATTCCCATACTTAAGGCATTCTTTGGCATATTATTTTTTTCTTCTTTTTCCTCATGCTACCTTGTCTAAGAATGTATTTTTTAATATATTGTGATAGTCATCAAAGTTGTACGTAGCTAAATTTCTTCCATTGTAAAAACACACCGAAATTTATCTATTATACTGTTTTAGACATTTGTGGTATTTTCTGTTGGCTATAACCAACATTGCTCTAGTAACATTATTATGCATGCCTCCCGAAACGTGGCATGCAATATGCAAGCATTACTTTAGGATAGAGTATGGAGTAGCTGGGTCATGGGTTACACATAATATCAACTTTATGAGGTAGTGCCAATCTTTTTTCCATAGAGAGTATACTAACATATTCTCCTTTTTTTTTTTTAGACGGAGTCTCACTCTGTTGTCCAGGCTGGAGTGCAGTGGCACGATCTTGGCTCACTGCTAATGTCTGCCGCCCAGGTTCAAGCAATTCTCATGCCTCAGCCTCCCAAGTAGCTGAGACCTATACAGGTGCTTGCCAACACGAATGGCTACCCTTTTTTTTTAATTTTCTTTTTATTTTTATCTTTATTAGAGACAGGGTTTTGCCATGTTGGCCAGGCTATTCTCGAACCCCTGACCTCAGGTGATCTGCTCCCCTCGGCCTCCCAAAGTGCTGAGATTACAGGCATGAGCCACCACGCCTAGCCACTAGCATATTCTCTTATCAGCCAGAGTGTGAAAGTTAACATGAATGCATATTCTCATTAATCTTGATAAATGCAGTCTTCTTCATTTTTACTCGTCCATGAAGTGTATTTTATTTCACATTCTCCTGATTAATAATAAAACCTAGCCTTTAAAAAGTATGTTTATTAGAATTTTGGATTGCTTCTTTGAGGAACTGCTTGTTCAATTGCCCATTATTTATTTTTTACTTTCTCTTATTTTTTCCTCTCTTTTTATATTAATGTTTTATGTATTCTAGATACTAGTCCTTTGTTAAGGAAAATGTTTTTGTCTACTTTGTAGCTGTCTAGAACGGAGGTCTATCCTTTCATCTTTCTAAAAAATATTTCTGTTTCTGGCTTGTATCAGGAATATCTTTGAGGACTTTTTGAACGAACCAAGTGAAAGAAATTTGGGCTAAAAATCTATTTGAGGTAGACTTGTAATTAGATTCTCTCAAGAAGAATCATCTCACCCTGTATGCTGATTTCAGGGGCAACCTCCCTTTTAGCTTTCGGTGGTTGTATGTGTGTGTGTGTGTGTGTGTGTGTTTAGGAGGTAATTCTTCACGTGATCTCAACTGGTCAGGCTTTTGTATGCCAACTTTATGTGGAGATTATGTTCTATTACACTACCATCTTACAATACCATCAAAGCAAAGCTTGAAGGAAATTACCACGTTTTGTCAATGTCCTCAGGTCAAAATCGGCTGCAACTTTACCTTTCTGGTTTACAGTTTTCATGTAGATGTTTGTAGCTAAAAAGTTCTTTCTACGTATGGTCACATACATGTTTTAGAATATTTTAATGGTATAAAATTTTTGTTTTCAACCGAAAGATTGGTAGCACATTACATAAACAGAATTCACTAATTAACTTGAAATTTCAAAAATAGTATATCCATGTATTTTGCACTAGGATCTCTATTAGTCATGCAATGAAATAGTTATCATCTCTGCTGATCTACTTAATAAATAAACTATTTTATCTTTCCTTTTCTCCATCTTCTTTCACTTGCTCTCTAGGGTTGTAGCCATTTTGATTTCTATAGTTTCTGTCTTTACTTTTAAAAAGTTTTAGAGTCAATAGAGGATAGACATAGTATACAGTAGTGTGGGCACAAATAAACATGATTGGCTAAATAGCCACTCTGAATCTCATGATATTAATTTTTAAAATTGGGACTGCAATGAAATCTTCCACACATATTTGTTGTGAAATATTAGATGCAGATGGCTGAATTCTCTACTGGACCCATGTAGAGTGCCTGAAAAAAATTAGCTATGATTATTATATGTTAGCTATTGACACCCAATTAAACTCACAAAGATAAATGATTAATTACTATTAACAACAATCAAAACCAGAGAGCTATCACACCAAAATTTAAGAATGGCTTCTAGAATGAAGAAGTACAACTGCTACATCAATTATTGCATATGAACTTTTCCTTGAGTTCCTTGAATTCTATCAATCAAGTATTTGTTGCTATTTGGCTGTCTTATCCACTTCAAAGTTACTGTTTAAAAATCAAAGCAGTGAGGTAGATCATTAATATAAAAGAATGCTTTAATGAGACAAAATCATTAAGAAAATTCAAGAATATCATTAATAAAAGGCAAAAAAAAATGTGGAAATTTAGTAAGTGAAGAAGTAGGGTTATGCTTATGAATAAAATGTCATATTACACTCTACCAAATTCTAGAATGTGATCTGTGAAAACAATAAATTTCAAAAGAAAGAAAATAGCATTAGACAATTTGTGGGTAAAGGCAACCACATTTTTATAAGCCATTTTACATATTTTTAAGATAATTGTATGTATCTAGAAAAATACTTTTATAAAAATACATGTGAGGATATGTATGTTAGTAAATATAAAATAAAATTAATATAGCTCTGGAAAGGTTATAATTATTTCCTATAAAGAATATACCAGGTTTTTTTTTAGGATAAATAAAAGCATTTTAATATAACTGATATTATACAGTAGGAAAGTAAACCACCACTACACAGCTACAGGAATGAAGAGTTAAAAATACAACATTGAGCAATATAGAAATAGCATAAGTTACCACTTACATTTTTTTTTTTTTGGTTTTGTTTTCTTTTGTTTTTATGTGGAACAAATTTGTTTATTTTATTTTTTTTATTATTATTATACTTTCAGTTTTAGGGTACATGTGCACAATGTGCAGGTTAGTTACATATGTATACATGTGCCATGCTGGTGTGCTGCACCCATTAACTCATCATTTAGCATTACGTATATCTCCTAATGCTATCCCTCCCCCCTCCCCCCACCCCACAACAGTCCCCAGAGTGTGATGTTCCCCTTCCTGTGTCCATGTGTTCTCATTGTTCAATTCCCATCTATGAGTGAGAACATGCGGTGTTTGGTTTTTTGTCCTTGTGATAGTTTACTGAGAATGATGATTTCCAATTTCATCCATGTCCCTACAAAGGACATGAACTCAACATTTTTATGGCTGCATAGTATTCCATGGTGTATATGTGCCACATTTTCTTAATCCAGTCTATCATTGTTGGACATTTGGGTTGGTTCCAAGTCTTTGCTATTGTGAATAGTGCCGCAATAAACATACGTGTGCATGTGTCTTTATAGCAGCATGATCTATAGTCCTTTGGGTATATACCCAGTAATGGGAAGGCTGGGTCAAATGGTATTTCTAGTTCTAGATCCCTGAGGAATCGCCACACTGATTTCCACAATGGTTGAACTAGTTTACTGTCCCACCAACAGTTTAAAAGTGTTCCTATTTCTCCACATCCTCTCCAGCACCTGTTGTTTCCTGACTTTTTAATGATCGCCATTTTAACTGGTGTGAGATGGTATCACATTCTGCTTTTGATTTGCATTTCTCCAATGGCCAGTGATGGTGAGCATTTTTTCATGTGTCTTTTGGCTGCATAAATGTCTTCTTTTGAGAAGTGGAAATGAAGGGTATTCAATTAGGAAAAGAGGAAGTCAAATTGTCCCTGTTTGCAGACGACATCATTGTATATCTAGAAAACCCCATTGTCTCAGCCCAAAATCTCCTTAAGCTGATAAGCAAATTCAGCAAAGTCTCAGGATACAAAATCAATGTACAAAAATCACAAGCATTCTTATACACCAATAACAGACAAACAGAGAGCCAAATCATGAGTGAACTCCCATTCACAATTGCTTCAAAGAGAACAAAATACTTAGGAATCCAACTTACAAGGGACGTGAAGGACCTCTTCAAGGAGAACTACAAACCACTGCTCAATGAAATAAAAGAGGATACAAACAAATGGAAGAACATTCCATGCTCATGGGTAGGAAGAATCAATATCGTGAAAATGGCCATCCTGCCCAAGGTAATTTATAGATTCAATGCCATCCCCATCAAGCTACCAATGACTTTCTTCACAGAATTGGAAAAAACTACTTTAAAGTTCATATGGAACCAAAAAAAAGCCCGCATTGCCAAGTCAATCCTAAGCCAAAAGAACAAAGCTGGAGGCATCACGCTACCTGACTTCAAACTATACTACAAGGCTACAGTAACCAAAACAGCATGGTACTGGTACCAAAACAGAGATATAGATCAACGGAACAGAACAGAGCCCTCAGAAATAACGCCACATATCTACAACTATCTGATCTTTGACAAAGCTGAGAAAAACAAGCAATGGGGAAAATCCTTTCCCCTATTTAATAAATCCCTATTTAATAAATGGTGCTGGGAAAACTGGCTAGCCATATGTAGAAAGGTGAAACTGGATCCCTTCCTTATACCTTATACAAAAATTAATTCAAGATGGATTAAAGACTTAAACCTAAAACCATAAAAACCCTAGAAGAAAACCTAGGCATTACCATTCAGGATATAGGCATGGGCAAGGACTTCATGTCTAAAACACCAAAAGCAATGGCAACAAAAGCCAAAATTGACAAATGGGATCTAATTAAACTAAAGAGCTTCTGCACAGCAAAAGAAACTACCATCAGAGTGAACAGGCAACCTACAAAATGGGAGAAAATTTTTGCAACCTACTTATCTGACAAAGGGCTAATATCCAGAATCTACAATGAACTCAAACAAATTTACAAGAAAAAACAAACAACCCCACCAAAAAGTGGGCAAAGGATAAGAATATACCCGGTTTTTATACTCTAATTATTCACCTCTAACCACTTCTCTATGAATCAATCTTTTTTAATTAAATCAACTTATTTCTACCTTGGTTTTTCTACCTTATTAAAGTAGTCTCAAATATTTGCTATTCGTATGGTAAATACTATTTGCCTAACCAATTTTTGAAACACATTTCAAAATCTAATGTAATAAAGTTAAATCTTGCCTCCAGGAACATGAATATAATTTGAATCACCTTTTCTTGGGGACTGTGTAAAAACATTTGAATACAAACCTATTTTCAATACTCCTTTATTTAATAAAAATAAGCAAATAGCATTGGAATAAAATTAAAAGTTATAAAGAATGTTTTAATAAAATATATGCATTCATAACACATTTATTGTAAACTTTTAGTTTAAAAGCAAGAAGCAAATATATTATTTGTAATTATTTTATCTAAAAGAATTGAACATAACTCACACTTTTGAAAATCCTATTTTATTTTCTTTCTTTTCATTTTTAAATAAACAGCTTCTAAGGTTAAAATTCTATGAAATTATCAAGTGTTTTGTTACTTACAGCTTGAAAATTCCAGTGGACAGGAATGTTCATCCATGGGAAAGTTATGAAGCTGAAGATAACATTCTGCATTAATTGTCAATCTATTTAGATGGAAAGAAAAGTATTAAATAAAGATAAATAATTTGAAGCATTAAAAATCTCCTGTCTCATTTTAAAACAAGATTTTGTCATATGATAATAGATTGTGACCTATTAGAATATAATAATGATTCTAAAGTCTCAAAGTCTTAAATAGCAATAATATTATAATATTTATATATGACAGAATTCTAACAATTTCCTCTTCAGTCAACTAGGTTACCTCTGTATACATTTCAATATGATCTCTGTGTTTACACATAATAATTCATACTTCAATATGTCAGCAAACACACATATGCAAACATAGCAGATTAACAGATTATAAATGGTTAAGTATGGTAATTTTTTCTCTTGGTTTATTATGAATATCTTTTCCATGAAGGATGGTTCTTAATAAGCAGATATGTTTAAGTCAATGAGTTAAATAAACTTGAACCTTATACATCAACCTTCATTTAATCCTTTCTTAGGGATGTTTTACTACACCATTGAAAATTAGAGTATTATAAAATTTTATAGCAGGGTGGGTTTCTAGAGGAAATCTTACTCAATTATTTGCACTGCAGGTTAAGAAAACCATAATCTTTATGCTGCAACCTGTTCTGCTTCAAAGGAAGAAAATCAAAGAATTTTTTCTCTTTGCTTTTAGTCCTTTTCACATAATAATAACTGAGCTTAAAAAAGTATTGCCAAAGTATTTCACCATTTTATATTTTAGCATGTGAAAGGAGCTCCACATTTTTGGTTTTGCAACTTTGAGAAATAAAAAATTAAGAATTGATTAAATATTAGTATGGAAAATAAATGAGAGCAACTACAGATTTTTAAACCAATATTACCTTAGAGTATACAGAACTCGTCCATCATTCCAAATTCGAAGCAGACGATTAGGAGTTGTTATCCAGTGAGCATCAGATTTTCTTGAGTTTCTGAAGAAAGTGTCAGGAATCCAAATTTTTCCAACCATATTACTGTTAAGCATAAGCACTTTCATGGTACTATTGAATTTTAAACGACTGTCAAACCAGGTTTGGGCAAAAATTATATCTATTGTATATTCCTAAAATATAAGAAGAGTAACAACATATTAGTAAAGCTACTATTTTAGTTGTTTTTCTCGAAAGTTTGAATTTTTGTATTGTAAAGTTTCTGCAAGTAACAGTTAAACTCAGTCTTTTCGGAGGAAAAAAATGCCATTATTTTAAACTTTTTTTTTGAGACAGAGTCTCGCTCTGTCTCCCAGGCCGGAGTGCAGTGATGCAATCTCGGCTCACCGCAAGCTCCGCCTCCCGGGTTCACGCCATTCTCCTGCCTCAGCCTCCGGAGGAGCTGGGACAACAGGCACCCGCCACCACGCCTGGCTAATTTTTTGTATTTTTAGTAGAGAGGGGGTTTCACCGTGTTAGCCAGGATGGTCTCGATCTCCTGACCTCGTGATCTGCCCGGCTCATCCTCCCAAAGTGCTGGGATTACAGGCGTGAGCCACCGCACACGGCCTAAACTTTCTTTCTGTTTGCATGAGTCATGTAAAATGAAATCCAAGATTTCAAGTAGTTATTGTTGCACAGTTGGCTTTATTATTTTTTATTTTTTGTGTGTGAATTTTACTCAAGATTTTGTAGTATGTAGGATGTACTCATTAAACTTAAAAGCAAGTTATCTTAATGTCAACAATTATATTAATTTATACATACAGTTTAAGTCACATAAACAAAAAAGAAACTAGACGCAAAAAACAACCAAATTTTTTAAGAGCCCTTACATTGTTTTTTGTCTAAAAAGTTAATTCCAATTATTTATATCTACTGTTTTTAAATGTTTTAAAGCAACCACAAACTAACTTACTGAGCAATTATAAAATGCCAAACATATGTTAAGAGCTTTGCATGTTCATCTCACTAAATCTTTATTGCAACTCTGTGAAATATGTACTACTATAATCATTATTTTTCAGTAACATCTATTAATAGAAATATAAAATAATTCTTCTCACATCACAGAACTAATAAGCAGTTGATATGGAAACTGAGCCACTGCAGGCTAAATCCCAAGTCCACATCCATAACAAATGCATATAATGGTGGTTATAGTGAAGTCTGATGGGTTCCAAGGTTAGAGCAAAGCCTTTGTCCATAGTAACTGTAATTAGGAAATTCCACAATTAACAGAGAACCTTCAAGAGTAGATGATTAGATATTATCTACCTTTGTATCCTGACAAAATGTCTGCCATATTACAGGCATTTAACATATATAAAATGAACAAGAATGCAGCAGTAATCAATGCCATAGAGGAAAGGAAATAAATATACATATATATTATATATATGTACTATATATATTTATGTGTGCGTGTATATATGTGTGTGTATATATGTGTGTGTATGTATGTTTGCATGTGTATGTATATACTTTTGATATTTAAAAGAATAAGTAAATTGAAAAATAGGTATTATATAAGTTACTTCTGGTGGGAGAGATTGATTACTTGCACTTGATGTCGTATTAGCAATTGGCCAATTTTCCTGAAGGAAAATATTTAATATAAGAAATGGAAGTACAATTGGGGAAGTGGCCAATAAATGAAAAATGGAAAAAAAAATTACAAGTGGTTCATAAGTAAACAAACTAGATTCAACTTATTTATAGGGAAGTTGGATCAAATCCTAGGTTCCAGGCATACTACTTATAATTACAATTTGCTTAACTGGAATATAAAAATAAATTGAGAAGCTACCTCATTTTATCTATTTTTGATGAACAGTGTTACAATTCTGGAAAAGCATATACATAATAATTATTTAAAATCCAATAGGTACCAGAAACTATGTAATTGAGTATGAGATGTATGTTTTATAAAGGGCTTAAAATATATACACTTATAATTCTGAATAATTTATTCATATAATGAAGTAATGTGTAATCATTCAATAGTCTACCTATATATTTAACATCTATATTATGTCAGTCATTGTTTTGAATGGATTTAAAATATGAAGTTTTTGTGCACAAAAATGCTTGCATCATGACCCTCTCTTTACATAATTTTGATTGCTGTGCTAGAGTAACTTAGGGAGATAATTAAAATTTTATTTTTTGCAACTTAATATGGGATGGCACAGATCAAACTGTGCTGTGGAATATGGACTGAAAGTACTTTTGCAACCATGTAAGCCTTATAAATCTGATAGCCACACCCTTGCTTATATACTGTGTTTAAAGCACAGGCTGAGTCATAAGGCAAACCGCATCCCATAATACATAGTAATTCGTATTTACGCTGTAGATGTTTAATCATCTTATTGAGTAATATTAATGGAGTAACACATAAATTGTGCATGCATTTAGGAGGTCCAAGAGACCCTTATACACAACATCACTGGTGTACCTATTCTTTGAACCTTGTGAAAAATTCTTGGACAACTTCACTGAAGTTATCATTAATCCCCACTCTGCCTGCCTGTGTCTCAGGCCAGATGTTTTGTCTTTGGAATCAATTATAATTTAGCCAAGCAGCCTCTTCACCTGACACAAATGACTAACCATTCAGTCTAACCATGTAACCTACGCTAATGACATGATGTCTAATTTTAATGGCAAATACAAATAGACAGAAGGCTCAAACTCTACTATGGTAAACTAAATGCCCTGGAAAGAGCATTTAGTCAACTTTATTTGCCAGAATTATGTTGTACTGTTGCATAGGATCAAACAGCAGAAACTACTTAAGATACCAGTAAGGATTGCGGCTAGGCAAATATTCAACACTGGTTGGTAGAGGGAATGTAATGCTACTTGGCAGTTATACTTAGCTGCAGTATTCCTAATTCACAGGGCATTAAATGTGGCACTTGAGAACCAATTTGTCTAAGGCTGGGATTTCCAAAGCAGCTGTCAATACTGCTTAGCAGCTGCAGGACCTTCTTTAAAATCCCTGATTCTGGAAGTGTTAATCACTGTTGGAAGACTTATGATTTCCAAAGGATCAGAAATGGAAAAAGTTTTCTACTCACAGTTGTCCCCTCAATCTAATATCAAGAAGAGAAAGACTCAGAGCATATGTCTTGATAATCCATCCATCCCAAGCCCTTTGCAGAAGCTAATACTTATAAGCCCTTTTAAATTGCTAATTTTTAATAAATGCCTCACTGAAATAAGAAGACCATTAAAATCTATGCCATGTTACACGTAATAAAAAAAAATCCAGTTTTGTATTAGTGTAATTTCCAGCAAACGACCAAACTGCTCTTGTACTTCATGTTCCTGTTCACAGGTTATAATGATCTACACAAGAAATAAGCAAAAGAAAAACATAAAATCGAACTTCTGTTTACTCAGAACGAAAATACAAGAGTTTCTAAGATAAACATTTTGAGATAAGGAACAGTGCATTTAAAATTTGACATCCAATGTACTTTACAAAATGTGCTGTATCTCCTTGCAAGTTAGCTGACAAAACAGCATTAGTGAATAAATGTGAAGTGAGCCATTTTGATTCCTAACTTAATAAAATCAAATAATAATTGATAAGTGTGTAGTGCAGTCTCATTACTACATTGTCAGTTTGCAATTAAGCACTGTATCTCACATTTCAAATTACCAGTTAATTCAATATTACTGTCTTTCTAGTAATGGGAGAAACTTCACAAAAAATTCAAGACCTGCCAAAGCAATTAACCTAGGTGCATAATTTCATCATAAAATTTGATTGATCCTGATTTATTATTCCTATGTTGGCATTAATCTCTTCCAAAACTGTCTAGTCACATGGCCAGAAGAGAACGGTGGACCTAATAATTTTTAGCAGTAATGGAGCTATAGACATGTAGAGAAAAAGTACAAGTACAGCTAATCCATAGGACAATTAAATACCTTTAGTGGTAAAATTTTATAGGTATCAGCTCCAGTTTGCTTAATTATTGTAAAAGCACCAGCTTCTGAATTCTAGCAGGAAGAGGTAAATACAAAACTTGGTGTTATTCTATGTTTGAAATAGAAAAAGAAATAGGGAACAAAGAGGTTATGCCAATTGCTTAAATCATTGAAGTCATCAGCAATACAGGAGAGAGATTCAAAAAGTAGACACATATTCTGGATTCAGCTACTAACCCTTTGTGCTCTCTTTTTATATCTATGAATGTAGATTGCCAAAGGCACATAGCATCGTGTGCATTCATCAATTAAATTTTTAGCAGACATTTTTCAGTGTTCTTGTTAGTTTTATAATGTACTTGGTTTACAAAGACGAAAATGGAACCTTCTTGGTATGAACATATACATCATAAAATTGGAAATTAATAAAATGTAGAAGGGGTATAAAGAGAAATAGAAATAGTAGAGATTATTTTTAGTTAGGGGAACTTAAGAAAGATTTCACGACAGATGTTGCATTTAACCTGAAACCTGTAAGATTTGGAAATATTTTGATTTATGCACCAATTAGTAAATGGTGGAGGGAAGGGAGAGGACAAAGAGGCAGTAAAGGGCAGGGCGGGATGGAAAATAAAGAATGCAAGCCATATATAATGAAAAAGTAGACATCTTCTGTATGTCAGGGAATGTACATTCCTCAAATACACAGGGTATCCTACATCTGGAAGAGCTTTTTAGCAACTATTATCTAAAATTACCAATTTCCAATGATTGACCCTGCAGCCTAGAAACAGCTCTGAACACTGCACTGAGAATAATGAACTGAAAATCCTAGCACTTCATGTGTTAATTTTCTGCATCATGCTCAATCAACATTTCCTACTGGAAATATATAACTATATTTCCAGAATATATATTATATAATATTCTGTATAAAAATCAAAAGAGTAAAATATCAAACATTATATTCACAGAACAGTTAAACTATATAAAATAGACCATGAAGTAATGCAATCTGTAGGGTTTTATAAACCCTATGAATGAACTCCCAGTTCTTAAGAAGTTACAATAAAATAGGACAAGGTCAGCTTCCAGACCTTGGAATATATATAGTACCTGAGTACCTGAATTCTGGGTTTGGAGCAAGCTATTCTTGTGAGCTTGTATTAGTAAAGGTACTCCATAGAAACACAGCCAACGGGATAAATAGGTGGGCATATAGATGCTGACTGATAGGTAGAGGGATAGATAGATGAAAGAGAGAAAGGGAAAAGAGAGTTGAATCATGTGATATTGTAGGGGCTGGAAAGTGCAAAATGTGCAGGGAAGACTGGTAGTTAGGGAGCCAGGGAAGAGTTTATGATTCAGTCTTGAAGCCAAAGGCAGTCTGCAGCCTGAGTCTCTTCTTCCTAGAGGAACCTCAGTCAATCTTTAAAGTGCTCATCTGACTGGTTGAGGCCCAACTACATTATAGAGGGTAAACTGTTTACTCAAAAACTACTGATTTCAATGTGAATCACATCTAAATAATACCTTCACAGCAACATCTGAACTGGAATTTAGCCAAATACAGTCATGCACTGCCTAATGACATTTTCAGTCAATGATGTACAACGTTGGTACCATAAAATTACAATGCAGCTGAAAAATTCCCATCACCTAGTGATGTTGTGGCCATTCTAACGTCCTAGCACAACAGATTACTTACGTCTTTCTGGTGATGCTGATATAAACAAACCTATTATGCTGCCAGTTGTTTAAAAGTATAATACACACAATTATGCACAGTGCATAGTATTTGGTAATGGTAATGGTAATAAATAACTAACTTAATACTGGTTTACATATTTACCATACAATAATTTCTATCATTATTTCAGATTATCCTCTTTCTACTTTATACACACACAGACACAACAAATATATATGTTAACTGTATTATATATATACATAACACATATATATGTTAACTGTAAAATGACAGAAAGTATAGCATAATAAATACATAAATGAAAATACACACACATATGTTATATATATAATATATAAATATATTATAATGTAATGTATATGATGTATTTATGTATTTGTATACAATATGTATATGTACCATTATATATGTTAACTGTAAAACATCCTCAGGCAAGTCCTTCAGTAGGTATTCCAGACGACGTATTGTTATCAGATCAGATGACAGCTTTATGCATGTTATTGCCCCTGAAGACCTTCTAGTGGGACAAGATGTGGAGGTGGAGGACAGTAATGATGATGATTCTGACCATGTAGACTAATGTGTAGGATTTTTAGTTTTTAACAAAATGTTGAAAAAGCTAAAAAAAAAATTGAAAAAAGCAAAAGCTTACAAAATAATGACACAAAGAAAATACTTTGTACAGTTGTAAAATGTTTTTAAGCTGTTATGAAAATGTCAAACTTATAATAAATTTATAAAATAAAAAATTCAGTAAGCTGATAATAATTTGTTATTGAAGAAAGAAATTAAAAAATTAATTTAGTGTATTCTAAGTGCACAGTGTTTATAAGGTCTAAAGTAGTGCAAAGTAATGTCCAGGCCTTCACATTCACTCACCACTCACTCACTGACTCACCCAGAGCAACTTCCCTGTCTGCAAGCCTTCAGTAATAAGCCTCTTATGCAGGTATACCATTTTTATCTTTTATACCATATTTTTACTGTATTTTTCTATGTTTAGGTATGTTTAGATATGCAAATGCTTATTGTGTTACAATTACCTGTGACATTCAGTTTAATAATATTCTTTACAGGTTTGTATCCTAGAAGCATTGGGCTATATGATACAGCCACAGTATGTAGTAGACTATACCATGTAGGTTTGTGTAAATACATTCTGTGATGTTTCCACAATGGTGAAATTGACTAAAGATACATTTCTTATAATGTGTCTCTGTCATTAAGTGATACATAACTGTATTTGGGCACCATAGCCTGGCTAAGTTGACATGTAAAATTAACCATCACAGAGCTATTAACAGTAGGAATAGACACCCATGGATTGAGAACGCTTTTATAAAAATTATCCATGTGTTTCTTTTCCAGACAAGGGACAATTTATACTGTGGCAAGAAGGAACATATTCCTCCATCTCATGTTCTCTATGAAAATCTGTATTCTTGTCATTTTGTTCCATCTCTTGGTCTCTCTGAAGTTTGCTTCATATTTCTCAATTGAGTGGATGTAATATATTAAAAATCCATTACCTATAGATTATTGTCTCTGTTTATTTTTCTGCACTTTGAACTTGATCTGAATGACCATGAAATCTGAAAAGAAGTGATCTACACTGAAAACATAAGAGTATTGAGTGATGTTTCAAGAAAATAAGGGCAGAAAAACCATTGTGATGCTAGCTTCGCATGTGCGATGAATTTTTTAATTAAGTGAGATATAATAGAAGTGTGTTTACCTGTTTTTTAAACCTATTTTAAACTTACTTTGCCTCTGCTGAGATTCAATACTGATTTAAAACGGAGCAGTTCTTAGTAAAAATACTAATATTTGACAGATTTTAGATATATTTATGATAATATAATTTTTATTTAAAATCTAGCAATCTGGCAAAAGAGTAAAGAATTTCATGAAGTTAGTTTATGTCAAGAGTTGTCATATGCCATAAAATAATTTAAAAAATAATTATCCAAAAACATGCCTACTATTTTTGATAAATTAGAAATGTTTCCATAAACCTTTATTAAATTTAAATAAATATATATTTGATAGCCTTTCATTTAAGCAGGGAAAGCTAATGTAATTCCCTTCACAATATTTTCATTTGCTTTCCAGATTCCATCAAATTGTTTTTGCCCAGTGACTATTCTATATTGCCAAGCTCTATCTTCTCATTTTTTCCTGCTTTTCCCTCATTTTAATTGAGATACAAGGAAGCCTTTCCAAGATCATAGAACGTGTAAGAGATTCTGATCATGTACTCCACAATTTTAAACTCTTTACCGTAACTCAGGTCATCCATATGAGGCAAAAATTTTTAAACCAGAGAAATGAAATTTATATTTTGACAATTAGTAGTTTTGGTCACTTATTTCATACTTACCTTTCTTTTATCTTGTTTTTTACTTTCATGGCATTTGTATCTATGTTATCACTGTGGGTTATTTGGATGAATAAATGATTGAATAAGTCTAACTTGCATGGAGCACGCTTCCTAAGTATGAAACATAGTATGGTAACAAATATACAAAAGATCCCCTTTATTCATGGGGATACATTCCAAGATCCCCATTGAATGCCTGCAATCTTGAATAGTTGGGAACCCTATATATACCATGTTTTTTCCTATACATAAGTACCTATGATAATGTTCAACTGATAAATTACGCACAATAAGAGACTGACAACAATGAATGATACAATATAATTTTAATAACAAAATACTGTACTGAAAGTTCTATGAATGTGATCTCTACCTTCTTTTCAAAATATCTTACTGTACTGTGTTCACCTATTTTTGGATCATTGTTGACCATGGGTAACTGAAACCACAGAAAGCAAAACCACAGATAAGGAGGGACTATTGTATAAACACACTCAAACTATACTTCCCCATTACAGTTTATTACCAATTAACAGCATGATAAGAAGTTCTCTGTGACAAATGATTGATATTCAGATGAAGGTTCTGCTTCCTAGAAAAGCTTCATAGCCAATAGGCAAACTTGCTTTCTATCCACATGTGCAACATTTGTTATAGATTGGTTCAGTGCTAAACAGCTAGATTAATTGCTGTATGATCTGAATGGGAAAAGTGTTTCTACATCTGTGACTGCCCTGTACTAAAAATATTTTCTTGATGTCTGAATTAGTCTGTCCATCTGAGCAAGAGAGAACACTATATTTGGAAATGATATATTTAGAAATAGTCCACGTGACTCATGTTTTAAATTATTTATATTATTACCAGTTTATAAAATGCTTACTGTTGTCCACAGTCCAGCTGCAGAAAATGAAAAACTTTCCAACATTGTATCCTGCTAGTGGGGCATTATTTGCACTGCTGTCGGAAGCACTTGCTGCTTCTGTTTACCTGAGGAGTTTGAATCCTATTGCACATGTCACAAAGCTAGGTACCCCTACCAGGAAATCCAAGGCTTATCATACAGTTTTAACAATTTCAGTTATGGTAATTTGTTACAATTTTTATTATAACAAAATGTCCGAAGTCAAGATATTTAAATAAGTTTTCTCTGCTTCACATTTTAATTAAACTGAAGAGCAGCTGGTGTTAGTTCAAATTCATTGCCAATCTAAGACAAACCTTTACTACATTGTTTTAAGCCTTTGCTAGATATAAAAATAACACATTGAATAAGGGATAAGGTATTGTCTTTTAATTACGTACATAATTTTAAATACTTTCCAGATAATCAATAGAACAAATACTGAATATATCCAAAGTATGCATTACAGTAAGAGTAATGTGTAGTACAAAGAACACTGATTGGATGGAATGGGAAAATTTTGTCATAATTCTGATTCTGAGACTTACTAGAGTAGGGTGCTGACTGAGTCACTTATACACTCTTATTGGCGAAATGTGGGCAAAAGGCAAGATCATAATTATTATATTTCCCAGCTCTAAGACTCTATGATCATGAAAACATTATAAAATATTAGAAATTAATATATATATATTTTAAAAAGTCCTACCTATAAGGAGGGATAAAGCCTAAGATGAACACGGTTTCTTTCAATGACTCTTCCTCATACAAATACTTTCAGTCCGTAAGTACCATTGTTTACTTTCCTTTAATCCTACCTAATCCCTACTAAATTTATAGGTGAAAATGGCCTAGACTAGTAATCTCCAAACCTGGTTGACTAGAATTCTCTGATAAGCACTTTCAAAATTCTTTTTGTTAATTTTTAACTTTTTTACTTTGAACATTTTATTTTAAAATTTTACTTAGAATTTTATTTTAAAAAATTAGAGGCAAGAGCTCACTGTATTGCCCGAGCTGGTTTTGAACTCCTGAGCTCAGGTGATCCTCCCGCCTCGGCCTCCTGAAGTGCTAGGAATACAGGCGTGAGCCACTGTGCCCAGCCAGCATTTTCAAAATTCTAATTCCAGGACTCCATCTGAGATTACTGTATCCGAATCCCCTGGCCTGAGAACTTGGTTTTTTCTTTTTCACAAAATTGCCTTTTTCCTGTCTATCATTTGGGGTTATGAAGGTTTGAAAAACTATGGCTTTATATTCCATTTCTTTACCAGGGTGTAAATATCTACAAAAAATTTAAAAAATCAAATAAAAGAAGAAAGAAAGAAAGGTCCTTGCTATATAAAGAAAATTCTATCTAATTGCAGAATTCCAGGACATTTAAGTGCATTTTGGAGTTTATATAATATCTTTTGCAGCAACATGGATGGAACTGGAGGCCATTGAGTGAAACAACTCAGATAAAGAAAGATAAATACAAATATTTCCATTTATAAGTGGGAACGTAAAACTCTGTACACATGGATGTAGTGTGTGGAATGAGAGACAATGGAGATTCAGGAGGGTGGAGTGGCAGAGTGGTGAGGAAGATAATAAATTCCTTAACGGGTAAATGTACATTATTGTGATGATGGCTACCCTAAAAGCCTGACTTCACCACAGCACAACCTATCCATGTGACAAAATTATACTTGTACCCCATACAATCCTATAAATTAAAAAATCTACAGATGAGAAAAATTGTCTAGGACTCTTCAATCTGAATCATGGAGGCTACCATTTTTCTAAACAGTAGCTCTTTATACTAAAATCTATATGAAAATATGTGTGTTTGTGCGTGTATGCATATGTACATTTAAGGAAATTTTGGTTTTTAACATTCAACTAACATATGTATCTCTACACAGTTTTAGAATGTAATCTCCTAACATGACAAAATATGAACTACCTAAATTTATCTTAGGTCATGTTCATATATATATATATATATATATATATATATATATATATATATGCTAAATTACTTTTTCTTAGATATGTATGGTTGGATGTGTGTTTTTATTATTAGCAAAGTCACTCTTTTCTGATAAATAAATGGGTAAATAAAGGTGTAAAAAATTAGGAATCATAAGAGTATGTTTGAATCAGCTATAACATCTGAGATTTGGAATAGTGACTTGGAGCAGCCAGTTAAAGCAAGGCCAAAAACCAAGTTTTAAGTACATTTATGATAGTCATGAGCTGAAGCAAACTAGACATTCATTCTGTCAGAACATTGCCCACAAACCTGCCCTGAGGCCAGAATTACCAAGCAGTACATTCTACAACATTCTATGATTACTAACCCATAAAAAACTAAAAAAATTGTAACCAATTCAAGACTGTTTGCCTTGAGGTATCTATCTTGAAGTTTCAAAAAATTCAAAAAATTTTTGAATTTGTTTTCTAGGCATTCAAAATATTCACTTTCAATATTTGACCAAAATCTGAGAGGTCTAGGGTGTGTATATATATAGCCTGAAGAAATAATAATGGTGGCTAAAATATTTAATAATAATATTACTCTTAATTACAGCAAATTGGAACTATTCCACATGTAAAATAATTCATTACTAAATAATATGCAACATTTAACGGATTTCTTAAAAGTAATGACATAGTATATCATTACTTTTAAAAAATCCGTTAAATGTTGCATATTATTTACAATGAGAACACATGGACACAGGAAGGGGAACATCACACACTGGGGACTGTTGTGGGGTAGGGGGAGGGGGGAGGGATAGCATTAGGAGATATACCTAATGCTAAATGACAAGTTAATGGGTGCAGCACACCAACATGGCACATGTATACATATGTAACAAACCTGCACGTTGTGCACATGTACCCTAAAACTTAAAGTATAATAATAGCAATAAAATATTTTTAAAAAAAGTAATGACATAGTATAACACATAGAAAAACATAATACTATAAAACAGTGAGGTTAATAAAGCATTGGGTAAAACTATGTACATAAAGTTATGATCATAACAATGGTGACCACTAGATATAATATTTCAGGATATTTTAAATTTTTTCTTCTATCTAAATTAAATTTCTAATTTTCTTGGTTGAGTATGTATTTCTTTTATAATAAAAAACTATTTTTATGAAGAACATCTTTAGAAGAAAATAGCATTAGGATCACCATTTACAATTTAAAATAGGTATAACTTCACACACAGAATTTTTTTTGCCTTTTCCCTTCTCTCTCAGTCTAATTTGCATTTTTAGTCATCTTCCCTGCTAGGTTTTATGTCTTCTGAAGAAAGGATGACATATCTTTTCTGATATCTTTTTTTAACAATGAACCAATTGTCACTATAATAAATGGTAAATAAATATATGACAGACAAATAAAACAATGAAATATATATATACATATAAAATGTGTATTTGAATTAAGAAATAAAATTATTTTGATAATTTTTAGAGATTCTAAGGTTAATCTAATTTCCTAATACTAGGAACTTTCACTTCATATTTATAGAGTCAATGAACACACTGGATAAAAGAAACAGCGATGAAAATGACTTTTATTTATTTCTAATATTTAATTTTTTCTCTATAAATGTTGAATCAAAAGTAACTAAATTTTTTATTATTTTAAAATAAGATCTGTTAAAAAATATATTTTATGTAGTGACAAAAAGTTAATATATGCAGAAGAAAAGAAATTAAAACCATAGTTTCAAGCTTTAAAATACTGCAAACACCAAGAAAATAAACTTATAATAGATTTTAAAAATACAAATGTGTTTCCTAAAGTACTGCAATTAATCACATCTAAGAAGACTAATACCTTTTTCTTCCCCACCATTGGCATATGCAGGTCAGTTATCTAAATAGCAAACAAAATCTTATTTCCAAGCATTTGCCATTTCAAAATTCTTCAAGCTAATGTACTTGGCAAGAATTGCCTCTTTCCAGTTAATATAGTAAAATGAATAAAAAGGGTTTCTTTGATGTGTAGAAACTATAGCTAAAGGTTTTATCTCCTAAAACTAGAAGCCCAGAAACATACAAGGGAGAGAGGGACAGAGAAAGGGAGGGTGGCAGGGAGAAAAAGAGAGGGTGAGAAAGAGATCAGCCTATGGAATGCCGGAACCAATTGCATGAACCACCCTAGAAACATGTGTTTCTTGCAATGGAATAAATTATATGGAAAGAATATCTCTATGAGCACCAGTTTTCTCCATATGTTTAGAATGCTTAAATACAAGTTATATGTCTTGAGAGTTTATTATCAAAATGAGTTTGAAAAGTTAAAGAGGCTTACTTAAAAGTCAGTTCTCACCATTTTGAACTGCCTCTTAAAGCTATTTGACCATAGATTTTGGTCAAATATTGAAAGTGAATATTTTGAATTTTTATAAAACAAATTAAAAAATTTTTTGAATTTTTTGACACTTCAAGATAGATACCTCAAGGTAGACAGTCTTGAATTGGTTACAATTTTTTCTAGTTTTTTATGGGTTAGTAATCATAGCCTATCTACATTAAGGTTGGATACTTGGCCATTTCACTTAAATAAAGGAAAAACAATATTATTGAGAAAAATCCCTCATTTACATTCTATAATAAATAATGTTTGTGACTTCTGTAGCTCCACATACATTTTTGTTTAAAAAGTTTTGTTTTTTTTTTTTCCTTTTGTAGAAAGCAATTCGATTTTCGTTTTCTGTTAAAAAAGATTCTGAAAATGGGCATTCCTGTTACATATTTCTGCACAGGCCAGAATGAAAGCATTCTGTCATTTGCTAAGTTAGCCTGATCCTCTTTGCCTACTGCTCACCCCTTTGTAGTCCTCTCCAGCATGCACTTATTTTGAAGTATAGCCCAGGTGACTTCCCAGCTCCTTTTTAAATTGTCGTCTTCGTAACTGGTGCCCTTGTTCCTCAGCCCTGTCTCCGTTACTAAGAGGAATCAGAATTTCTAGCAGGAAGATTCTACCCAGTTTCAATTTCCAGCAGGAAGATTCTATCTAGTTTCAGAAGTATATTCTAGGACTGTGTGATATATCACTTTTGCGATTGGAAAATATTTAAATTAAGTTCTGCAGATGCGAACTGGGATCTAAGTAGTTTTTATTAGTTGTTCCTTGTCCCTCACTTTCAAAGTTTCTATATTAGTCATCTCTTAATATTGGATTATATAAGGGTATACCAGTTCCTACAATTAAATTCATGTCCAAATTATACCTGGAATTTTTAGTGGTAGCTACTTTTGTACTTACTAATCTTATACTGTAGCCTCCTGTTAGATACCCATAATATCATCTTGAATTTCCTGGAGCTTTTACCAATTTTGACTTGGCTTTAAAGAATTGCTATGGCCCTTGAGTGTTGTACTTGCCAGTCAGAGGGTACCCAACACCGTGAGATATTTACTCAGAAGAGTAAAGATACATAATATCCCCCAAATCTGAAAAGTTACGAGGTTATAACCATTTTGTCTCATAAACTCTAGTAACATGTTCTTGACTTCAATTCTGATTGCATATTTTTCTTCTGCTTATATTGAAGATAGTTATAATCAAACCATATATAAAATTGAACAGCTTCTTTCCAAGTTACTCTATTTTTCCCCAGTCTTCATTAGTGCATCTGTTACTCATTTTGACTGTAAAAAGAAAAGCATATTCCATTGTAGAATAATGTCGTTTTAGGCATTATTCAGAAATCTATGGAAATGCATTTTATGTATCCAAGTTTAAAAAGAAACACCCATTTTGCAGCAAAACAAATTTTGGCTAACTTAAAAAAAACTAATATATTAATTTTGTTTCTTACTGGTCACTTAAATTATATGAGTACTTAAGGGGGTGGCACCCTCTTGCTTAAATATGCTCAAATCTGCTTCCTTGATTACACTCACATTCAAAGCAATTTTGCTCATTTTATGAAAAGTGAATTCTAATTTCCCTGTATTGTTTAGTTAAAATAGTCTTCTACTTAACCTATTTCTTATTCATCCCTAGTATCACAATGCTTTTCTTTTTAATAAACATTATCAAGTGTTCCATGGGGTTCTTTTATTTGTTTATTTTCACCTGTTTTAGTATCACTAGTTTCAATAGCAATTTTATTTAATTAGGTTTTTTTAAACAATCACTGTTGAAGGTTACAAGTGTGTAATTTGCTCCACTGGGGAAACTAAATCTTTAATACCATTAATCTTTTATATAGGAAGATCATTGTAAAAGTCTGTGATAGCCATTCTTGTCAAAGTGTTTCTAGAATACCAATACATCCTTGAATCTTGTTTCTCTTTACTTTAATGACCATATTTTTATTTAATATATTCATGCAAATTGAAAACATAAACCCCAAACGAAAAATATACAATTCATGAAAATGCCAACATTCCCATATGCTCAAACAGGCTTCTTTTCTCTAGGCATTGGTTACTTAGAAACTAAACATTACAATACTCCACTAAAGAAGAAATATAACATTTTAGCAATGTACTACTTTATGAAATCTGATATTTGCATATTGTTAAAAATGCACCTATTACACGTGTATATTAAAAGTTTTCTGTTTGCAAAAATCAGCTTATTGTATAGTAATTTGTTTGAGTAGAACTAATACTAAAAAGATTTGTTGAAACTTTCTCTTCCCTTGGTTTCCACGTCATTGTTTTGTCACTTTCTTGCCAACCTTGATGTTTCATTTACTATCTCAGCTTCATCTTTCAGGTCCTTAAATACATGTGTTCCCTAAGGTCTGCTATTCATTTCTTTGTTCTTCTCTCTTCACTTTAAGGCTGTTTTCCCCCATCTCACAGAGGTTTAGCAAATTCCTGACAAAGATTTGGCCCCAGCCTCAACTTTTCCCTGAATCTTAGCCCCTAATTTAAGACTAACTTCTAGGTCAGTCTATTGGAACATTCCTTCATCCTCTCAAATTCAATTTATCCACAGCCAGTTCATATTTTCTTGCACTAATGTGACAAAGATGTCACTTATGGCATGGCTAGAATGCTATCACTACAGTAATCAGTGCAGACAGCTGTAAAAGTTAATGAGAGTCATGTGAAGATTACATTGAGTAGGAGAAAAACTGAGTGTGACTGTCACACCAAAGGAGTAAGCAGACATAGGCAACTGTTAGGCATATTATAAAGGTTCACCAGCTATAAAGTGGTAAAGCCTGTAATAAAGGGATGATTTGACTATTATAATATTGAATAAATAAAATGAAGAGGAAAATCAGCAAGATATTTGAGAATTATCTTTGGAAGTCTTATGGGCTGAACCCCCTAAATTCATATGTTGAAGACTTAATCCCGAGAACTTCAGAATGTGACTATATTTAAAGGCAGAGCATTTAAAGTCAACATGCGGCTTTTAGGGTGGGCCCTAATACAATATGACTTGTGATAAGAAGAGAAACGTTGGATACAAAAGGAGATATCAGGGATGCACAGGCACAGAGAAAAGACCATGTAAGGACACAGTGAGAAAGCAGCTGTCTGCAAGCCAATGACATAGATCTTGGACTTCTGGCCTCTATAACTGCAAGAAATAGATTGTTGTTGCTTAAACCACCAGTCTGTGCTACTTCGTTGTGGCAACCCTAGTGAACAAATACCAAAGGCAAAAGCGAAGGAGAGGAGTAGAAGACATTATTGAATGCATTCCATGGGATCCAGTAGTTTGAACTCACAGAAATGGGATTATTAGCGTTTGGAACTGAACATTATGAAGTCTTTTTTAAAATAATGCTGGTTGCTCATATTGGCATTGTTAATTTTGCTCTTCATTAGTAATAAAACACTATTTATTCTATGTATAAAACATAAAAAATGAATATCACACTTTCTCAGTTTTCATTCTAAATGGTCTTTTCTTGATATTTTCTCAAATTATCTCTCCCTCCCTTATTTCTCTTCTTCTCTCCTCTACCTTCTCTACTCCCATACTCTTATCTCATCTTCTTCTAAGCCATGTTTCTCAAAATAGTAGTTTATAAAATTAAATCTACATTCCCACTCACTCCCTAGCACCCAGAAACCAGCACATGACTACATCACTATCCCTGCAGGAACCATATTTATTCTCAGGGATCCATGGCAAAAAGTTTGGACATGAGATCAATTTTGAAGATGAAGGAGGGATATGCAATCCAGCTGTTATCCCTTTCCTGCCTTCACCATTCCAACTGAATTTCTCCTAACAAAGCTAATCAACACCACCTACTTGTGAATGCCAGTTATCACTATCTAATCCATTTTATTGTATTCTCATGTGCATTTGTAACTCATTATCATTCCCTCCTTCTTTATCCTCTTTACTTTCTCAGATTTTATAATATCATCTTCTCTCGGTTTTGCTCCTACCCTTCTGACTTTTCTGAATATGTCCCCTTTCTGTGCTTCTCTTTCTTGCAACTATATTTTACATACATTCATCTCATTACACCATCTGGTCCTCAGATCTGTGATCTTCTTAATCTGAATCTTCTCTTAGATCATCTCACACATTCTTAATGTCTTGAGCTTTATTATATACTGCTTGTCTCCTTTCTCTTTCTCATCTACATCTATATTTTGTCCTAACTTCTTCCCTGATAGCAAATCTATAAGGCAAAATGCTGCTGGACCATTCCTGCTGAATGCACCATGAGCATTTGGGGTACATAGGCCTGCACTGTATTCCTACATCTGATAATGACTCTACCATCTTCAAAGTCTCTTCATTTCAATACCTTGGAGTCAGGTTACACATAATTAATAAGTCACCAAATTCTCAAAAAATTACCTATTTTGAAAAAAATGTATTATTTTCATCTCCAGCTTGATTGCAACTGCAGTAGGTAAGCCCTTGAAGATCTATTGTCCAGACTAACACAATAACCTGTAATGGGTCTCTGTAACCCTAACTTGGACTCTTACCTCCATCTTCTATACTGCTATAAGAGAGATGTATTTAAAAATGTACATCTGCATTTGACACTCCCCTGGTAAAATGTTTCCTGTCATTTATCTTCTCCCAAGGGATACAATTTATACATAATACAATTTACAAGCTTCCTATTATGATGGCTTACAAGACTGTCCTTGATAAGATCCTTAAATATCCCTTTTGCCTCAATTCCTTACTTTACACTTTATATTCCAGTAACATCAAATTGCTGGAAGTCCCCCTGATCTTATCAGGCTGTTTCATTCCTCTGTGACTTTGTGCATGCTGCTTTCTCTGCCAGTAAGTCTTTTTTTTCTCTGATTGACTACTTTCCCCTCAGACTTCCTGATTTTTTTTCTTTCCAGATTTCTTCAGGGACCTCTTCTTGGTGGATCAGATGATAATTTGTTATGCCGTTGCATAGTTCTACCAAACACAGCACATTGGAATAACAAGATACAGATTCTTAGATACAGGTATAGTTTAGCTCCAGTTGCCAATACCTGGCACAAAGTAATTGTACATGTTGATCTGAATTCATTCAGAATTAACTATAAAAAATTACTCACATGCGAATTCTATTTTGGAGGTATACACGAGAGATCTCTGTGGCAGTTATTATTTTTAATATTTCTTACTTACCATATTAATTGGATCAACTGGTCCAATGCTGTTTACATAAACATCAGTTTCAATTACTGTGGGCCTCACTGCAAAATATCAACAAAAAGAAAGGTCAAAGATATGATTAGACATTGTTTTAAATAAATCTTAGTTTTAAAGAAATCTTAATAACTACTTATATATTAACACTTCAATCATAAAACATCTTTTATTATGAAATGCAGAAATGTAGCCTTTATAAAAAACAATCTTTTTGGTTTGCAAATCAGTCACAGATAATTATATAGAGATAAAGCACATGAGATAATGCAGAAAAATGACCTTGTAGACTGAAAGTTTCTGTTATTGTGGCATGTTTTTAGTCATACATGCTCAGTTATCCTTTTCAAACTTCATCTGTTTTTCCTATATGACCGAGTACTTATCACTCATAATCGCAATGCTATGATTGACCAGGCAAGATGTATTTATTCTTTTAATACACACACAAGTCTGGCAGGCTGAATATCTATTCAGTCTCAGTCTCCTGGTCTTGGCATTTTTCAATCTGACAGAGCCCTCAAGCTACCAAACTTCAGTGAAAAACTTGAAGCATTTTGTAAAACAATGTCTATCAAATTTTAGAACAATATTTTACCCCTTGCAATTAAAAATACACTTAATAAAACACACAACACTTACATAGTTTGTTTTTCCTCAAGCAAAAATTTTATTATATTGCATACGTATTTAATAACACAGATTTAATTTTAGTACACAAAACTATGTTTCTAGACCTACACAATACTTGAAAATGCAATTCCATTTGCTAGCCATCAATTAGATATCTTAAATAAAAGTAGGTCATATGATTTATAGAAGGTTTTACAATTTAACATAGGCTGATGACTTCTGAGATGAGTTGCTTTAACTGTTTCTCCTTTGTTTCTGACTAGCTAAGACTTGTAGCCAATAAATATAAAATTAAGCCAGTTATAGTTAGATTTACAGAATGATTTTCATGAAAGTCAATTAACAACGAGACAATAGATTTATTAGTTCCATCTGTAAGTACATTTATTACCACTTATAAGTAGTTATAACTGGTATAAACAATATACCATTCTTATATAATAAGAGATTTTTTTTTTCAGTTAAACTGATAAATCAGCAAACGCCGAGTGCCTACTTTTATTTCACATATTCAAAGCTGAACGTTGTCTACATTGAGAGGGAAATTGTTCCTGGGACAATTTTCTTTAGAGGATAAATGTTTTCTACATTTACAATGTCAGAGGTTATAGATATTAGTTAACTGTCTTGGTTTCCTGACATCAACATTTCTTAGCCAATTATAAGATAAACATATACATTAGAAAAATAACTCTGGCATTTTAGCATGAGTTACATAGAAGCAGAGATACTGAAGTGTTTTATGATGAGCATAGAGCAATTGCACCCAGAATGAGACAAAAGAATAATCATATCAGTAAGTCCAATATTGCTACTAATATAGAAGATACTTAGTTAACAATTGTTAAATATGTATGTGAAAGCTATGACGAATCTTTTTGAGTTATTCTGTTCACCATTTTGTAAACTTGAGATGCTATTTGATCTGATCCTTGAATCTGCAGCAGCAACCGACAAAGATGAATAAACCAGGAAGTAGACTAAAATATTTCATATTAATTTTGAAACCACGGCTGGTGATATGCTTTAAAATATAATTAAGAAAAAAAACCAGAAATCTGTAATTGCTTCTTAATAATGACTCATTGTTGCTTTGATTCATACTATGAACAATACTAATGAGTAATATTACTTAAAATACAGGCTTTTGGAAATTGACTAAGTACTCTTTCTTAGCACTATGATTTTCTCAATCCAAAGTTTATTCAATTGCAAGATATGAGTGATGTTCAAAAACTAAGACATTATATTTTAATTTAAAACTAGAAAAATAAAACTAACAGAAAATTGTCATTCCAGACTCTAAATAACATCTTGAAAGTAAGCACAGACTATGTTTAATTCATCAATACACATGGAGATCAAAGATCTCTTTTTTGCAATAGCATAACAATGCATGAGAAAACCATGTACTGCCATGGCAAATCACATATGTATATATAAATGTGAAGGCAGGTAGAGATGACACTGGATTATTTTTGCAAGGTTTCTTTCTGTGCTGTTATTTTAAGTACTTTGCTTTAAGTTGCTCAACAGGATATAAGTAGATATTCTCCCAGTGGGATTAGAGGTTCAGGGCAATTTAAAGAACATCCAGAAAACAGAAATAGGAAGAAAAGTTTAAAATTTTAAAAAGAAAAAAGCTGTGTGATCAATAAAGTTTCCACATTCAGATTCCAAGTAGCAAAGGCAATAGTTAGGACAGCCAATTGTAGAGGTGGGTAATTGGTATATCAGTGAGAAAATATAAACTACAATAGATTTTAAAAATCTTTTCTTTATAATTGATTTTAACCATGCTTTCTTGGACACACTATTCTAATTTCACTAAGATATCTTTAGCAGATTATGTAGCTTTTTGGTCACTTTTGTATATTAAAATTAATTTAGGTCAATTAAAAACTCTAATCCTGGAGAGTTTTATAGACTTTTCTTATTGTCACAGAATAGGCCTTAAAAAAGAGAAATAGTCCCACTTATTCAGATATTGCAGTTATCACACATAATTTTTTTTCTTTATTTTATGTTATATAAATTTTACTTCAAATTTAAATATTTCATTTCACCAAGTATATTATTGTTTGTAAATGATATAGGTACAATTCCAAGAAAGCAAGCAACCACCTAGTGTGAATACTCTTACACAACTGATTGCTTTTGGACTCTCTTCTGGTCCTTGCCCATATACAGGTTTATTTTTATCAACCTACTCAAATTTCTATGAATATTTTCTTTTATTGTGAAAGCAAGTTTTTGTTTTGTTTTGTTTTTAGAAAGCAAAGGAATAAAAGAATGGCTACTCCATAGGCAGAGCAGCCTCTATGATTTTCTGAAAGTTTATTCAGGGAGTCAACTGTTTTTACCTGCAAATAATTGTTTCTCATAAATGTACCAACTGTTTTATTCAACCGATACATTCATGAGAGATATGAGCGTATAATTTTTTTTTCTTGTAATATCCCTGGCTGGTTTAGTTATCAGGATTTTGCTGGTTTAGTGAAATGAGTTGAGTATCCTTTCTCTATTTTTTTTAAAGAATTTGTGTAAGACTTATAGTAGTTCTTTCTTCTATATGTGGTGAAATTCACTAGTAAAGCAACAAAAATGTAATATTATTTCTGAACTGAATCATCCTTCTGTGAATACGTTATTGAGACAATTGGGAAGTGGGGCCAAGTATTCACTGGTAGTAATATATCAATATTATCTTCCTGGTTTTCATTATTGTGTCATGCTTATATAAGGTTGAAATAATATAAGTATATTCTAGGACCACAACAAAGTTAAAATAGAAGTCATTAATAAAAAAGATATCTTTAAAAATCCCTAAATATTTAGAAATTAAATAACATTTAAAAAATAATCCATGAATCAGGAAAAAGTCAGGAGGAGATAAATTTTTCAATAGTAAATAAAAATGAAAATAATGTTACAAGTTATAAAATTGAGAAAAATAAAATATCGATCTAGTTAACAGAAAACCTATAGTTATTAAATGGTAGAGCTTATAAACATGTCCCAAGAAGGAAAACTCCAGGTCCATACCACATATAGACTTTGAAATAATTATGATTAACATGTTCCAGTTTCCCTAGACTATACAGCAGAAGTCTTTGACCCAAAGATAGATACCAAGCTCGAGTTTAGATACTTCTTGTGAGACCTTAATTAACAAGGAAATGTCAAACACCACTTGACAATCAACCTTTCCAGGTTACATTTAGATATATGTGGATGAAAAGGTACATAGGGATAAGTAGATTCTTAAGGCTGAGCTGTCTAATACTGTAGCCAGTAGAAACATATGGCTGTTTAAATTTAAATAGAAATTAATTGCATTTAAATGAAATAAAAATATTTCTTAACCACACTAATCACATTTCAAGTACAGAACAGCCACTTGTGGCCAGTGCTTCCAAAAATGGTCAATACAGAACAACATTTCTATCATTTCAGTAAGTTTTAATGAACAATGTTCACCAGTGGTTCTCAATGAGAACACCATGTCGCCTGTAAATTATTTTGAAAATTTCTGGGCAGCTGTTTGTGTTCGTCACAAAAATTGGGATTGTTAGTAGTAGTGTTTAGTGGATGAAGTGCTTGAACTTCATAAAACAGTCATATGTAATGAAAAATTGTCCCACATTTAACAAGATTTTGAATATCCTGTCTAGCATTCATATAGGTAAAACAGTATGCCTTATAGTCTGAACCTAGAAGATAAGTTTTTTTACACATAAACACAAAATATTTCTGTGTTTGCTAGGAATTCCTGAAAAACAAAACACAGAAATATGGTATTTATTTTGTTCTGACTTTTACAAAATGTTGTACACCATTTTAGATAGCCATATCACCAATCACAATGTTGCTCATAGTACTGGAGTCACTGATAAGACACATTTGTATCTCTTAACTTGCGCAGGCTTTCCAATATGCAGTCATTCTGTGTATAAATGCAAGCATCTGGAAGCTTCATAATTTCTTTCAGTGTAGTTAAACCTGAGCATTCGCATATAGAATGCCAAATATTTCATTATAAATTACTTTTCGCACCTTACAATACAGGCATGGTATAGTGTATATCCCACTATAAAATACACACACACACACACACACACACACACCCCATATATCTATATTTAAATGGCATGTGTGTGTGTGTTTGTGTGTGTTTGTGTGTGTGTGTGTGTGTGTGTGTGTGTATTCCCAAGAATGTCTTCTCAGGAAAATTGAAGGCTGGTTTCTCATTCTCTACTTAAATATATGTTTAGGCAGCAGACTTGGCAACCTGCTCTTGCTCCCATACCTGATCAGGGAAAAGGAAAAATAGAAGTGATAGGACTTAAAGAAGAAAAAGCAGAGGAAGAGCTGCACACCTACTCTTTAGCACTTTTAGGATATTTTATTTTCTTGTGGGTATAAAGCACGCCAAAAGAAAATAACTTGGTTAGCAGCGTCTCACAGGTTTTTTGACCTCAAGAGAGTTGTGCATCAGCAGCACATATCTTCAGACTAGATTGCTGATGAAAGGAGTTAAGGCAGGTGGAAGATACAGAAGAGCATCCAGATTTCCCAAGCCAGGGAATTGAGCCATATACAATGCCTATGAAAAACAACAAAAAATTATTTATACCTCCTAACCATAAAAGTCATTATTTATACGTCAAGCCTTTAACTTACACCTAAGGCCACTTGATGTTACCCCAAAAAGAAGTAACAAGTAACAAGACTAAGGTTGCAACTATGCCCAGTTAAAACGTAGACCAATCTTCTTTATATCTCCCCCATGTCCCCATCGCTAGAAACATAGAAGAGATAAAGAGATGGAATAAAACAACAAGCCACACTACTCCCTTTCTTACCATCCTCTTACCCCCACAGTGTCACCCTAGTGGTGCTTGTCTTACCTGTGTCTCAAGAGAGGATGTCTTTTAATCTGGATATTAAATTTTTATATTAGGTTGAACTATTTAAATAACTGAAACTGTTTGGAAAGTCATAGAATCTACTTGTAAAGTTGTTAAGAAGTAGGAAAATAGGCTAGGCATGGTGGCTTCTGCCAGTAATCCCAGCACTTTGGGAGGCTGGGGCAGGCAGATCGCTTGAGCTCAGGAGTTTGAGATCAGCCTGGGCAACATGGTGAAACCCCGTCTCTACAAAAAATACAGCAATTAGCTGTGCGGGGTGTGGCACGCTTGTAGTACCAATTACTCAGCAGGCTGAGGTGGAGGGATCAGCTAAGCCCCAGGAGGTTGAAGCTGCAGTGAGCTATGATCACACCACTGCACTCCAGCCTGGATGACAGCATGAGACCATGCCTCAAAAAAATAAAAACATAGGAAAATAATATTTATCATAAAGCAATGGAAGCTTAACTGGATGAACAAAACCTTTCTATGTTAATTCTCCATTAAGTTCAGAAGACCTCAATAAGTTGGTTTTATAAGTTTTCATAGCATCACCAAAGACAAAGGGTACTAAAACATATTTTGGACAGAAAGCGATACATACAAAAATTACTTCAACAATTAAGTCACCTATGATGTAGTCAGATGCACAGAAAAAAATGCTACTATTCATGATACAGTTATCAAGGTATCCAGGACATATTTAACCTAATGTATTAAACACAGTGATGCTATCACAATTGTATATAAAATTTGAGCATTCATAGCTTGATCTGAAATAAATGTACCTAAAATGCAAAACTCATGGAGTAGGGCAACTATCAAAATACCTACACATGGACTAAAAAAGACTATATACAATGGATTCTATTCTACAAATACTTGGTAAATATTAAGAGAACCTAGTTTATATTTTAAGCATTGATTTAGCAATTAGGAATATAGTGATTTATAGTTTTAGGGAACTATATATAGTTCTCTATATATAGAGAAAACAGACACAAAATAATAATAGTAAAGTATAAGGAGTAAAACAGAAATACAGACTCTGATGCTTCCTTTGTGGTTTAATTGATATCAAAATATCCAACCCAATAAAGAAAACTATAAATTTTTTTTAAATAAACACACACAGATGGTGAAGAAAGCAGAGCAAATCAGATAGCCAGAATTTGATGTAACAATTCCCTGAAGATAATGAAAATGACGTGAGTTCTACATTACTCTTTGGCCACTTCTTCCCCTTGGTATATTTGCTGTTTGACAGCACAGCAATAGTGACTGAACAGAACAGAGCAGCTTAGAGCTTTTAGATCTTTTATTTGGCTGGAGAGACAAAACTTCGAATTAAGGGCTATCAGGACAGCTAGGACTTCCCTGGAATACACACACACACACACACACATACACACACACACACACACACACACACACACACACACACACGGAATTTAATCGGACATTCTACATGGGATTTCCCCTCAAGGCATTTGCTGTTTCCTAAATTGTACGTATGTGATGTTGACAAACCAAATATAAGCAGCTCCTAAGCATCTAAAACAACAGGAAGAGAGTTGAGCTATTTTAGGGATGTCTGACTAACAAAGGAGAGAGGATCCTGGTACAAACCTCAGGCTGTCAGTCCAGACATCTCAAATGGTTGGTCTTAGGCAAAATAAAAGCTTTACCAAGGAAATTACGCTAGTTCTGACCAAATGACAGTGATTTTCTTTACTCAACCTGACTATCGAAACAAAATTAAGTCCTCTCTGGAATAAAATAATGTCATGTAGAATCTCCATTATTTTTCACATACCCTACTCGCATTCAACACAAAATTAAGACACATTCCATGAAATACAACCACATAACCTTAAACAGAGAGAAACAATGGAAAAGAAAATTTTAAAAAGTTACTCAAGTTATCAAGACATCGTAATGATCAAAGATTTTAAAATAACTTCTGTTAATAAATATAAGAAAATAGAAGAAAAGATTGCAAATATTATAGTATACCTGAAATTGATTTAAAAATCAGGTGTAAATACTACCAGTGAGAAACATTGAACGGGAAATTAGGTCGGTAATAAAGAGCAGATTGAAACACAAATAGGGAGAAAATTATAGAAGAGCGTATGAGATGTAATGACATAGCAGAGGTCAAACATACCCGCAAGTGGAGTTGCAGAGAAATTGAGACAGAAGAAAAATGTCTGATGAAATACAGGCCGAGAATTTCAAAAGCAGCTATGTTTCAACCCACAGATTCAAGAAGCTCTGTAAACTCCTCAATATAAATATGAAAACAAAGCAAATCTAGGGACACTAAAATAAAATGGTAGAAAATCAAAGACTAAGAAAATGTTAAAATTGTCCAGAGATAAAATACATTTTATCTTCAAAATAGCACGATTAATGTTGAAATGTGACTTTTCAACAGAAATAGTAAAAGTCAGGAGAAAATTGAGTGATATTTATGAAGTTTGGAAAGGAAATAACAGGGTTTCCATATCGATTGGAAATATTCAAAATGAAGGCAATACAAAATAATTTTCATATAAAACTGAAATACTCCATTTCGAGAGACTTGCACCAAAAGAAATACTGCAGAGAATATATTTCTAAGTGGAAATAGGGTATTTAAGAAAGGAATTAACACCAGAAATGATAATTTATTGGTATAAGTTAATTGCTTTTAAACACCTTAAAACAATAATAATCATGTCTTTTGGTATTTCAGATAAATATAGAATAAAACATATGGACATAATAGCAAAATGACACTGTAGTTTATGGAAAAAGGTTTGAAATTTCTTTGAATTATGATAAACTTACTGATTTATGATTAAATCTAATAAAGTGCATATTTTACTGACTAAAATTTATAAATGAATATGTGTACAATGCAATGATAGAAGGATAAAATAAAACTGCAAATATTTAATGAATTCAAAAAAGGAAAGAATAGAGAAAAATATAAGCAATAGAGAACAAATTAAATAGCTTAACAAAACAGAAAACAATAGAAAGGTAGTCGATTTAACACAAAATATTCAATAATTACCTTAAACATATCTGCATTAACCACTCCATTTAAAAGAAAATAATTGCCAGACTTGATAATTAGGAAATAGGAACAATATACATATTTCCTAAAAAAAATTACTTAATGAAGGACACAAAAATACTGAAAACTAAAGTATGAAAAAAAGATATTAAAAAATCAAATTGGCCAGGAGCGGTGGCTCACACCTGTAATCCCAGCCCTTTAGAAGGCCGAGGTGGGTGGGTCACCTGAGGTCAGGAGTTTGAGACCAGCAGACCAGCCTGACCAACATGGAGAAACTCCGTCTCTACTAAAAATACAAAATTAGCCGGACATGGTGGCGCATGCCTATAATCCCAGCTACTCAGGAGGCTGAGACAGGAGAATTGCTTGAACCCAGAAGGAGGAGGTTGCATTGAGCCAAGATTGCACCATTGTACTCCAGCCTGGGCAACAACAGCGAAACTCCATCTTAAAAAAAAAAAAAAAAAAGTCAAATCATAACTCAAAGAAAACACATATAGATATATAATATCAATCAAATTAAATGTTATAGCAAAATGTATTCTACAGACCAGAAAGATTGTTTCCTAATGATAAAACTGCTATTCAACAGAAGGTGTAACCATCGCAAAGAAAATTTGGTATATGTATACAATTGAGTACCATTCACCCACAAAAAAAAGGATAAGATTCTGTCATTTGCAACAACATGGATAGAACTGATGACATTATGTTAAGTGAAATAAACCAGGCACAGAAAAACAAAAGTCACATGTTCTCACTCATTTGTAGGGGTTGAAAATCAAAACAATTGAACTCATAGAGTTAGAATAGAATGATGGTTACCAGAGGGTAGTGAGGTAGGGGAGTGGGGATGGTTAATGTGTATGCAAATATAGTCAGATACAATAAATAATATCTATTATTTGATAGCATAGCAGGGTGACTACAGTCAATAATAATATATCATACATTTAAAAATAACCAAAAGAGTATAACTGGAATGTTCATACCAAAAAGAAATGATAAATACTCGAGGTGACTACCCCATTTATCCTGATGTGATTATTACACATTCTATGTGTATATAAAAATACCTCATGTACCCCATAAATGTATACATCCACTATGTATCCATAAAAATAAAAGTAAAACTTTTTTTAAAAAAGGAGACAAAACAATCCAAAATTTGTGTGTACCTAAAACAGTTTCAATATGTATAAAGCAAAATCTTACTGGACTAAAAATTTTTAAAGGCTAAGTCAATCATTGTAGTCAGAGATTTTTAACACACCTCTCTCAGTAGATGTATAGGATTATACATCTATACATTTGAGCAACAAGAATTATAAATCTGACTTAAGTTTATGTTTTCAGACCCAGATTAAATTAATGTAGATACCAATAACAAAAATATACCTAGAACACAGGCTAATTTTTGAAATTAAACAATATTCACTAACTACTGCATGTGACAAAGAAGAAATTACAAAGAAATAAATCGTAAAAGTCTAAAGCAGTACATGAGAAAATTTACATAAATTCCCTGTGTCTTCATCTCCCAATATTTCCTTCAAAAATGTATATAAAAAAAAGAGAAAAGTAGAAGTAAACAAAAATTAAGTTCTCAGTATAACTTAAAGACAAAAAATGCCCACACTTCAAAATGACTGTAAATGTCAAACAAGCAAACAAATAAAACCCCAAATACCAAATCTGGAAAGAAATCTTTCAAACATTGTCTCATCTCTACTCTAAGGCAACAGTTTATGGTGGGCACAGCAGCCTGAAATAGGCTCTGTAGAAGACAGAAGGGAGTCAGTGATGGGCCTAAGGTAGATGCCAAAGTCCACTGAAGAAAGTAAATGTACCATTAATATGAAAGTATTTAAACATGTATTTGGAAACCAGCACAAGAACTAAGAGGAAAAGGATCTACAAGTATGTGTGATGTCAAAGAGTGATGTTCAAAATAGGTTGTTTCTGGGCCAAGAAAAATGTCAAAAACAAAAACAGAAGTGAGGTTAGGAAATAGTATAGTGACAAGGAAAAGTCAAGGGGAGTACCTCATGCTTCTACAAGGAAAAGAAGAATCAATGAATTGGAAGTAACAGAATTTCTCCCCGACCACAAAATAAATAATACACCCCAACACCACAATCAAATCCAAAGTATCTGAACTTTGCTATCGTGACATTAAAATACATCAATAAGCTAAGATCTTGTAGAACACCCAGAAACCACAAAATTAAAAGGACAAAATAATTATTGCAGAATTAAGATACGAAGATCCAATACAAATCAATTGTGGAAAATTCCCACACAAAATAATAAGCAGAAGAAACTGTAAGAAAATACTCCCCACAGTTAAGTATATTCAAACAAAAATTTAGGAATAAGAAAAAATCACCTTGAATAAAATAATTCAGAAACTAAGCAAGATAAATACATTTCTCACGCACACACAAATACACAAAAAGTAAGAAATAAATAAAAAATTGGTTGAACTTTAAAAAATAGAAGAAAAAGACAAAATTATGATGGTCACCAATGAATCAACTAAAAACAGTTTAATAATAGGCAGGAAAATAATGAAGAGAATACAACTGAGATGAAGAGAAGTCAGAAAGTCAGAGAGAATATTGTGCAAATACAAGGCAGGCAAAGTGTGACTAACATACCTATAGTGGGAATTCGTGAAGAAGAAAACCACAACAATGTAACAGAACAAATATTCAACTTTATGTTCCTAAATAAATAAATACAGAAGTAAATGCATTTTCCCAAGGTTGAAAAGAAAACCTGAAATTACATTTTGAAAAAAATGTATCAATGTCTAGAAAAACGGCTACCCAAATTGAACAGCTCTGAAACATATACTAAGAAAAGACTTCAGTTGAAACCTTTCTTAAAAAATCCTAAAGGCTTCCAGGAGGAAAAAAAAAGACTAAGTAAATTACAAGGACTGAATAATAGACTGGCATTAGACTTTTCAAAAATAACACACAAAGCAAGTTACCAGTGCAATTAGGCTATTAAAGTGAAAAGTCAGTGAAAGAAAACATAAATTGAGGATTTTCTATGTAGCCACTATGTCCTTCAAGTTTCAAATCAATAGAAAAATAATTTTACATGCAACAACTTTCTGAAAAATCTACTCAATAAAGAGATGACTAAAATAACTTTAGCAAAATATACCAATGATGAGAATTTTTTTAATTAGTATTTAACTTTTATTTTAGGTTCGGGGTTACAAGTGAAGGTTTGTTACGTAAGTGAATTCATTTCACAGGGGTTTTCCTGTAAAGATTATTTTCTCACCCAGATATGAAGCCCATTACCCAATAGTTATCTTTTTTGCTCCTCTCCTCCTTCCCACTCCCCACCCAGTGTCTGTTATTCCTTTCTTAGTGTTCATGAATTCTCATCATTTAGCTCCCGCTTATAAGTGAGAATGGGTGGTATTTGGTTTTGTGTTCTTGTGTTAGTTTCCTAAAGATTGTAGCCTCCAGCATATATTGAAAGAGCCTAAAGACTAAAGCAAAGATTGGGAAAATGGTGTTAAACAAATTTACAAATATTACATGTTGTGACAAAGCAGAAAATATATAATTAAAAATAAAAAAGCAAAGGAGAAGAAAAAAAGAAAATAGAAAAATATCATTAATTGTTGTATGGACAGTATGTGGGAGTTAAATAATATCAATAACAACTGAGAATCCCGAGTAAAGGGCTAATAAATGAAAGACTAAGGCTATTAAGATAAAAGTACGAAGGTAAAACTAGAACAAAAACAGGAAGCTTCCAAAATACTAAAATAAAACAAATATTAATTAAATGCAAGAAATTCACTGCCCATATAGATACATAGCAAATACTACTAATATATGATGCCAGGGTTGAGCACAAAATTCTCCCTTTTATTTCTTTTCCCTATCACTGCTCAGTTTCTTAAACACACTTCTGTCTAGCTTTCTGATATTTTTCTCTAACCAGAAAGAAACCTGTTTTGAAGACTGTGTTTTCACATCACACATACTTGTAGATGTGTAGGGAAAGAAAGAACCCTAGCAAAATAGAAGAGAAGGTAACCAAAAAAAGTGTCCTTAAAAAAGACGTTTAAGCAAGCATCATACCTACTAGTGAAATAGAGATTACCTTTCCAGATATCAGGAACAATTTGAGATTATTCAACATTATACTCTAGTCTTACCCAGTGCAATATGGCATGAAAAAGTATAATTTTGGAAATGAGAATGTAAAATATTCATTATTTATAAAAATGGTCATTATTCTGTATCTTATCTTTCAAATATTAGCTCTTTTATGAAGTATTTCTCAGTCTTAGGCAGTTTTATCAAAACTCGGTCAGATATTGTTGTAGCAGTTGGAAAATAATTACATTAATTTTTTTTCTTTTTTCTTATTTCAGACTGTGAACTCCTCAAAACATTAGTGACCATTCTAACCAATAATCTTCAAATTCAGCAGATTCTCTGACATACATCAGACACTCAAGGAATAAGAAATAATGATTAAAATAGTACCAGTAATGATATGTTTAATGGTCATCAAAATCCCAGAATGGTAACTCAAGCTTACCTCCTATATCTGGACGAAGTTTATTGTCATAGCCTTGAAGCAATGAATTCAGAATTTGTGTGATATCTCCTTCATGAATTTTTGGGGCCAAGACCCAGGTTTTGTTCACCGTTAAATCCTCATCATCTTCATCATCTGCCTTATCAACACTAAATAATTCAAAGAAAAAAATGGATGGTAGAAGGTTCAATCAAATCATGTATAAAAGTATAGTTTAAGTATGTTACAATTGAGTAAGAAAGTAATAATGGCAGACAAAAAGGTATTACACTAACATTACATTTAGTAAGACCAATACATTTGTCATACAAAGTGCCCTGATATAATACTCAAAAAATGAGAATTCTGTGCAAGAAATACACAATATTAAAATAATAAAGTAAATTTTGACCACTCCCACAACTGTCATTAACATTCATAAAAATTATTCCACCAAAATATGACTGGTGTCCCCTAAATTTGTATAACATAAAATCTGTGCACCCATATGTGGTGACCTTAAACCATCACAACCAAAAATAAAAATTAAAAGGTAAAGAATTACAGGAAAAGATGTAATAATTAGTCTGGTAAAATGTACAAAAAATGGATGTGTAGAAAAGAAGAATTAAGAAAAATTGAGTAAAGGAAGGTTTGAATAAAAAGGAAAACATGTTTGTTGTACATACTGTTGCTCATTTCTTTTAAGTCGGAAGAACCCAGCCATCTTTTTCCAAGAACTTTGTCAAAGATTTTATAATCATCAAATTATCAATAGGTGACTCATCTTGCACATATATTTGGGAGGAGGCATAACTATCACATTTTACTAGAAGTGATATTGGGGAGATCAAATAACTCTCTTCCTTTATTTTATAACTGAGAAAACCAAGGACCACAGAAAAATAGCCAAAACACAAATCTATTTATCAGCAAAACTGAGACTCAAACATTGCCTCTCCAACTATTGCTTTCTGATACACCTGTGTGCTTAAAAGTGAAAAGATTCAGCTGACTTCTGAATTGTGATAGAAACATCCAGTAATAAAGATATTCATCAACAATTCATCAAAGGTAATAAATTACTCTTCTCTTTATTGCCCATAAGTAACGCCATCTTCTTTTGAGTAAGGTCATTCTAGACTTAACAACACACCCATTTTAGGAAATCCCTCATGCTCCAGTGAAAAGGGGTCCAAAAAACTAAACACTAACATTGGTAAAATCAAGTAAATCTGTAATTTTCCAGATTATTCACATATATTTCAAAGATGTGTTTCCCTCAAACAGTAAATACTTAATGCTTTCTACAGTATCTATTCAGACCTCTTTTGCTTTGAATCTAAACACCTTAGCAAATGCAGCCCCAACTCCTTTTATCCGTAAACTCTCAAGCTGATTTGAATTGCTAAGAAATACATCAAGCATGAGAATACAAGAGAACACGCCAGTCCGAGATGTTTATTTTATGTTGGACTACCCTGGTCTTGAGAGAAATATTACTGCTTTTGATTGCCACCTCTTTGGTATTTTTTTAGTGCTTGCCTTCTCATTTTGTGAAAGAAAGTGGAGTGGCCAAACAAATCCTGAATTTTCAGTTCCATTTCCCAAACATCAGCTATAAAAACCTGGATATCACATCTGCTTTGTAGGCTCTCTGTACAATGGTTGGGGGGTTGGGGCACTTAATTGTATCATCAGATTCACATTGCCCTCTATTTTGCTTTTCGTGAAAATATTTTTGTTAAGATGCTTATGAAGATGCTTGTGAAGTAAAAATCCTTATATTGCCATAAAAAATTTTTATGAGATTTTAACATCATAAATTAAAATTTTACTTTCAAAGAATTTACTATATTATTTCATCGTTATAATAATTATATTAATAGTTATCTTCCACGGATTAATAACAGTGTATTATTAACAATGTTTCTCCTCTTCTTGTGAAATAATTATGCTTCTCACCCTACTAACTTTTAACTTGTCTGTAATTTGCAATACTCCTTCCAGCAGGAGGATTATACATCCCTGTCCTGTTGAACTCAGGTCTGACCCTGTGATTGACTTGGGCTAATGGTATATAACTGACATGCATCACTACCAAGCAGTGGGTTTAGTGTCAGTGAAGTTTATTACATCTCTCTTGTCCTTCTGCCAGGTGATACTCAGCCATACTCACAGGCTACTCCATTACTTCACTCTCAGAGTGAAGGTGACTTGGACAGAGCCACAGCTGAACTACAATGGACATGTAATCTGAGTGAGACATAAACATTTAGGGTTGGAAGCCACTGGGATTTGGAAGTAGTTTGTTACCACAGCATAACCTAATGTGTCTTGGCAGATTGCCTCAGGATGGTCCAATTTTATTTGTAACACTTTGAGAATACAAATTGAGAGATGTTAAGTAACATACGCCTCAGTTCTACTATTCCAAATCTCACCAGTTTCTCCCACCACCAACACCTTAGTTAAACAATCTTAGCAAAATCTCTGCCAAAACAATTCTGGCCCCCTCAAGTTAAGTATATCACTAAAGTACATAGAATGTGCTTTGTATGCAACCTCAAGAAAGCTTTCTAGTAGTCAGAGGCCAGTTCTCAGACCCTAAAACCCATGGTCCTTCTACTATTATTATATTCCCTTACTTTGCAAATGAAGAAAAACTCTGTGAGAAGTGGATTAACTTGACCAATGTAACACTGCTACTCTGGTAGAACTGGGGCTCTGATACCCGCAGTATGCAATGAGCACACTATAATATTGTTCCAATTTGAGATACGTTTATATATGAGTAAAAATACTTTGAGCCTGTACTTCTAAGGATGCATTATTTTAAAGTATACAAAGTTTCACTTATAACCCTATGCAGATTCCTGGAGAACATATTAGTTAACATATTTTTACTTACGTACATCATTACAGTAATTATTTTGCTCTACTTATCTTGTGTACAGTATAGAAATTTTGTTATATGATTTCCTTCAAATAATTTCCTATTATTTTCTCCAAGTAAATAAGTACATATAAGCTGAGGAATTAGAAATACTGAGTTGTCACATGTTCTCATTTATAAGTTGGAGCTAAATGATGAGAACACATCGACAAATGGAGGGGAGCAACACACACTGCGGCATATCAGAGTGGGGAGGGTGGGAGGAGGGAAAGGATCAGGAAAAATAACTAATGGAGACTAGGCTTAATACCTGGGAGATGAAATAAGCTGTAAAACAAGCCACCATGACACAAGTTTACTTAACAAACCTTTACATGTACCCCTGAACTTAAAATAAAAGTAAAAAAAAAATACTGAAGTATTAAGAATCTCTGCTGGTGTGTGCTTCTGGAATGTTTTATTTCCTAATTAGACTTGTTGAGATATTGGCAACAACTTAAATTTTAGGTTTTCATTCACCTCTAAATTTCAGTTTTATAGAATGAAGTATCTGGTGGGTATGGCAAGCCACTGCACATATAAACAGTTTATCTTTCCTTGAATAATGATTGCAATCAAATGGAAGATTTTAGAAAAAAAAAAAAAAAGCTTTTTCTGTTTTTTTTTTTATGGTGGCAATATTTTGATAATCTAAAATCCACATGGTGATACTAGTTTATATTGCCCTTTTCTCAGGTAGTAGAGAGGTAATATGAAAATTGACCTCAAAAATACTATAAAGTTATCTTTCCTCAGTTTCGGCAATAACATAAAAGAAATTTCATTATAGGTAATTTATCTACACCTTTTCTCTAAGCTATCTAAGTTATGCTCAGAATGTTCATTAATTACTTTGAATATTACATTGGTGTTATCTTGGTGATTAAAAAGTACTTCATAATTTTAAAAACATAGCACTTATAGTGTGTTTCATGTCCTGATGTTTTTTGGAAGCTGGGAGATTTTTGTAGCAGTTACATGTTTTGGATAAATATTTATTTGGAAGAAACAGGTATGATTTTTTAAAAATAATACTCTGAGAATTTATTAAAAATTAATATACCTACCTTAAAAATGAGAAAATAAGAGATTATAGAATTCCAGGACACACAGCTATTAAACAATAGACCCAGAATTTAAAATAATGTTGATTTAATTTGAAGACATATTTTCTGCTTCCTTAAAGTTTTCCTGGCACAACATATACCTTTATTGAATAATCTAGGGTGGTTCGGTTTTGAATTTCCTAATTCACAAGACCGCAACAAAACCTACGGTACGTAATTAGCAGACACATTTGGATTGTGTGTGGCTAGGGTAGTCTCAGCCCTTGACTCCAGAGAAGGTAGAATCATAAACTCAAGGAGTCGCACACTATATGACAAAAAAAGCACTGTGATCTCAATCTCTGACCCAGTGTTTTTGTCCATCTACAGAGATAATACCGTGTACTAAAAATGTGCTAAGTGCTAGGAATACAAAGACAAATGAAATTATAATCTTGATCTAGATGGTCTCATTTTCTAATAAAGGAGAAAACATTTTCAATCCAATGACACAGAAAAGCATCAGACATTAAGATGCTTATCACGGTATTACCTATGATTATATAACTTTTTTAACAATAAGAGTATGTTTAAATAATGATTTATTAACAAAAAGTACACATCTATTGCTTGTTAAGAGTCTGTAAAAACATCAAATTATTTTCATAATTTAATATTACATGAAAAATAACAGAAAACAGTTTGCTTTAATTGTCATCTATGTATAAAGTAGCTTAAAAGACTTGATGGAAAAACAGAATAATGTATACACTCAACATTCTATACTAGTGAGACAATAGAAAATTTATTTTTGCATGTTAATAGTATCCTGAAATCTTCATGTACACATTGTATAATGTAAATAAATGAAAAGGAGTGAATTCGATGTGAATGCCTACCTAAGAATGAACTTCTTCTTATATACCAGATAACGCTCTGAAATAAATTTCTAATTATAAAATGAATAACTAAATAGAGTATTTTAGAGAGAGGTAGAATATCATACTCTCTTAAGAAAATTATTGTGGCATCCCTGAAAATTTGCCACTTGGTTCTCCTGCTGTGAGAACATAGCTGCCTGCCAGTACTAAGGATGAGCCCTGAGTCTGCACCAGACCCAAGCTGTCTCAGGCTGCTTTCTGTCAATAACTGAACATAGTAGGAATATTAATTCAGATCCATTCCTGTCAGACTAGGAGCCCCTCTGAAGGGCAATTTGTGTTGGAGGATTCCTACCTCCCTGGCCAAAACTTTCTTAGAAGGGTATTGCACTCAGATTCTTTTGATCCAAACTACTTCTTCCCCCCTCTACTTTCATACGTTTCAAACATCTTTGTTACCTGAAGCCTCTCTTGCCACTCCCTCCTCCTCTCATTTATGTTTCCCAAGCATTTCTCTCTTACAAGTCTAAGGCCATCTTGACATCTGTTTCTCAAAGACTTCTTCACACATTCAATTGCAACCTGTACTTATTTACTAAAGAAAATCTTTGAGTCATTTAGTATATGATTATTATTTCTTTTTGTCTTACTAAACTCAGCTATTTTAATGTATCATACAAATTTCTTTGATGACAAGAAATTACTGTATGTGGGAAAAAAACCTTTAATAACTATATTACTCTTCTACATAACAAACAAGAGTTTCAAAATAATAACCAAGGGTTAATTTAAGTAAAGACAAGGCATGCTTTGCCATAAAATTATGAAGAAAATCCATCCTTATTACTAGAGAAAAAAATATATGCCTATAGCAAGTCAGTCAATTAATATAAACTATTTTTCATGCGTAAATTAAACATTCATTGAGGTTTGCCAAGGAAAATCTTGGTTTACACCTGTTGCCCCAAAATGATTTTTAATAGCAGCTTCTCATCACAAAATGGCCTACTTTGGATGATTAATGATCTAGTCACCCTGTATTTAGTTCATATAAAGGTTATTGCAAATTTCCTGGTTCTGACACGGGAGGGAGCTTCTTCCATTAATCTGTTAAGAAACCAGAGATGAAACTCAAAGTAGCTTAATAAGGTGCCTGAGGAATGTGAGTAAACCCTGAAGAAATAGTGATAGACTATTTTCCCCACAGTGTGAAAAAAACATAATTGCAAGTGAAATTGATTGATGAGGCCATTTACATACTTCATTGGAAAAAAATGATAATTGCTACTTGTACTGAGTATATGTACAGAAAAAATTCACTGGATAGTAAATATAATAAATATTTGTCACTGGTACTTCCTCATAAAAACTTCTGGGTTAGTTAGTTGGTCATTATTTCCACACAGGGAAAAGTTCCACCATGTTTATTAAAATAAATATAAAATTTGGTTATTCATATTGTTACCATTTGAGGTTATCATAGCCCTATTTTTTAAAAGTGGGGCTAACAATATTTTAATAGCAAATTAATCAGTGAATTAATATAAAATCCAGATAATAGGTAGATATACTCAATCAAGAAATCCAAATTTTTGCCTGTTATAATTAAAAAATAAATAAATATGTTCAGAAATCATGACTACCACTATTATTCTTGTCATTTGAATGTCATTGACTAGAGTTAATTTTGAGTGTCATTTTGCTACTCCTATTATTTCATACTAATAAACACAATTGACTGGGTGGTTTTGCTATCCCTATTAGTGCTCATTTAGGTAGCTGAGAAAAAGCATAAGTGGTTAGAATGATACAAAAAGTATAGGTACCTTATCAAAACTGATATTTTATATATTTTTATATAGCAATCAGGAGCCAAATTCAAGTTATGATTAGCTGCATGTAATCTCTACCAAAGTTCTATATACGTTACACTAAGCATTTCTAGGAACATAGAGTGTTTGAAGTAAGAGCACGTTTAGATATCTTCATGTCCTACTCCTTATATTAAAAAATAAGGAAACTGGAGTTCTAAACACATAAATGACTTCATTAAGGCCTCCAAGCTACTTAGTGCCAAAAATTTCATATAATTATTATATTCACATGTGAAATGATTATGATGATTCAAATGTATCAATGATCATACCACATTATATTTCAGTTACTTAGAGAAATGACTCCTACTCAAAACATACATAGAGATTGTAGTAAAAGGAAGTTATGAAGTATTTTAGAAACTCTTAAAAAGTAGATAATGATGTAATCATCAACTGTCTATGAAACCAATACACAGTTTAAGAAACAAAACGCTCTACATTCTTCTCCAGCCTCAGATATTATAAATGTTAAGATGAATTTATTGCCGTGTTGTTGTAAATGTAATAACTAATGTGTTACATTAACTAATCTTAGTTAGTTATTACATTTTAGCATATACCTATGTATCCTTGAATGACACAACGTTACATATAGCCATAATACATTATTACGTGTAGTCACATAATCCCTTTTTCCAATCTATTGGATATGAAATAGTATCTAATTTTCATTGCATTACATTCCTGTAATTATTATAAAATAAAACACCTATTTATATGTATTGGTTATTTTGCCTTATGTAAACTACATTCTAGTTGGGATTTTAACACTCTTTAAACAATTATAACAATTATTTTATTAAACTTCATTTGACAAATGTCTATTAGGTGCTTATTGTGTGCTGAGCATCCAGCATTTCTGGATGCTGGGGATGCAAAGATGACTAAAGCAGCCCCCAGAAGAAAGATCATGGAAAATAGAAGCCTTAAGTATTAGTATTAATCTTTTAATGGTAATGTGGGATTTGTACAAATCCTTACAAATCTTTGAGCCACAGTTTCCTCATCAAACTTTTAAGGTTTATATTTCTGTAAACCCTTAGGTAATGAATATATATTAAACATTACTGGATTTATAAAAGGTAATTCAGAACTTCCTCTTGAAAACGGTAAAGTGGGCACGCTATCCTTCCTTTTTCAGAAATCAACCAAAAGTAGCAAGGAGATAGAAAACCAGATTCCCAAACTCCATTTTTTATAAGCAAGGAGACTTCGGAAATCCAAAGCACAAACAAAGAGAAGGAAGCTGGCAGAATGATACTTGCTAATTAAGGCCTGGGCAAATTATTGATACAAGATCAACAAACAGATGCACCATTGGCAGAGGTGGGTGGTCTCTAAAACTGACTTGCGAAAGAAAATTAAAGTGAAAAAGAAAAAAAGAAAACGAAAAAACCAAACTGGCTTAGAAAAGAAAATGAAGCAAACGTCAGTTTGCTGAGGCTGATGGAAGAATGATACAGACAAATATAAACACTACTGTTTTTTTGTAATGTGGTAGAAGACAGTCCCAGCACTTTGAATAGCCCTATAACTTCATATCTTGGCTGCCTGTACATTTAGGAGATTTGGAGAAAATTTGGAAATTATTTTAAATTACTAGTACATGCAAAACAAAGGGGATGTTTTAAAAGGACAATTATTTACTTGAGGGAAAAATTTTTAAGTTCAGAAAAATTGTTATTACACTACATAACATGATTCACCTGTAACTGTATTTATACCACCATAATTAATTTGAATGTCCAATATGGGTTGGATCAACATCACACTATCTCCAGACACATAATCCTCCAATTTTCTAAAATTACTTACCTGTATAGATAAATAGGTAAGCAGTTAGATAGATAGATGGATGGATGGGTAGATAGATGATAGATAGATAGATAGATAGATAGATAGATAGATAGATAGATGATAGATATTCTCTACAAGTTAGTCGGTGTATGCACTTTCCTTTGTATTGATTGTTTTTTATCATCAAAAAGCAAAACAAGTGAAGGAGTCCTATTTCAACCAATTAGATGGCTAGAATTATTTTCTTCTCCAGGTTCCAGTAGCTCTTTACTCTCCTTCCTGAAATGTCTAGTTTTATAGGCACATTTGAGTATGACCACCTACTGAACTACACTGTGACCTGGTATGAAAGCAATCAACAGGCAGGCTGCTTAAGCAGGTCTGTTTATACTCCCAGGTCCTTTCTCAGGCCAAGTTGTTTAGAATAGGGTAGACACCTGAGCCCCAAAAGGTTAGCCAGACTTTCATTCCTGACAGTGGAGAATTTTAATCAATAAATGCAGCAATAGCTAATTTGTAGTGCAGCCCGTTGGCATAGCTAGAGAAAGAGAAGGAATTTCTGTCACCAAGACTGCCCCATCCCCAGCTTTCCTGATGTTTGGTTGATCAGTCCTTCACTGGGTCCCAGGGGATACCCCATAATTAGTCATTTATGTATTTACATTGGTTTGTTTGGTTTGTCTAAGTGCAATTTTGTAATTTAAAATGAAAAAAATCTTATACAACAAAAGACTTTGACAAAGAGTTAGAAAAGCAAAGACATTTTGCCATTGTTTTATTTTGCATTGGTAGGAAATGAGCAGATTTACTTCCTCAAAACATAATACAGCAAGAGCACTGTTAATAACTCAAATGTACATAAACGCTCATAGCTTGAACACAATGAATGCTTGGTTCTACTCTGCTCAACTGAATTAAGCTCAGGATGGATAATATGTTAAATTCAATAATTAGGTATATGAACTCCTCTCACCTAACACCTCCTTTCCTTGTAACATATCCTGACTTTAGAAACAGTTCATTTTCAGTCATTTTTTTGGTATATGAAATAAAACATGTGGAGGTTACTGTAAATTTTTTTTTTTGCTGGGTCATTAAGCTTGATATGAAAAAGAATCATGAGTGAGGAAGAATCTGTCATGCATGGTCACCTAATTCATCTTTCCAGCTCCAAACGCAACTACATTTAATCATTTTTTTAATTAAAAAAATTGTGGGTACAAAGTAGGTGTATATATTTAAGGGGAATGTGAGATGTTTAGATACAGGCATGCGATGTGAAATAAGCACAGCATGGAGAATGGTGTATTCATCCCCTGAAGCATTTATCCTTTGAGTTACAAATAATCCAATTATATTCTTCAAGTTATTTTAAAATATACAATTAAGTTATGTTGACTACAGTTACCCTATTGTGCTATGAAGTAGTAGGTTTTATTCATTCATTCCATTTTTTGTACCCATTATGTGGTTTTACAATTGTCTATTGATCTTTTCTCTCCTCTTGAATATTATTTTCTTTTCATTTGTCATTAACTAGAAACTCATTATAGTTTGCCATTTATCAGCAAAAGTTTTATGAAATCATATAAATTGAATAATATATATGTTCCTAAGGTAATACCTTATAATAATGTACACAATGCTTTATTTTTAACATGATTATACATCTTACTATTTAATATTTTAATGCAGTCATTCTAAATTCTACACACACAAATGTACATGTACACCATCCTCATTGTTACTCAGTTCCTTCCTTTCTTGTTTCCTTTCCTTCTCTTCTTCTTCCTCCCTGTCACCATTCCTCCCACCTCATTTCCCACCCTCCTTCTTTTTCTTATTGCTTCCTATCTCCCTCTCTTTTTTTCTCATATGTGAATTATGATGGTGATACTAAATTATATAATTTTGAATCATTAAATAGAAATGATGATTCTCTTGACATTGCCTTTGGAGATATCAAAAATCCTATCTTATTTTAATTTATTTTCTTCAAATATTCTGTTAACTTGTTGTTACTCTACAACAATCTCATGTTCTACAAACTTTCCAACTGAACAATACTTCTACTCAAAGCTTTGACATTTAAAATACTTTATACATATGATTATTTTTAAAATTAGACTATTATCAGAATACTATTCTACAAGTGGTGACATAACGACTATAAAAAGAAGGATCAATAATAGAATAAGTATTTACTTATGTATTTGGTAAAATGTTTATGTATATGTGATAGACAAAAATCTATGCTAGAGGACATATGACAAAAAAGGGAAGGTAAATCAATAGGTTTCCTAGCACATTCTGCACATTTTAAATATTTGTCAGAAGGAACATTAGAAATACAGAAAAATTATTATATTAGTAAATTGGAAATACTTGGGAAATATTCTGTATAAATGATGGTAATAAGTATGGAATGAAAAAATTCTAAGAAACATATAGTATTGGGGAATTTTTAGCTAGAAGGGAACATGAATTGATACTCTTTTCATGCACATTTCTTAAGCCAGGAAACAAGCATTATGGCCTGTCAGGGTCAAGCCAAATATGAAAAAATTCTGCTTAGTAAATTTTTGGCACACACATTCAGTTTATATGTCACTAAATCTCCGTGTGAGAAGTAGTGTTTTGCACAGCCACTTGAACTAGAAATTGATTTTGTTCAATTCACATTTGCTTTGCTTAATAGAGTCCACTCATTCATCAGTCAAGTAGGAGCAAAATGTTGACTTTCTGTTCTCAAGAATCTTAAAATTTGTTCAAAACTAAAGAAATTCACTCACTCACAATGATCTAATGACAGAAGTTTTGTGCTAGGATTCTGAACATATTAATCCTTACCACTATCCACGAGTGTGGAGTCCTTTACCACTATCCTTACCACTCTCCATGAGCGTGGGATTTTTTTTTTGTTTATGGATGCATCTCTAGTGACTAGAGAAGTGATGGGCACTAAGTTAGCACTCAATTATTATTTGTTGTATGAATGAAAACATGAATGTGGATTTTATAAGGTAGGCATTTTACCCTAATTTTATAAGTGAAGATCACTCAGTTTCTGAGAGATTTAAATAACTTTCCAAAGTTCTTACTATTAGTAAGTGGCAAAGGAAGAATTTATCACAGGTAAAATTCATCAGGAAGACTCAAATTATTTTAAAAAGTCTCCTTTGGGTTTCTTTAATTCTGCCCTTGCATTGATAACATAGTCTATTATCAATACAACACCCATAGTGATGTTTTTAATATACAGATCTTGTCATATCATATCTATGCTCAAAACCCTGGATCTTAGTTGGAGGGTTTTCCATATCTCTTAGGATAAACAGTGTCTCCTCAAGTTTTTAGAATACTTTCAGTAGAATTGGTACCAGGTTTTCTTTGTATGCCTAGTAGAATTTGGCTGTGAATCCATCTGGCCCAGGGCTTTTTTTTGGTTAGTATTTTTTTTTAATACTGATTCAATTTTGAAACTCAGTGATGGTCTGTTCAGGATTTTAATTTCTTACTGATTCAATCTTGGAAGATTGTGTGTTTCCAGGAATTTATGCATTTGCTCCAGATTTTCTAGTTTGTGTGCATAAAGGTATCCATAATAGTATCAGAGGATCTTTTATATCTCTGTGGGATTAGTTGTAATGTCACCATTGCCATTTCTGATTGTGCTTATTTGGATCTTCTCTCTCTCTTTTTCTTTGTTAATCTAGCTTTCAGTCCATCAATCTTGTTTATCATTTTAGAAAAGGTTTCACTGATTCTTTGTACAAATTTTTGTGTCTCCATTACATTCAGTTCTGTTCTGATATTAGTTACTTCTTTTCTTCTGCTAGTTTTGTGGTTAGTTTGTTCTTATTTTTCTAGTTTCCCCAGGTGCGATGTTACATAATTAAATTGAGATTATTTTAACCTTTTCAGGCCCACAGTTAGCATATAAACTTTCTTCTTAACACTGCTTTTGCAGCATAACAGAGACTTTAGTATATTGTGTCTCTGTCTTCATTTATTTCAAATAATTTTTTGATTTATCCCTTACTTTCATTGTTTACCCAAAAGGCATTCTGGGGCAAGTTGTTTAATTTCCATATAATTGTATGGTTCCAAGAGATCTTCTTGGTATTGATATCTATTTTTATTCCACTGTGGTCCAAGACTATAGGTGGTATGATTTTGACCTTTTTGAATTTGTTGAGATGTGCTTTATGGCTGAGCATGTGGTTGATCTTGGAGTAGGTTCCATGTGCAGATGAGAAAAATGTATATTCTCTGGTTGATGGGAAGAGTGTTCTACAGATATCTGCTAGTTCCAATTGGTCAAGTGTCAAATTTAGTTACAGAATTTCTTTTTTACTTTACTTTTCTCCTTCAATCTTGCTAATGCTTTCAGTGGGATGTTGAAATCTTCAACTATGATTGGGTGACTGTCTAAATGTTTTTGTAGTTCTAGATGTATATCTTTAAATGTAGGTGCTCCAATGTTGGGTGCACATAAATTTAAGATAACTGAGTCTTCTTGTTGAATTGCACCCTTTATAATTATGCAATGCCCTCCTTTGTCCATTTTTACTGTTGATGGTTTAATGTCATTTTATCTGATATAACATAGTGAACCCTGCTCTTTTTGCTTTCTGTTTGCCCATTAAAACTTTATCTAAACTTTATTTTGAGCTGATGGGCATTACTACCTCTGAGACAGGTGTCTTGAAGACAGCAGATGGATGGGTCTTGTTAATCTATCCAACCTGCCACTCTGTGCCTTTTAAGTCCTCTCTAACTAATTCTAAAAAGCCAGCACCACCCTAATACCAAAACCCACCAAAGACAATGAAAAAAGAAAACTACAGGCAAATATCCTTGATGAACATAGATGCAAAAACCCTCAAAATAAATAAGGCAAACTGAACCCAACAGTACATCAAAAAGTTAATTCATCACAATCAAGTAGGTTCTATTCCTGGGATATAAGGTTGGTTCACCATATGCAAATGAATAAATGTGATTCATCATATGAGCATAATTAAAAAAAACATGTAATCATCTCAATAGACGTGGAAAAAGCTTTAGATATAATCCAACATCCTTTCATGATAAAAACCCTCAAGAAACTAAGACTTGAAGGAACATACCTCAAAATAATAAGAGTCATCTATGACAAATCACAGCCAACATCAAACTAAATGGTCAAAAGGTGGAAGCACCACCCTTGATAACTGAAACAGGACAAGGATGGCCACTCCTACCACTCCTATTCAACGTAAGACTAGAAATGCTAGCCAGAGCAATATGGCAAGAGAAAGAAATAAAAGGCATCGAACAGAAAAAGAAGAAATCAAACTATCTCTTTTTAGAAAGTGTGTGATTCTATACCAGGAAAATCCCAAAGAACTCCACCAAAAGGCTCCTGGAACTGATAAACCACTTCATTGTAATTCAGGACACAAAATCAATGTTTAAAACTCAGTAGAATTTCTATACGAAAATAATGTTCAATCTAGGAGTCAAATCAAGAATGTAATCCCATTTACAATAGCCACAAAAATAATACCTAGGAAAACATGTAACCAAGGAGCTGAAAGATCTCTACAAGCAGAACTACAAAACACTGCTAAAACAATTCAAAGGTGACTCAAAGAAATGCAAAACATTTCACGTTCATGGATTGGAATAAACAATATTATTAAAAAGGCCATATCGGACAAAGCAATTTACACATTCAATGCTATTCCTATTAAGCTAACAAAAGAGTTTTCCATAGAACTAGGAAAAACTATTCTAAAATTCATATGGAACAAAAAAGGAGCCCAAATAGCCAAAGCAACTCCAAGAAAAAAGAACAAAGCCAGAATCATCACATTATCTTATTTTAAACTATATGAAAAGGCTGCAGTAACCAAAACAGCATGGTACTGGTACAAAAACAGACACATAGGCAAATGGAACAGAAGAGAGCCCAGAAATAAAACTGCACACCTACAGACATCTGATCTTCAACAAATTTGGCAAAAATAAGCAATGAGAAAAGGACTCTCTATTCAATAAATGGTGCTGGAATAGTTGGCTAGCCATACGAAGAAGACTGAAATGGGACCCTTAACTTGCACCACATACAAAAATTGACTCATGATAGATTAAAGGTTTAAATGTAAAACTTCACACTGTAATAATCCTACAAGAAAACCTAGGAAACACCATTCTGGATGTCAGCTTTAGGAAAGCAATTATAGCTCAGTCCTCAAAAGAAATTGCAACAAAAACAAAAATGGACATGTGAGACCTTATTAAACTGAAGAGCTTCTGCAGAGCAAAAACAACTGTCAAGGAGTAAACAGATAACTTACATAATGAGAGAAAATATTTGCAAACTGTGCATCTGACAAAGATCTAATATCTAGAATCCACAGGGAACTTAAACAATTGAAAATCCAACAAAATAAAACCCCACTAAAAGTAGGAAAATACATGAACAGACATTTTTCAAAAGAAGACATAGAGGTGGCCAGCAAACATAGGGAACATATTCCACACCTCTAAACGTCAGAGAAATGCAAATCAAAACCACAACAAGATATCCTACACCAATCAGAATGACTATTATTGAAAAGCCAAAAAGCAACAGATATAGACTAGGCTGTGGAGAAAAGGAAATGCTTATACACTGTTGATGAGAATGCAAAATAGTTCTGCCAATGTGGAAAGCAGTTTTGAGATTTCTCAAAGAACTTAAAACAGAACTATCATTCAACCCAGCAATCCCATTACTGGGTATATATCCAAAAGAAAACAAATAATTCTACCAAAAAGACACATGCACTCACATGTTCCATGCAGCACTGTTCACAACAGCAAAGTGATAGAATCAACTGATAGGTGCCCATTAGTGGTGGATTGGATAAAGAAAATGAGGTACATAAACACTACATAGCCATAAAAAAGCCATTAAAAAACAACAAAATTGTGTTTTTTGCAGAACAGAAAAGCAAATACCCCATGTTCTCATTTGTAAGTGTGAGCCTAACATTGGGTGCTCATGAACATAAAAGGCAATGGGGACTATTAGAGAGGGCAAGGAGGTATGAGGTAAGGGTTGAAAAACTAACCATTGGGTACTATGATTCGTATATCGCTGATGGGATTATTCCTACTTCAAAGCTCAGCATCCTGGAATATACACAGGTAAAAAATCTGCACATGCATCCCTTGAATTTAAAATAAAAGTTGAAAAAAAAATAGCTACACGGCTACAAGTAACTACAAGGCCCCCACATTATGGTCTTCCACTTCAAATTCTTATCTCCCCAACCCTCACTTGGCATGACTGAAAGCTTCACTCACTTATAGTATTTGTTCAAATATTATTTAATCATTGAAGCCTGTCTGATCACTATTTGCTCTTCTATCCAAATTCCACACCTCCTTGCCCGGCTTATTTGTTTCTCTATGTATTAGTCCATTTTTATACTGCTATAAAGAACTGCCCAAGACTGAGTAATTTATAAAGAAAAGAGGTTTAATTGACTCACAGTTCAGTATAACTGGGAAGGCTTCAGTAAACTTACAATCATGGTGAAGGCAAAGGGGAAGCAAGGTACCTTCCTCACAAGGCAACAAGAAGGAAAGGTGCTGAGAGAAGGGGGAAGAGCCCCTTATAAAACCATCAAATCTCCTGAGAACTCACTATCATGAGAACAGCATAGGGGTAACTGCCCCCATGATTCAATTACATTCACCTGGTCTCTCTCTTGACACTTGGGGATTATGGGGATTACAATTCAAGATGAGATTTGGCGGGGGGGACATGAAGCCTAACCGTATCACCATAGCTCTAATTTAATTATAAAATCCTATACATAAATGATAAAGGATGAAATAGTATTAACCCATTAAATTATATTTGCCCATTTGGACAAAAAGATAATTTTATAAGTTCCAATTTAATATATTTATGCTTATTGTTTACTGTGTATTTCTCCCTCCTGAGTGCCAACTCCAAAATGGTAGAAGGTGTTTTATCTCTAGTTCATGGACATATCACAAGTTTCTAGAACAGCATCTGTCACACACAGGGTTTCAATGAATATTCTTTAGTAAATAAATATATGTTGTCTCCACAGGCCCTATCTGTGATCTGTTGTTCATGACAAGTTAGGTAGTATTTATTTACAACCATCAAACACATTTTCATAAACACAGTATTTCAGGGAAAAGTTCCAGAAAAGAAACGTATCTTCTGAGTAGAAGATGCAATATACTCTATGTCAAGAACTGTAAGAACTAGCTTTTCAAAGGGTAGGAAAAATCACTGATTTTAGACCTAAAATCAAAAAGTAAATAAATTTTCTCTCTTTTTTGCCTTCATGTTTGAGCTACTAAACCCTTTTGTAGAAAAGTTCCTTTCTAGGGTTGTAGCTCTGAATAATTTTTCACTGTACAAAAGCTATAGAAAAGCAAAATAAGTAAAAGAGTGATAAATAACAGCATTATAGATTTAAACTTTCAGAATTTTATTATATGTGCAGCTGAAGCAAGCACTAAACCTCCAGAGTTTTAAAGAGGAGAATTGATAATCCACTCAATACTATGATTATTTTATGAGCACAAAGGAAACTACAGTGGAACCTATCACTTAACATACATAGAGAGATGCTTTGAAAACTTGAAATGACAGAAGAGAACCAAGCCTAGAATACTAGGTAAGTGTGTCCTGTATGCTTCCAATCTGTCCTGTGGTTAACTCTACCATGCAGTTAATCATACTGTATCTTAATTAATTACTTATTTATTTATGACCGTCTCTAAGCTTTAAGCAATTTGAAGGTATTTAGGTATTTAAATACCTTAGAGCCAAAGGTATGTAATGTGATACCTCCAGCACCTACTCCCAAATCTGATACATAGTTTGTGCCCAATTTAATAAAAATCAATGAATAAGTAAGTGAACAGAAAAAAAAATTTAAATCCTATTGTGCTATTTTCAGATAAAATTACCATGAATCAAGAACATAACTAAAACTATAACTGTGGTCCTTAATTTAAAAATTATGGTAGATAACCTAACATAAAGCTAATTTAAAAAACATACTAACTTTCTGATACCAATACAAATTCATCAAAAATAAAAACAGAAGAAAAAACCTTACTCATTTGACAATGACAACATAGCATATGAAATGATTAAGCGGAACTATAACAGGGAAGGTAAATGTCTTACGTGAAGAAAACTAAAGAGTTTATTGAGGAACATAAGGACAGAAAAAAAAAGACAAAGTAAATATTTTGCCTATAAAATATTGTTAATGTATGATTCCTAAATTTTTGATGCATTTAATACAGGTTTAATCAGAATCTCACCTTTTGTGTGTAACAGGTTAAAACCATTAAAATTAAGTAGAACAATCAACATGAGAATTTATAAGATATTATTTAAAAAGGGAATTCTTAGATGGACTTTTTCTGGCAAGAATAAAAAGAAAACAAAATAAAGTTTCTGTAAGTAAAACCTCATTGTAGCAATAAATAGTGAAAACAAAATTAAGCTTTCAAAATAAGATCCCAAATATATAGATGTATCCCAAAAATACAATATATGATAAAAGTGAATTATCAGTTTAGAAATACAAGAATTATTCCGTAAGTTGTGTTGAAATGCTAATTAGCTCTTTTAGAAGAAAACAAAATTAGATTCCCACCTTACACAGTAAATTGTTATATATACCATGGCATTAGGGAAAATCATTTTTTTCTTATGTTTCAACAACAGCAACAATTGAAAATATTTTCAAAAAGCAAGTAAAGAAAAATAAAGTTGAGTAAAAAACTCAAACTGTAAAGTAAAATTAATTTTCTGTCTACAGACCAGAGCATGAATAAGATTATACATCAATGATTTTATTTGAGATGTGAAAAAATGATTTAGGAGAAAGAAGTAAAATGTGGCTTCATTTATAGTCTATTTTATATGGTTTCCTTGGTAGGATTGAAGATATAGATCTCTTCAAAATTACATCTAAAATAGGAAACAAATAGCAATTTAAATTGCTTTTAGCACTGTATATCTCTGTTACTTTCAAAAATGAGTCGGACAATTGCCAATCATATCAGAGCATAGTTTATTTATTTAGAATCAATATAAGATTAAACATAAGATAGCTAATGAAAAAAGAGTAATATCAGAATACATTTAAAAAATTAATTGGTACGGTGGCATGTTTTTAGAAAGAGGATAAAAAAGACAATTATAAAACAGATTTTTTTCTTAATGCCTTTGGTTATAGATTTGAAATTTTTGTAGCTTTTTGATTGATTTTTAATAAAAGAATAAATACTACAAATAAAACAGTATAGCTTGCCAACTTTTAGATTTTTGTCTTTGTTGTTTATTTGCTATGTTTAGCAGGCTAACTTTGTTCCTCAAAGCAGAGTGTAGAAAACTACAAACCACCCATCCAATGAAATCTTCAGAAGGCTGGTAAATGCCCAGAAATTGTAAATGTTATTTTATGACCATTTCTATGTGAGTGCTTTTTGGAGTAAGAGAAAGAAAATGTAATTTTTATTATAGTCTATTTAAAAAATGAACACTGAATAGACAATATATTGAAATTATCATTGAGTTCTCCATTTTTAAGTTCATTTTCATAGTGCCTGACAGAACATAAGTTAGACTTAGAAAAAAAATACAAATCGTGGTGACATTCACACTCTCTGAGACTTTGGGATATCTATGCTTCAGATACATTCTTCAAGGCTGCTAAAAATATTGCAACATGGAGGCATTATATTGAGCTTATTAAATTATAAAACATATTAAAAGACCTTAAAAGTGGAAGAAAGAAATCGGAATTCATACCTCTGAAGGCAGAAACATATATATTTTTCTAAGCCTTGGGATCTGAAATGAGTGTCAAATATTTTAATTGACAAAAGATTGTCTTAGACTATTCACTTCAAAAACTAAGAGAATACAAATAAGTGAATAGAAAAAGCAAAACAGTCTAGTCTACTCTAGTCATGACAATCTGATGATTTTGGAAATGAATTGTTACTAAGAAATTCCAGAGACAAATATACATTCATAAGCCACCTGCAGAGGGTAACAAATTAGTTTATAAAATACAGGCATCTGAATTAATACTTAAGTTCAATCCAGCCAACAGGGCTACTCAGTGCTAGTAAATATGGCTCTTTTCTGGAACAGGTATTCTTTACTCAACACACTCTATTACACGTGCTGGAAAATTAATATTATAATTATACCCATCTAGGATGATCAAGAGGTGAATGATATCCCTGTACTTAAGCATACTGTACCTAATGTACAACCATTAGTGATTGTTCTAGAAATCTGCCTAAAGATTAACCTAGTGGCTAGAACCCTTGATTCTAGCAGTCTTAAAGCCATCTAGAGAAACAAATCACATCTTGACATGACTATTAAAATATATATTAAACTCACTATTTTATAATCATAAACTTTCTGATCCTATATTCTAGCTATAGGTTGGAGAGCAGGGTCTATATTAAGTTTACTTCTGTATCTCTATTGCATAGCACAATCTCTATTACTTTTTAGTCACTTAATATTTGTCTAACAAATAAGGAAAAATGTCAAATCTCAGAATACATTGTTTCTGGGAGGAAAAGATTTCTACATTTCAGGATTTCAAAATTAAACTAAATTATATAGCCTTCAATAGGATGTTTCTATTTTAATGCCACATCTTACACAACCAGAGTAAAGGTTCACCTAAAATATATAGGAAATCTATATACAAAAAATTCTACCAAACTGTGAGACTCTACCTTTGGCACAAGATGGTAATGTTATCTCTGTCTCTCTCTCTCTCTCTCTCTCTCTCTCTCTGTCTCTCTTTGTCTCTCTCTCTCTCTCTCTCTATATATATATACACATATGTATACATATATACATATATATGTATATACGTATATAGCTGTATATATATACACATGTATATAGCTGTATATATACATACATGTATATACATATACATATATACATATACACATATACATACATGTATATACATATACATATATACATACATGTATATACATATATACATATGTATACATGTGTATCTATATACATATATACATATGTATACATGTGTATCTATATACATATATACATATGTATACATGTGTATCTATATACATATATACATATGTATACATGTGTATCTATATACATATATACATATGTATACATGTGTATCTATATACATATATACATATGTATACATGTGTATCTATATACATATATACATATGTATACATGTGTATCTATATACATATATACATATGTATACATGTGTGTATGTATACATATGTGTGTGTATATATATACATATGTATACATATGTGTGTATATATACATATATACGTGTGTGTGTGTATATATATATATACAGCTACAGTATAATATGCCTTACCCTTATCCTCAACCCCCTAACAGAACATATAGCCTACCCTTTCCTCAGATGTAAGGATATATATTACATATAGATCTATCTATCTATCTATCTATCTATCTATCTATCTACCTACCTATCTAGATGTATATATATCTTTCCCTCATACTGACCTGAACTTATGCCTATGACAGCTGAGAACATACAATATTTTCCCAGAGTTGCAACTGATGGCAACTTCTTTATTGCTCCCACTGTACCTCCTCCAGAATTCTGAGTAGCAATTACAGCATTTTATTGTGTTTACTTGTTTATGTTAATATGCTATCTTGACACAAACTACTAGAGTTTATGTTCATTGAGCAGGAATTCTGATTTCTGTATCCTGTTCATCTAGCATATAATATATGTCTTATTTATGCTAGTTGAACACTATAGGGCAATGACTTTGTCTTATTTACCATTATTACCATTATATCTAGTTTCCAGAACCCTGCTTAACACACAATGGGCACTGAGTAAATATTGGTGGAATGAACGGTAGTGCTCAGTGAGTATTTACTGAATGAATTAATAGCTAAGGCTATTTCTTGAAACATGGGACTTCAGCTGGCTAAATTATTTTAGTACTGATAGACTTAATGAAATGTTTGAAAATAAAAAAAACTATAAATTTAATCTACCTCCTACAGAGCCTGAGAACGCACTAACAAGTTTCTGCTTAAACATGTCTAGTGATAAGCTATCCATTACCATGTTAGATAACTTTTGTATTGGGAGAAAATCTTCCTTCATATAATTTCTACTACTTGGTTATGGTTTGTCTACTACATCTATACATAATAAATTCAAACATGATTATATATAGCATCCTTTAAAATAAGATAACCATTCAATTCCTCAGTAAACTTATGTAAATTAAAAAATTTTGCTTTTAAGTTACAGTTGTGTGTGTGTGTGTGTGTGTTTGTCTGCGTCAAGTACTTCAGTGTGTCAAAATTTTCTTTAAAATAATCTGGCACTACCCACAATACTCCAGAAAGTGTGTGATAGGTACAAAGTAGATTTTTCTGCTTAATGTGATTTTATCAATGAACTCATAATTTACTGTAGTATCTCTCTTCTCTTCTCCTCTTTTTTTCTCCATTTCCTTTAAAAAATTTATCAACACTAATGTTCATTGTTTTGACTTATATTGCATTCATAATCTGAGAGATGTGGTAGTTAAAAATGCAGGCAGGGGTATAGAACACAGGGATTTAAGTTTCGGTTTCAGCACCTATCAGCAAGATGACCTTTAATAAGTTCACAAAAATGTTTTTCCCCTGTTTTTCCATCTGTAAAATTGAGAGAATAACAATATCGAGGCTATATTCTTCTTCTTCTTCTCATTAGGTAATTTGGCTAAGTATAATCTTCTAGGAGGAATACTTGACTTCAGATTTGAAGACATTTTCCCCATAGTCTTCTGGTATTGCTGATGAGAAATCTCTTGGCTCTTTAGTTCTTCTTCCTTGATTATGATCCATTCTTTCAGTATATCTTCAAAAATTTAGGCTCCTCTGTTTATCTTTAGAGTTCTAGAGGTGTATTTTTAATTTTGATTAAAATATATTTTTTATTTAATTAGTGTCATAAATCTAGGTCTTAGCCATGAATAAGCATAAGCTGCATTTAAAAGACATTTAAAAGACTTAAAAGACATTTAAGAACACACAAGGATCCATATATTTCACTCTACTGCACTTAAAACCACTTTAGCGAGGCTATATCATAATAGAATAACTATAATTCCACAGAATATCTGTTATGACTTTCTTTTCATATAAAATTTTAAGTGCTAGTTTCTTTGCACAGATTTTCTTTCTTGGAAATTTCATTTCTGGAAATGCATACGACAACTCCACACTAATGAAGATTTTCTGCCTCAAGGAGTTGTCTGAAATCACTCCAGTGAGAAATGGTGGAGCTGAAACTGGAATTTAGATCTGTTGGTAAAGGCCAGGATTCTCACTTGAAAGCCTGCCCATATGTGAATTACTCTCTTGAAGCTCATTCTTCCTTTTCTTTCATGGAAGTCATTTATCATATTTTGGTAATCATTTTCTCAGTATCTCCAGAGTCATTTTTCAGTTTTTTTTACTCTTTCTTTTCACCCCTCCTTTGGGCCTCCACCTTCATCCTTATATTCTTACATTCAATTAATCTATTTAATATTTGAATGAAATATCAAACATTTCCTCTTGTTCCTTAGCCATAAGTGTTCTTCATAGTATAGAATGGAAGAAAGATACTGATTGTTTGGATAAACTAAAAGACTCTGTACACAGGGGTTTTATCAATTACGACATTTGCATTTTAGCTTCAAAAATCATTTTCCTCTCAGTCTTTTGCATATTTAACTATCATGGAATATCTTTACTTAGTCATTTGCTTTTCAAGTTTGAATGGTTATCATCAACATTTTATTACAAATTTAAGCCAAAAATCTAGACACTTAAAAAATTATTCATTCATTACTACCCACACAAAACATACTACTGAAATTGCTTGAAAATAATATATTTTAAAAAGCAAGTTTATTTGAATATTTTCAACCGGGCAACTGAATGCCACATAGTATGATTATTGACTCATGGAAATTGTTCTGAAAAAAGAAAATTGTGATTTTTTCCTGGAGCTCTTTCAATGTATAACTCTTAGTCAAGGCTTATTGTAGGTTACTTTTGGTAACAGCTAAAATATCTTTTTAAATTCTTTTTAAAAACCTGATTATAACTAGATTATTTTCATCATTACAAAGAAGTTAAATCAAGCTGAAGAGATTCTAAAGAACTTGTCAAGATGCCAAAGAGTCTCCTAGAGAATGATACACAGGAACCATGACTACAGTTTTAGTTACAATGATAGGATAGGTTTTCATAGTTCAGCAATAAAAAATAAAATAGTGTTTCTCCTCTATACTGTTGATGGAAATTAATGAGGAAACTAAGCATTACAACTGATTAAATACAAAAAAAATGCTTCCAATTTGGGAAGTCCCCAAAATAGATGACTTTCAAGATATATTTTGGAAATCATATAAAACACTAAAATGCTTACAAATGAACTATTTATGGTTAGTTTTGGAAGGGAAAACTAACCAAAAGAAAGGGAAAGGGAGAGAGAAATATGATCGTACATGATTTATACATGTTAGCATCTGTTACCTCCAACTAAATATTAAAAGGATAAAAAGTTCACCCAACTGTAGCTACTTTATTTTACTTATTTTAAAAGAATGTTCATTGCAACATTATTTTTTAAATTTATTTTTTAGCAAAAGCATGCTTTATTTCCTTTTAATTGCTATATTTCCCAACTTGGTCTCATAGAACCCAATGGAGAAAGAAACATGTTCTAATAACATTCTCATGGTTTGCCTACAAAAGTGTTTCTGTGTCAAACTTTTTCCATTCAATGAAGAAAACAGTATATGATGCATCTTAAAGAAAGCATGCTTACATTTGCCTTTTATTGCTAGCTTTCTACCTCATTCTTAAAAATTATGTTTTTGGGGGTACTTTTAAATGTATAACATGAACTGTCATAACTGAGGCCGTAAGGGCTAATTAGAACAACAGCTTATAAATATATCTTTTAATGTATATTTATTCACTGGACAAAATAATCCAGGTTATCTACATTACTATGACAATAAAAATTATGTGTTAACTGTACAATACCTTCCTCACTTATACATATGGTTAAAAAGTCCATAGTATTCACACTTAGAATTTCCCTCTTGAAAAGTACTTAGATAAAACAGTGAAGCAACCATTGACTTATTTCATGTTTCAGTTGAAATCATAGATGTATTGAATGTGAAACTCTTAAGAAATCATATGTGGTCTAGTATCCTTCATTTCATAGATGAACCTGTGTTCAGAGAGGTTAAAGGCCCTTGACACATGAGATCATGTCTCCAGGCTGCTAAACCTGCACTCTGTCCCTTCAGCACATATCTCTTCAATTCTGGGAGCTTGATGTAATTGGCTCTGGAGCCAATTACAATGATTGCAAATATTCCCCAAAACAAAACATGTTTATTTAAAATAAAACATCTCTTGGGATAGATAATATGCTCTTTACTAAGCAGCTTGCCTATTTGTTTGAAAGGAAAACTCGTATAAAATGATAAAAGGTTGTTATTTCAGAAAACTACTGTAAATCTGTTTTTACTTTTGTAATATTATGATGTATGTGTATACCTAAATATCTTTTATAAAATGCTATAATATATTCAAAGAATAAGCCATTACGACACAATATATACAAGAAATAATTCATCCAGTATTATGTTTATGTTCGTGTCAAACATTTAAGAATCTAAGGGAACAGGGTTAAAAAAAAAGAGAGAGAAAACTTCAGTCCTACAAAAGCACTAACTGTCAAAAAATTCTAACAGGTCTAATATTACTTAGCCTACTTTAATCCAATCTCTATTTTCTAAGAGAAAATATACTTGTTCTATATGCTGGTGTGGCAAAAAAATTCACTCTAGCTTTACACTTACGTTTATAATAATAATTCATTTTAGCAGTGATACAAATAGTTATAAAGGCATGTTTCTATCTTCATAATGATTGTACTTTACTTTTGAATTCTATACAGAGTTACTTTTTTAATAATGTAATGATAAAAGTACATTTATTTGAAACAAGTTGCATGGTATGAGTACCATGTCCCAGACCTTTATAAGTGTCTATGTCTTAATCAACGTATTTTAGCTCAAGTCACCCACTACTCCTACGTATAATCGAAGAATGATACCTGAGCATTTTATATGTCTACCAGAATGACTTAAACATTTTACTGAAAGGTATTCCAGTCCAGTTTTGTTTCTGTTAAATTTGAAATTTGTGATCGGTGACACTTTTCTCTCTCTCTCTCTCTCTGTCCCATACACACAAACACACACACACACACACACACACACACACACACACACACACAGAGCCAAGACATTCATGTGGCCACACATTTTTAATTACTGATGGACAGCCAATTTTAAAAAAAAACACTCAAAGCTGGTTCAAATTAAATATACACGGTCAGTTTTTACTTGGATACTATACATTTTTAATGCTGATAGATTTGTTTTTAGCCAGATTTACAATATTTCTTGATGTAAAACACTGGTTTGTTCCAGAAAGTTACCAAAAACGAGGAAAGGGGAAAAGCAATAGCAGTAGGTAGAAAAACATCATACATATCATGCTGTGTAACAACAAGTTTCTGAAATAACTTTGTTTTTAAAATGCAGAATCATCCAGAAAGTTCTTCGGTGGCATTCATTCAGTAAATTTACTGGCAAAGTCATTTCTACTCCCCCTCACTCCCTCCCAGTAACTCAACCTTCATTAGTTCACTAGTTCACTAGTTTATACTCTGCTTGAAGTCAAAAACAACTGAACCAATCTCATGCTTCAGAAATATGTTACTTTCCTTCTATCTGAGAATGAATAGATCTAATCAGAAAATAAAACGATGGTAAATACCACATATGTGTTAGGAAATGCAAATTAATTACTTAAAGTGGAATAATTTTTAAAAGAAAGGGGAATAAGGGGAAAGGGGTAGATAGCAAAGAATAGTTTTAAACCCCTGAATTTACTCACCAGTTTCCCAAATGCAGGGTCAGTAACAAGAAGACCAACCTCACCCCTCTACTTTGACTCCGCAGAAGAAAAGGGGAGAAGAGAAAAGCTTTCAAAGGACCCATCGGAATCGCTTTTTTACGTGTGCTGCACTAGCTCAATTCTCCCAGCCAGGACTTTTCCTCCCACCTCAGCAGCAGCTGGCTGAGTACAGAAGGGAGAGTGTGGAAAGGCAGTGCACCTCCCAAACAGGTAGGATGCGACTCCCAGCAGAATTGAGCCAGGGAGCCAATCAGGCCGAGAGGATGGTGGCATAAATTATCTTAAAAAGAGTTGAGCCAATCAGTAGCCCAAGGAGGCGGGGTTCTCCTACTAGAAATTGAGCCCAGTAGGGAAAAGGGCTCCCTTTTTCTAAAAGAAAAACAAACCTCTTCTCCCTCGCAGCGGCGGAGAAACGTTTGAGTGGCCTTGAACAGAATCCCTCCCTAGGGAGAGGCTGCCTTTCTCCCCTTCTGCTCTTCCTCTTGTCTGACTCTATTTCGGGGCGACTGCCTCTTTCCTCTCCAGCGTTCGGATTCTAAATCTGTCTTCCAAGAGAGACCCGTGGGAAGCAGGCAGTGCCTAATTGGTTTTCCCCAGGTTCGTGAGGATTCTGTTAATTTGTGTTAATCATTTTGTTAATTTTGTGGGTGGGGCGGTGTCTCCTTTCTCTTTGCAGATCCAGCACCTGGCAGGATGCCCCGCACAAATGAGCACTCAGGAGATGTTGAATGTATAATTGAATGAATGAATGAATGAATGAGCAGGCTCCATGCATTCCTGGTCACCACGTTTGCTCCCCCCAACCCCCTTCCACCGCCTTAATAGTGAGAGAGGATATGCAGTCTTCTTCTCCCGCCGGGCACCGAAAGATGACACTAATGAATAATGCCAGGCAAGAACTATCTCATCTTAATCTCATCTTACAAACACAAAAACAGAAGTCTGATTTTATAAATGTTGTCATAGCCATAGGAGCTGTAGACCTATTAGATGGGCAATCCTAGTTCTCTGCCCCACTCCCCATCTGCTTTTGCATCTGTTAAGCCTCAGTGTTTGGTACCTAACTTCAGAGGCTCTGCTTTGAGTTCCTAGCAGAGCCCGACGGTTGCCATGGTAACCAGAAAGCCTCTGGCAGCTGGAACAACTGTACAGGCGAAGACGCTGGAGGTGGTGGAAGCAGGCGCTTTCTCTGCCTAGCCATCTTCTGTCTTAAAACGCCCTCCCAAGAGCCTGCTTCCCACGGAAGCCTCCTGGGGTTGGAGTCTTTAGCTGTTAATCCACCCCACAACTACCTGGAATTGGCCAGATTCTGGTTTGAACTGCAATTTACTACCCAGTTACCTGAGCATATTTGTCTGCCTCAAACGGTTCAAGCCAGAAGTAACAGGGTTTGCGCACGGCCGTAAGGTAACTGTTGCTGCACTACCTACTGAAATCACTTAAAGAAACCGGATAGGGGTAATGAGGTTACTGATTCTTGTTCTATCCCGAAATAACAAATGGTGCAGTGCTAGGCGTTTCTCCCCCTCTTTGATTGATTCTCCACCCTTTTAGTCTCCTCTGGAAATGCACATTGACCCTCCTTGTTTTTCTTCTCCCACTACACATTAATTAGGCAGTATTTTTCTCTTCCACAAAGCATGTTAGTCAAGGTAGCCCATATCAAATAGTTTATAAAACAAAAAAATTTAATTATAATAGATTTTAGGGTGAATAAATTTACGTAAAATGTGATGTCAATATAAATTTGAGGTTTTTTTTCTTTTACTGCTTCAATTAAGAATATGCTTTGGATAGCTATTTAACTGTTTCATTGAATGCACACACTAACTCACTGATCTGATTAGCCAGAGAACTAGGAATTAATTCATTAGAAGTATGTTGTGAATAAAAATACTTGTCTGATTACCCTTTGCATTTTGCTAACATTGGATAAGGTTTGTAAACACTGATGGGAATATGATACTTTATAATACTGCATGCAACAGTAGCTGATAGTCCTTCTGTCAATAATTTTTAACAAGGTTTTACTCTTTAATTTTACATATGTAACTGAAAGACACTGAGAACAGTTAAAAGAAATTAATGAGGAAAGGTGAAGGGTATCTCCTTGGGTAGTAAGAATTTGCCTGTTTATTCTTGTAAACGATTTTTAAAAGCTGGAGAGAATTTCCCGTATTCTCCAAAATCCAGGTTTTTGCAAGTTTTATGCTGAAATATTTTCCAACTTGTTTCATTCATTTCTTTCAAGTACTTTTATTTAACTATATCTATGTTTCTTCCTTTGATATATATTTTCTATTTTTATAATATGTGTTTTATGGGAAACTGATCCTATTCTGCTATAGTTAATTATAATTTCCTATGGACTATTATATGTAAAGGGGATCTGAATCCTGCAGAACCTGGAAAAAAGAAATGATGGTGTTAGGTATCACCCATATGTTGACCCTGAGAGACTGCCTCATTTGATTTGATAAACCGGTTGTATGCATAGTCGGGAGGAATGTGGGGAAAGATACATACTATCGGTTCTGAATAAAGCAAATAAGGTACATCATACTCATCAAACAAAGTAGTGTCTTAGAGGGGCACACTCACTGACTCGGAGAAATAAGATCAGGTGTCTTACAGATTTCTAGGTTAGAATACTAGAAGTTACTATAGGTAAGGAAGTGAAGAAAGCTCTCTGTCTTCCATTATGATAGTCGTTTTCAAGTGGAGGCAACTTTACCCCGTGGGACTTCTGTCAATGTCTAGAAATATTTTCAGTTATCACAATCTGGGGGTAAAGGCAGCTACTAGTATTGAATGGATAGATGCTAGTGTTGCTGCTACATGTACTAAAATGCAAAAGAAGGCCCTCCCACAGCAAAGAATTGCAGAGCTCAAAGTGGCAATAGTACCAAGGCTGAGAAGCCCTGACTTATGAGTGAAGAGAATAGTAACCAGAGTCTACTGAAACTGATGATTTCCTTATATTGTCATCGAAGCCACCATTTCCCTCCTCCTTCTTTTGAACCACTGTCATTATCCACTAGGCTTATATACAGTTATAATGACTATCAACACAGTGCACAACAATTTTTTCCCCCAAAATTTGTTCAGGGATCATCTTAAAATAAAATGTTTGGGGTATCTCTTTAAAATGCAGATTCATGGGCTTCGCCATTAAATATAATTTTTAGCAAGAAATTCTGGAGATATTTTATGCATCCAAGTTTGAGGACAAAGGTTCTACCATCATCTCACAAAATAACCAGCGAGACAGAGACCTGATCATATATGTGCAACCATGACCTTAATAAAGCAGGGGCTCAGCATGATTCCTCTATCCATTGTTAATTAATTCATTCAAAACTATTTATTAAGAAACTGTGATGTCAGGAACTAGGCCAGGAATTAGAAATACAATGGTGAACAAGTCTTACTGCCTTGGTTTCTTAGTCTATAAAAAAAGAGGATAATAATTCTGCTTAGTTTATAGAGTTTTTTAAAGGATTAAATGAATTAATACATGGAGATCACTTGAAACAGTGCCTGGATAATTAAAATTACTCAAAATTTTAATACTGTTATCTAATTGATGGTAAGTTTCAAATCTAATTATTCATTCCAGTCTCTAGTACAGCACCTGGTACAGAAGAGTTAATTTGTAAAATGTACAGTCTATTAGGAAGAAAGGAGATAATTAGGAGACACTGTTGTGCTCACCCTACCTTCAACATTGCCTTGATGTTTGCTTTCTCCAGATCAAGGGGACATTTTGAGTTGTATTCTACCTCTCCTGATACACTTTTCTTCTGATGACCGAAACTCTATACTTCAGCCAATGCATCAATTTCAGGTTCCTAAACTTATCCCTCAAAATCATGCATTTTTGTCTTGTCACAGGCTATTCCCTAGGAGACCCTTCCCTCTTCAATATCTACTTAATCCCTTTTCATTGTTTCTGAATAATTTTATGGGTCATTTTTTTCAAAGAAGCCTTTATTGTTCATTGCATCCTAGTCTGTGTAACAGAGATGTCCTATATATAATAATGGTTAATAATTTTGAGCATTAGCTATGTGTTCCCAGGCATTGTTCTTAGCAGTTCTAGGTTATGGGTGCACACTGTTATCTGTCCTCCTAAAGCAAATGCTTTATTTCTGTATCATGGAATACGTTACATTTTTGGGAATTGTCTGTATTTCTACCTAAACTTTCAGTTCTGTTTTAAAATTTTACATAGTAAGGATTGATACTTCTTATCAGATCCGGTATTATGTCATGTGTTTAATAGTATACGTGCATATTTGATTAGTACATCTCTCTCCATAGAATGTAGCTCTGAGAAGGTGGGGCCTTAATTTGTTTTCATCATCTCTGCATCCCTTTCATATAAAGCAATGGCTAGAGGGTAATAGGCAGTCAATAAATACTTGTAGAATGAATATAGATTCAATACATAATTTACTAAATAAGCAGATGAATAACTTTAACCTTTTGATATATATATATGTATATATATATATATTGGAGCTATGAGGGGATCTCTGTTCCTTAGTAGTGTTCTCTAGTGTTCAGATCCAAGTAGACAAATTCCAGATTTTGATGCTTGACTTATTCCTTCCCATGAGACCATAAGGAATAATTATTTTTCTGATTCACTGCTTGTCAAGACCAAAATCAACAAACCCCGCCATTTCAGTTTATATAATCAGATTATTTTCTATAATGAAACAGAGGTGATGACCAGCACAAAGATATTTTCAAAGACTGAAGGCATGCACTCTTTCTTTGCCAACCTGTTCAATCTCCTTAATCCTGTACCTGGCCTCCAGAGTGCTGCTGAGACAGAGTGCAGAAGTTACTCCTTGATGTCAGGAATGGATCTCTGGCTTCTAACTTATGTTGTTTTAGCTTTTTTGTTTCTGTATTATAATTTCTGAATCTGAACTTTCATCACGGATTAATATCTCTACTCTTTCTTATATCTTCCGTGGTTTCTTTTTACTTGGTTTGCCCACAAACATGTAACTGCTCTCGTGTCTAATAGTAGAGTACACATATACACCGTGTTTTCCTTTCCCCCCCTCAGCCATCCATGCCTTTTTAAAGCCATCCTTCTCTTTTCACCAGCCATTCACTCACTAAACTCTCTGGTCTAGCTTTTGTCCCTGTGACACTAATGCCTGCATGTTGCTAATCCAGTAGAAGTTTCCAGTGCTCACCTGTGTGATCTCTCACCTACATTTGATCATTCCCTCTTTCTCAAAACATTCCTGGATGTTATATTTTTTTCCCATGCACCTTTCGCTAATTCTTTCTAGGCTTCTTAACATGCTTTTTCTACCTTACCTTAATACTTTGGAGTTCCTCAAATATTAGTTTGACTTCTTTTCTTTTTGCACCACGCTGTCATCATTGGCAATCTCATCTATTATCAAATATTTATATATTATTGTAAGAACTTAAAAATATCTCCTTAAATCATATTGCAAGTCAAAGATGTTTTATTGGGCTTCAGACACATAAATCTGAAAAACACCAGCTAGCTAGTCCAACTAAGAGATCTTACAGTTTTTTTTCCCTTGACATATATGTCATCTAATCTATCACTAGCTCTTTTTAATATTCCCAAAACTTATGTTCAAACTATCCAGTGTAAATAGACTGTGGCAACCATAGGTTCATACGTAAGGTGGCCTTGGTTCAAAACCAAGATCTTCTATTTACTTATTTTTTCAATGCCTTAGTTCTCATGTGGTTACTGTAAAAATTACATTAGTTATATAAAATACTTAAAAGAGGGCCTAGCACATACTAAGTGCTCAGTTAATCTTAACAAGCATTACTACTGCTATTATCAATATTTAACTTCTGCTCAGTTAATCTTAACAAGCATTACTACTGCTATTATCAATATTCAACTTCCTTCTAGCTCTACTGCCAATTAATCTAAGTGGCCATCAAACCACTACAGTTGCCTTCCATTTCTAATCTTGTCTACCTTTTACTTATTCTTTATATAACTACTAGATAGCCCTTATAAAATGTGAAAAACTAAAATTCTGTCCATTTTAAACCATTCAATGACTTCCTATTCTAGTTAGAACAAAATGCAATACTATTATCATGGCCTGTGAGACGCTGAAGCTTCTGGCCCCTATGTCTCTCTCCTGCTCCATCTTTCCAGCTCTCTCCTCTTCTCAATGTGTTCCAGCCAGAATGACTTCCCTTGAGGCTCTTCATTGCCATGCCTCATTTTCACCCAATGGTTTTGTAGGTGATTTTTCTATATCCTAATTACTTCACCTCACCTTTCACCCTTCCTCAGCTATTGTCCTATTTTCACTCTCAGCTTAACTAGCCCATCCTTAAAGAAACCTCCAGTTTAAATTAACTCCACCATTATAGCATCTAATAGCACTCAGCACTTTTCCTTCCTGACATTTGATGTATTTTATAATTAATTGATTCATTTAATTCGAGATAGTCACGAGCACCTGGGTTTCAAGCACTCTTCTGTGTACTAAGGATGCCATAAATGCAAAAAGCAGACAGATTTTTATGCTCTCATAAAGAGCATTCTGTTGCATTCTGTTGAACTTTCTATAGTATAAATTATAGTTTTATTCTTAAAAATATTTTCACAACCAGTCTAATTTTTATCTCTTTTCCAGACTGTAACTCATTGATGACCAGTGATTATTGTTTCTTTCTTTATTTACACTACCCCTAGTCTAGAATAGTGTCCATCATAGCCATTTATTGAAGAATAAATGAAGAAAGGGATGAGGTGCAACATTTCTACCTTACTATCTCTATAATTTGGGTATTATACTTCATTTCTGTACACTTAAGCTTCTTTCCTATAAAAAGCCAGGATATGAATATGAAATTTGCAGAATTGAGGTAATACTATTATATAATTTAAATAAATTGTCTACCAAATAACTGTCCCCAATAAATGTTAGGGATGTGGAGTCAGGAGTGTAAACCCATGCAAGCATCATGAATCAGCAATTATGCTATCTTTGCAAAAAGGAGAAATGCACAGTCAAGTAACATAAATTTACATCCTGCTTACACTAATTATTTTTGTGATCTTTGACAAATCATATCTCTCTGAACTTTAAATTCCTCAATTACAAAATGAAGTTAATGATTATTTTTATCATTATGGGTGAGTATGAAGATAAAATAAAATAATTTTAATGCAACTCTTTGCAAACTATTGTGATGCAGAAGTATAGTTTTTAATATTATTGCTATTACTTTTTGATGATCAGTACAAAATGACAGAAATCAGAGAAGGCATAATAAAGAAAAACAAAATATCAAGAGTTAACAATTACATAGTCCTTGCGGTTTGCTACATATTGTATATCTTAATTGATTTGGATAACTTCACTTATTTAAATCCTACAACAATCCTATCAGGCAGTCACCAGTAGTTTTCCTTTATTTTATGGATGAGGAAACTGAAGAGAAGAGGTTTAGTAATTTTCCCAGGTCACAAAGCAACTATATAATGAAGCTGAAATTTGAACCTAGAGAGTCAGGTTTTAGAACCCAGGTTTCGAACTGCTATGTGATAGTGTACTGAACAGCAGATTAGTCATGATATCTGCTTTAAAATAAATTGTTCATATTTATGCCGAGGCCACCTTTTCCCTCTCAGATAAACCAACGTGGCTATTTCAGTGACTACATACCAGGGTATCATTGTTGTGAAAACCTTACATATTTCACTTTAAAGGGCCATGCCATAAAAATGTCAAAAGTATGAAGAGTTTTTAAAGAATGATCCTCATGCAGCCATGTTTCAAGAGAATATAATCCTGTTTAAGATATGAGACACTTACAGGAAAGAGATCCAGTACTGGGAGATTTATTGTAGCCTGACATTTAATGAAAACCCTAAAGGTTTTGATGGAGCTTTATTATATCAATTACTCACTTACCTCATATGTAGCCTAATATATTTTATTTTAAAAAAGCCTTGCTTGCAGAACTGGCATTGAAGTAATAGCCCCCAGGGCATCTTTGAATGGGTCCCATCCACTACCTAACTCCCTACTCACCCAATTTATAGCCTGTGATGTGTGGCTTTGGCTAGCAGCTAAAGAATAATATAATTTCCTGTGGTTGTAAGGGTCCAGAGAGAAAGAGAATCTTCTTCTACTTGCATATTTTCCCCCTCATTTGTCTCACTGTAGCTTCCGGTCTACCAAAATACTAAGCAACTGCATATAAATACTGGGAAATTATTTAGAGCCCCATGAGGAGGTACCATGCACAGCAACAGAACTGCCAGTGTTTATTGATAGAAATCTGTGGAGCCCATATGGGAATGAGTTCTAAGTCAGTTGGATCATATTGAAAAGACTATAATGTTTACTTGGCAAAATGTGTTAAAATGATTGGTACACTAAGCAAAGATTCTGAATTCAATATATTAAATCAAGAAGCTAAAAAGTGTTTGTGACACTTTGCTTCACTAGTTGACTAAACCTTTACTCAAAGGTAATCTATAATAGCGAAGTTGAAATGTCCTTAGATCTGCAAAGCAGTTATCCAAAGTTTTAGGAAAAAATGGTGGTTAGAGTGGATTGGTCCTGTAAGACCTGCTAGCCAGTCCCACTAATGCATTTATGAGGCAAATTCCAGCAGATTTAAAGAGCTCTATAGTGGTTATTACGTACAGGCCAGGGATGATAGTAGGAAATAGTATGATCAAACTGGATTCCTGAAATTCAATGGGAACAATGGGATCTTGGGAATTCTCTGTATTCATTGGGCATGATAAGATTCCATAATGGCAGGGGCCAATTGGCAACAATAATAAGAGATAAAATGAGCGTCATCTTAAGAGTTAATGTGAGCACCAGATTTAATATTACAGTATTGGACAGAAGAACCCTAGCAGCCAACAGTGAAGTTTGACATGAAAATATCCTTGGCGCTAGAGTTATAGATCAAATGTTTGTATCCCTCCAAAATGCATATGTGCAAATCCTAACCCCCAATGTGATGGTAAAAGAAGGGGGGGTGGATTTGGAAGGTAATGTATCATAAAAATAGATCCCCTGTGAATAGAATTAGTGTTCTTACAAGAAGAAACATGAAAGAGATTTTTCTCTTGGTGACGTGAGAATACAACCAGAAGACCACCATCTGCAAACCAGGAAGAGTGCCCTCACCAGACACCAGATCTGTTGACCCCTTTATTCTTGGACTTTCCAGACTTTAGAACTGTGAGAAATAAATTTTTGTTTAAGCTACTCAGTCTATGTTATTCTATCATAGCAGTATGTAACTGACTAAGAGGGTTAGCTAATTTATTATGTTGTCCTCAGAACTGAAGTAGGTGATTGTTCTACAGAGTCTTATTGATGTGTATAGGCAGAAAGGCAATAGATCTGATAATGAGAGATGCGATTTCAAGTACCACCGTGATGTCCAAACCTCCTATCCAATTTTAGTCTTGGACCAATTTATGGACCCAGAGTATCTTAATAAAGGATAGTGTGGGTTCTTTTAAGTAATGATGTGGCTATACAAACAAAAAATTGTACTGAAAATCTACATCGTAGTCTTCCTCCAAGAAATCCTGCCACTATTTATTAGAATGACTATTTTAGAAGGGGAATAACCAGTCTTTTAGGGACTATAATGCCCTGGCTCAAGCTGACAGAAATTTCTGGGTACTCAAAATGCCACCGTGGTCTAGTTGTCATAGTAAGGGCCTATGAGTATCAGGTGATAACTGTGATTATGGTTAGGTCCACAGTCGGCCTATGTCTCTCTGCACATATCCTGCGGCTTTATCCTAATTAAAAAATGTGCAGTGGTAAGAAACATAGAAACTGGCGGAAAACAAAAGGTTTTTTGACTTGTGGAGACAAAACCAAGTGAAAGCCATAATAATTACTGTCACCTACCAACATAAGAAAAACATAAGACCACATGTTTGCCTCATCTAGGACTTAAAAGGTGAAGCAGTGGTATTTCTTATCAAATGTACATTCAGTTTGCTTATTTGCTTTGTATAGAAGGCAGATGGATAAAAGAAAATGATGATGGATTAATAAAAAATGTAACTAGGTAGTGATTTCACTTGTAGCTGCTATCCTAGATGTGGTTTTATTGCTGCAGTTAATTAACAATCCACTGACACCTGGTATGTAGCAAACATTTAGTGGCAAAACCCATTTAGAAGAAATCTACTTTCAGCTGAGAGAGTTAACAATACACTGTCAACTGACTTGCCTCAGTGTTAAATCAAACATCCAGCCCCATGACATAATCTAGTCTAAAGGTATGTTGATTGGCTGTCTGTTTTATAAGACATCATGCTGTTCCATTACAGGGATGACACCATGCTGATTGGATCTGGTGAACATGAAGAATGAAATACTCTAGAAATTTTACAAGACATATACATACAGGGTAGAAAAAGAATCTCATAAAAAATCAGAGGCCTGGTACCTCATGACATTTCTAAGGTTTCAATGGTCTGCACATGTCTAGATATCCCTGTGAAGGTGAAGGGCGATTTGCTGCATTAGGCTCCTCCTATCATTACAGAAGAAGCTTGTCTCTTTCAATTTTGGATGCAGTATATACTTTATCTAGGTTTATTACTCCAACCTATTTACCAAGTACCCTTAAACTCTGTTTTTCATTAGACTTTTATTCTTTTTATTAGGACTCAGAAAAAGAGAAGGCTTGCAATAAGTTTAGACTACTTCACAAGCTTCTCTCTCACTTGGGCCACAGGATACTGAAGATTCAATTATGTTTGACATGATTGTAGCAGATAAGGTTACTGTATGGCGCTTTGGGGAAGATTCCTATTGATAAATCACAAAATAGACTTTTAAGATTTCAGAAGAAAGCTATAAGCTAAGCTATCATTTTAAGATTATTATCCCCTTTTAAAGAAATAATTTCTGCCTTGCTACTGGTACCTAGTAGAGATTGAACACTTACTACAAGCCACAAATTTGCCATATAACATGAGCTAATATTGTCTGACCAACAAATAATAAAATAAAAAATTGACAGAAGCCAATCATAAAGGTGCATGTGATACATATGATATCAGGCTTGAGTGGTGCCTGAAGATGTAGAAAAGCCATATGAGCAAGTCAGCCAGATATCCATGGACCTTACTCTAGCTTCATTTCCCCATCTATTAACCTTCACCCTTAAGCCTAACTAGGAGTTTCCTAATACTATGTAATTAAAGAATGAAAAAATCATTCTTTGTTTACAAATGATTCTGCAGGATTGACTTGAACCACCCAAAAAGAAAACCACAGTTGTGCAATTCTACTTCAGGTTATCTCTGAATAAAATGGTAAGGAAAAAAATCTTCAGTAAATTCAAAGAGTATACCTGTTTGCAGATTTTTCTTCCTGAAATGAGAACTAGCCAGAGATAGGATCTACGTTAATCCTAGACTATGGCCAAGGGTCAGATACTTGGAAGGGACACAGCTTAAAGTTGGTGAAAAGTAGGACTAAGGGAGAGGAATTTGGATAGATCTCTATAAATGGGCAGGGAATCAAGATTTTTTTTGTTCCATCTGTGAATCCTCACTAGATTGGCCTCAGGAGAGAAAGATACTCATAATCAGGTGAACAAGATCATCTGTTGTGTGGATATCAGTCACTCGCTTTCACCAGCCACCTCTGTCCATATGGAATGTGCTCTTAAAGTAAACAAGGCAGGAGGGACGAAGGTTATACATACATTCAACAACATGGAATTTTACTCACCAGGTATTGTCTGACTTGATGACTGTCCAGTCTATCTATAGCAGAACATTATATTTAGCCCAATAATGATTATATCCTCTAAGACCATTAGTCAGTCACTTGGTAGGAGAAAAGACTCCCTATTCAATAAATGGTACTAGGACCACCAGCTAGCTATATGCAGAAGATTGAAACTGGACCCAATCCTTTCACCATATGCAAAATCAATGAAAGCTGGATTAAATATTTAAATATAAAACCTAAAACTATGAAACCTCTAAAAGAATACCTGGAAATACAGTTCAGGACAGAGGCCCTTGCAAAGATTTCATGATGAAGACACAAAAAACAATTCAACAAAAACAAAAATTGACAAGTGGAACCTAATTAAACTAAAGAGCTTCTACACAGCAGAAGAAACTATCAACAGAGTAAATAGAAAACCTACAGAATGAGAAAGAATATTTGCAAACTATGCATAGGATAAAAGTCTATAAGGAACTGAAACAAATTAACAAGCACAAAACGAACAACCTAATTTAAAAATTGGTAAAATAGATGAGCAGATGCTTCTCAAAAAAAGACATATATGTGGCCAACAAGCATATGAAAAAAAGGTTCCATATCACTCATCATCAGAGAAATATAAATCAAAACCTATATGAGATACCATCTCACACCAGTCAGAATGGCTATCATTAAAAAGTTTCAAAATAACAGATGTTGGTGAGGTTGTAGAGAAAAGGGAACACTTATATATTGTTTTTGAGAATGTAAATTAGTTTTAGCCACTGCAGAAAGAAGTTTGGAGATTTCTCAAAGAACTTAAAACAGAACTGCTTATGTGACCCAGAAATCTCATTACTGGGTATATACCCAAAGGAATGTAAATTGTTCTGCCATAAAGACACAAGTATATGTATGTTCATTGCACCACTATACACAATAGCAAATATGCTGAAACAACCTGGATGTTCCTCAAAGCTGGACTAGGTAATGAAAATCTGGTATACATACACAATAAAATTCCATGCAGCCATAAAAAAGAACAAAATCATGTCCTCTGAAGCAACATGGATAGAGCTGGAGCTCATTATCTTCAACAAACTAACACAGGAACAGAAGACCAAATACCACATGTTCTCACTTATAAGTGGGAGCTAAACATTGAGTACACATGAACAAAAAGAAGGGAATAATAGACACCAAGGTCTACTTAAGGTTGGAGGGTGGGAGGAGGGTTAGGATTAAAAAACCAACATCTGTTTTTCTATACTTCTACTACACTGTATATGTGGTCTATTTATAGCAATTTGTATCTTTCATTACGGTGATTTTTTTTTTAAGAAAATAGAAGACTCTGTGTCAGGAACTCTCTCTCTCTCTTTTTTTAAATTACGTATTTATTTATTTGAGATGGAGTCTCGCTCTGTCACCATGCTGGAGTCCAGTGGCCCGATCTTGGCTCACTGCAACCTCTGCCTCCTGGGTTCAAGTGATTCTCCTGCCTCAGTCTCCAAGTAGCTGGGACTACAGGCAAGCACCACCATGCCCAGTTAATTTTTGTATTTTTAGGAGAGATGTGGTTTCACATGTTGGCCATGATGGTCTCAATCTCCTGACCTCATGATCCACCCGCCTCGGCCTCCCAAGTTGCTGGGATTACAGGCATGAGCCACCACGCCCAGCCAGGAACTCTCTTTTTTAATTTTGTGTCCCTAGTACCTAGCAACAGCGGGCACATTCTTGTGTATGAAAAAGAGTTAATTTGTTGTCAATTATCTATTTATCTCTATTTACCCATTTGATACATCTTTGATGTTTCCTATAAATCTCACATTGAACTGTAATCCCCAATGCTAGAGGTGGGGCCTGGTGGGAGGTGTTTGGGTCACAGGGGCAAATCCCTCATGGGTTGGTGCTGTCCTCACGATAGTGTGAGTTGTCATGAGATCTGGTTGTTTAAAAGTGTGTGGCGCCTCCCCCACCCCTCTCTTGCTCCTGCTCTCATGTGATACACTGGTTCCCCCTTTGCCTTCCACCATGATTGTAAGAAGCCCAAGGCCTCATCAGAAGCTGAGCAGATGCTGGCACCATGCTTCCTGTACAGCCTGAAGGACTATGAGCCAATTAAAATTATTTTCTTTATAAATTACCCAGTGTCAATTATTTATTTACAGCAACACAAGAATGGCCTAACATACCATCTACTACTTAACTATCATCTGCAAAATAACAAAATTTAAGTCATGAAAACATAGTAAAAATTAAAGATGTGTCAATTGATTTGGATGCAAATGGTGAAATATATAAGGGTTAATATGAGAAGGAATTTCTCATTAGCAATTGAGATATTTCAAGGGTTTGCTGCAATTGAGTTGTTCATAATTATGATATATTGCAGTATTGTTGGACAAAATCAGACTTGAAAGTTAATCAGGGAAATTGTGTCATATCTCGTGGGTAAAAGAGAGGAATACATTTGTCTGGATATCCAGGGTAGTGACAAGAACAAGAGTATGCCAATTAATCTCTGAAATATTATGAGGCACATAAGGAATACAGAAACAAATGGGAGAAAAATTCATACTAAAATGTTTTGCAAGTAGAGTAGTTGGAGAGGAGTAAGCCTATATGGATTTATATGACATATATGCATAATATTGTAAGTATTTCTCCAAAATCTAATACTTGATTAATACTACAGATTTTTAGAGTCAGTTTCAATGATGTTTCTTCCATCATACGCATTATGATAGTGCTGTGTTATTCTCTGAAAACTGAATTTTATTTTAGCAATACGCTATTAGTTATTTGAAGTCAGTAGTTCATTTAGTAAGAGCCCCTTAATTACTGCTAAAAGTGCCTATGAATTATTCTGCCCAAAACAAATGGCTGAAATGGTTATAAAGACATGAAAATATCTGTCATAGTCTTTAAGAATAAACTTATAATCAGTAATTTTTTATTAAAAATAAGGTTAAATTAAATAACATGTTAGATAATTTAATACCTTTATAAACATTGAAAAGTAGACTCAAGAATTGTTTACTCTTGAACCAAAACTTGGCTGCTCCAAACTTGGCTGTTTAACAGAAAGACCTAGTGGAGCCTGTAAAAATAGAATGCCTGCAATTGGTACAATCTGATTTAGAGTTTCAATAGGTGAAATCCTGAAATATGTATGTTAAAGAAGCTTCTCAAGAGATTGTTATGTAAATAGAGACCTGCATTTGAAACTGCTGATACCAAATACAGTGGCAAGATGTACTCACTATATAATTTTTCAGTGAATATATAAATGAATTAATTGTTGTTTTTTAATTTATCATTTTCTAAGAATGTTAAAATATTTCCTAGAATTTAAGTATTTATAGGTCCATATAATCATTCATACATGGGTGAGCTACCTCTTAGAGCTGATGACTCTTAATGAAATGATGGATGAGATTCATAGTCTTTGAACTCGTCTTTATAGAAATATTATGCATTATTTTTTCTGAGATTAGATTCCATCTCATCATTGATGCAGCAAATATTTGACTACATATAAAGGGTTCCTTCAAAGGTTAAAAACTAATGCCGTAAGTATTTATATAGCCATTAATTTGCCAGTATACTGATCGTTATTCTAGACACACAACCAACATCATTTAAATTTTATGTACCCTTAGAATAAAAAAAAAATACAGTATGAGTAAGAAACAAGGTCAAATACTGCCATTTTCACATGTTACTTTACATATGTAATAGCCTTAGATGTCTGGTTTTTAATTTTTTTAATAGTGGAATTCGCGACAGAGATAGCTACCTTGAGATAATTTTATCAACCATCTGTGTGGCTCAATGGAGCACATTGCTAGAATTTACTTCTGACAAGTATGCAGGAGGGCCGTAATTTTTATGTCCTTGTAGTTCACATTACTTCACCCTGTTAGGTAGCAATACCTTGTGTGAGATTCAAAGTTGGTAAATCAACCACGCAAGGAGAGTATAGATTAAATTGAACAATGTCGCCCTAAAGGGAGATTAAAAGGCATCTTCTTCAAGACAGTGAAAAACACGAGGCTGGGAGATAAAGTTTACTTATATGGGAAATTGATGAAATTGTTCTGAAAAATCATGATGTAATTAAAATGCAATTGGAATGGCTATAAAAACTATTTAGGTATGTAAAATAATGGTTATTTAGGTACAATTTACAAATGGTAAAATTCATCCTTTTGCGTGTATGATTCCATTGGCTTTGACCGTTTGTAACCACTGTCACTATGAAGATATAGAACACTCCCCACAAATTTCATTATGCATCTTTATAGTCAGTTCATTCCAACAGCCAGTGCCTAGAAATTACTAACCTGAATTCTGTTCCTATGTTTTTGCCTTCTCCAGAATATAATATAAATGGAATCATAAAGTCTATAGTCTTATATGTCTGTTCCTTAATTTAACATAATAAATTTGAGATTTTGCCTTATTAAATATTATCAATATTTTGTTCCCTTTATTGCTGAACAGTATTGCATTGTACAGATGGGCCAAGGCATATTTATTCATTAAATAGTTAATGGATATTTGGATATTTACCTTGTTTCCAGTTACTGCTATAAACATATCCATTCTCTTGGGTAGATGTCTGGAAGAACAATTTCTGGGTTCATATTACATTATGTACGTATATACATTTCATATATTATAAGCAAAGTATTAAACTGCTCTCCAAACGGTTGTACCATTTTGCATTCCTAGCAGCAATGTACGAGAGCGGTTCCTCATCTTCATCATCACCACTTGATACTGCAGTTTTTAAAAACCATTCTCATATATGTGTAATAAAATCTCATTTTGGTTTTTATTTAAATTTCCCTGATAAATAATGCTGCTCTTGCATGTGTTTGTTTATCATCTATATCTCTTTTATAGTGAATAATCCATTCAATGTTTACTTTTAGTATTATTTTTTGTATCTCAGTAGTTTTTAGGGTGCATGTGATTTTTGTTTACGTGGATGGGTTCTTTAGTGGTGAATTCTGAGATTTTAGTGCACCCATCACCTGAGGAGTGCACACTGTACCCAAAATGTAGTCTTTTATCTCTCACCCCGCTCCTCCTCACCTCCAAAGTCCATTATATCACCTTGTACGTCTTTGCATCCTCATAGCTTAGCTCCCGATTATAAGTGAGAACATATGGTATTTGGTTTTCCATTCCTAAGTTACTTTACTTAGAATAAAAGCCTCCAGTTCCATCTTAGTTGCTGCAAAAGACATTCTTTCATTCCTTTCGATGGCGGAATAGTAGTCCATGGTGTATATATACCACATTTTCTTTATCTGCTTGTTGGTTGATGGGCACTTAGGTTGGTTCCGTATCTTTGCAATTGTGAATTGTGCTGCTATAAACATGCATGTGCATGTGTCTTTTTCATATAATGGTGTCTTTTCCTTTGGGTAGACACCCAGTAGTGGGATTGCTGGATCGAATGGTAGATCTACTTTTAGTTCTTTAAGGAATTTCTGTACTGTTTTACACGGTGGTTTTACTAATTTACAATCCCATAAGGAGTGTACAAGTGTACCCTTTTCACCAATTCCATGTCAACATATATTGTTTTTTGACTTTTTAATTATGGCCATTCTTGCAGGAGTAAGTTGGTATCTTATTGTGATTTTAATTTGCATCTTCCTAATGATTAGTGATGCTGAGCATTTTTCATGTTTTATGACTTTTAGTTCATCTTCCTTTGAGAAATGTCAGTTCATGTTCTTTGCCCATTTTTTTATGGGATTTTTTTTTCTTGAGGATTTGTTTGAGTTTTTTGTAGATTCTGGATACTAGTCCTTTGTCATATGCTTAGGCTGTGAATATTTTCACCCATTCTGTGGGTTGTCTGTTTATTCTGCTGATCATTTCTTTGGCTGTGCAAAAGCTTTTTAGTTTAATTAGGTCCCATTTGTCTATTTTTGTTTTTGATGTATTTCCTTTTGGGGTGTTGGTCATAAATGCTTTGCCTAGGGCAATGCCCAGAAGAGTTTTCACAATGCTATCTTCTAAAGTTTTTATGGTTTTGAGTCTTAGATTTAAGTCTTTGATCCATCTTGAGTTGATTTTTGTACAAGATGAGAGATGGGAATCCAGTTTCATTCTTCTACAAGTGGCTTGCCAGTTTTGCCAGTACCATTTACTGAACAGGGTATCCTTTCTCAAATTTGTCTTTTTGTATGCTTTGTTGTAGATGAGTTGGCCATAAGTATTTGGCTTTATTCTTGGGTTCTCTATTCTATTCCATTGGCCTATGGGCCCATTTTTATACCAGTACCATGCTGTTTTGGCAACTATGGACTTGTAGTATAATTTGAAGTCTGGTAATGTGATGCCTCCAGACTTATTGTTTTTGCTTAGTATTTCTTTGGCTATGCATGCTCTTCTTTGGGATTCAGAAGAATTTTAGAATTGTTTTTCCTAGTCCTGTGAAAAATGATGATTTTTTTTTTTAATGGAGTCTCGCTCTGTCACCCAGGCTGGAGTTCAGTGGCGCGATCTCAGCTCACTGCAACCTCTGCCTCCTGGGTTGAAGCAATTCTCCTGTCTCAACCTCCCAAGTAACTGGGACTACAGGCACCTGCCACCATGAGGCAGGCAGCACCTGCTAATTTTTGTATTTTTAGTGGAGACAGGGCTTCACCTTGTTGATCAGGCTGGTCTCAAACTCCTGACCTTAGATGATCCACCCACCTCGGCCTCCCAAAGTGCTGGGATTGCAGGCATGAGCCACCGTGTCTTGCAGATGATGGTATTTTGATGGAAATTTCATTGAATCTGTAGATTGCTTTGGGCAGTAAGGTCATTTTCACAGTATTGATTATTCCCATCCATGAGCATGAGATATGTTTTCATTTATTTGTGTCATCTATGATTTCTTTCAGCAGTGTTTTGTAGTTTTCCTTATAGAGATCTTTCATCTCCTTGGTTAAATATATTCCTAGGTATTTTATTTTGTTCTGCAGCTGTTGTAAAAGGGTTTGAGTTCTTGGTTTGACTCTCAGCTTGGTTGTTGTCATACATTGATTTTGTAACCTGAGACCTTACTGAATTTGTTTATCAGATCTAGGAGCCTTTTGAATGAGTCTTTGGGGTTTTCTAAGCATATGATTATATCATCAATGAATAGTGAAAGATTGACTTCATCTTTTCCAAGTTGGATGCCGTTTATTTATTTCTCTTGCCTGATTGCTCTTGCTAGGGCTTCAAGTTCTATGTTGAATAGAAGTGGTGAAAGTGCGCATCCTTGTCTTGCTCCAGTTTTCAGAGGAAATGCTTTCAACATTTTCCCATTCAGAATAATGTTGGCTGTGGGTTTGTCCTAGATGGCTTTATTACTTCGAGGTAAATCCTTCCTATGCTTACTTTGTTGAGGATTTTTATCATAAAAGGTTGCTGGATTTTATTCAAATGCTTTTTCTGCATCTATTGAGTTAATCATATGTGTTTTGTTTTTAATTCCATTTTTGTGATATATAACATTTATTGACTTACCTGTGATAAACCATCCCTGTATCCACTTAATCATGATGTGTTATCTCTTTGATGTGCCATTAGATTTGGTTGTCTATTATTTTGTTGAGGATTTTTGCATCTATGTTCATCAGGGATATTGGTCTATTGTTTTCTTTTTTTGATATTTCATTTTTTTTGCCTTTGGTGTGAGGGTGTTACTGCCTTCATAGAATGACTTAGGGAGGATTCTTTCTTTCTCTATCTTTTGGAGTATTATCATATGATTAGTACAAACTCTTCTTTGGATGTCTGATAGAATTCAGCTGTGAGTCCATCTGGTGCTGGACATTATTTTGTTGGCAATTTTTTTTTATTACTGATTTAATCTCTCTGCTTGTTATTGGTCTGTTCATGGTTTCTATTTCTTTCTGATTGAATCTAGGAAGGTTGTGTGTTTCCAGGAATGTATCCACTCCCTGTAGATTTCTAGTTTGTGCATATAAAGGTGTTCATAGTAGCCTTGAACTATCTTGTGTATTTCTATGGTATCCATGGTAATAGCTCTGGTTTCATTTCTACTTGGGCTTATTTGGATCTTTTCTTTTCTTGGTTAATCTTGCTAATGATACATCAATTTTGTTTCTCTTTTCAAAGAACCAGCTTTTGTTTCATTTAACTTTTGTATTTTTTAATTTCAATTTTATTTCATTCTGCTCTGATCTTTCTTATTTCTCTTTTTCTGCTGGGTTTGGGTTTAGTTTATTCTTGCTTCTCTAGCTCCTTGAGGTGTGACATTAGGTTGTCAATTTGTGTTATTTCAGGCTTTTTCATGTAGGCATTTAATGCTGTGAACTTTCCTCTTAGTGCTGCTTTTGCTGTATCTCAAATATTTTGGTAAGTTGTGTCAGTATTATTTATTTCAAAGATTTTTTTAAATTTCCATCTTGATTTAATTAACCCACAAATCATTCAAGAGCAGATTATTTAATTTCCATGTATTTATATAGTTTTGAGGGTTTCTTTTGTAGTTGATCTCCAGTTTTATTCTACTGTGATTTGAAGGATACTTGATGTAATTTTGTTTGTCTCAAATTTATTGAGACTTGTTTTGTGGCCTATGATATGGTATATCTTGGAGAATGTTCCACGTGCTGATGAGAAGAATGTACTTTCTGCAGTTGTTGGGGAAAATGTTATGCAAATATTTGTTAAGTCCATTTTTTCTGGGGTATACTTTAAATCCATTGTTTCTTTGTTGACCTTCTGGCTTGATAATCTGTCTAGTGCTGTCAGTGAAGCATTGATGTCTCCCACTATTATTTTGTTGTTGTCTATCTCATTTCTTAAGCTCAGTAGTAATTGTTTTATAAATCTGGGAGCTCCAGCGTTAGGTGCATAAAAATTTAGGATTTGTGATATCTTCTTGTTGGGCTGAACTTTGTATCATTATGTAATGTGCTTTTACATCTTTTTATTTTAACTGTTGCTACTTTAAAGTCTGTTTTGTCTGATATAAGACTAATCCTGTTTGCTTTTGGTTTTCGTTTGCATGGAATATCTTTTTCCACTTATTTACCTTGAGTTTATATGAATCCTTATGTGTTAGGTGAGTCTTGTGAAGACAGCAGATATTTGGTTGGTGGTTTTTTATTCATTCTGCCATTCTATATCTTTTAAGTGGAACATGCAGGTGATTTATATTCAATGTTTATATTTAGGTATGAGGTATTGTTCTATTTATCATATTATTTGTTACCTAGAACTTTTTTTCCATTGCATTATTGTTTTATAGGCTCTGTAAGTTTTATGCTTTCTGGAGGTTGTTTTGGTGCATAATGAATTTTGTTTCAAGATTTAGAACTCTTTTTACCATTTCTTGTAATGCTGGTTTTGTACTGACAAATTTTCTCAGCATTTGTTTGTCTGAAAAACACGTTATTGCTCCTTAATTTATGAAGCTTAATTTTGCTGGATACAAAATTCTTGGCTGACAATTATTCTGTTTAAGGAGACTAAAGATAAGGATACATAAGAAGATAGCCTGATTCTTATGTACCTTGGTGTGATCTTTCTTGCCATTAATTTCCTAGGAATTCTTTGAGTTTCTTAAATTTGGGTATCTAAGTAATCTCTAGCAAGGCCAGGATAGTTATCCTCAATTATTCCCTTGAAAAACCAATTATTCATAAGTTGGGCCATTTTACATAATTCTATATTTCTTGGACACTTTATTCAATTTCGATTTTTTAAAAATCATTGTCTAATTGTGTTAATTTGAAAACCTTATCTTTGAGCTTTGAAATCTTTATCCTTCTTGTTCTAGTCTATTGCCAAAGCTTTCCATTGAATTTTTATGTCTTTTTGTCTTTCATTTTCAGAAGTTCTGATTTTTTTATGATATCTATCTTACTGGAAAATTTTATATTCATATCCTGAATTGTTTTCTTTTAAAATTTTGTTTATGTTGAATTTTACCTTTCTCTGGCTTTTACCTTTCTGTGGCATCTCTTTGAGTAGTTTAATAATCAACCTTCTGAATTCTTTATTTAGTATTTCAAAGATTTCATCTTGGTTTGGATCCATTGTTGGGGAGGTAGTGTGATATTTAGGGGGGTACCATAGAACCCTGTTTTGTCATATTACATAATTAATTCTCTGGTTCCTTCTCATTTGAGTAGACTATTTTTTCAAATTGTTATTGAATTCATTTTGACTTGGCTACATTTTTTAAAATTTCTCTTCTTCCCTCTTAAGGACATGACTTTAATGTTTATAGTTTATTCTAGCCTATTTTGGTTCTTGGTTATTTTAGGGGTGAAGACTCTGTATGAGTTCCTTAGCTATCGAGAGTCTTTGTTTGTTGGCTTTCTCACACATTGGTTGTAGTAGTTATGTACTACTACATCCACAGTATCTGTGTGTAGCAAGTTGACTGTTTCCTTTGGGGTTGAAATGGCAAGAATCCCTTGAAGTGTATCTCATTCCCTTATTGTGAACACTTTACTTATTGATTTATTTTTCCCAGTATTTTATTTACTGAGTTGATGGATCAGGCTTCAGGCCAGTATGGGATGGATTCCTGGATAGGAACTAGCTGTAGCTAAAGCAGGTGGGTAGATGCAATGCCCCATGGTGGGCTGAAGTCCCAGCCTTGATGATAGTGGCTGGGGGAGCTCTCAATTCGATATACTGAGGTTTTATCGGGTGAAGGATGGGAGTTACCTCATCTCCCCTGCCAGACAGGCAGGAAAGCTATCCACCTCCCAGTCTCAATGCTGTCCCAGTGTTCCAGCTATTGAGATAAAATAGACTTCTCTTTTTGTCTGTAGAAAAGTTGATGTTCCAAGTAGAGAGGAATTGTGATTCTGCTTCTCATGCAAGCCTGAAACTTTGGGGATGCAATCACCCCGAACTTTTCCAGAAAGGCTCCCTATAAAGTGCATCCACACTAAGTACCCATGGGAGAAGCCTCAGCTGTGTCTGCAGTGGTGGACTAGTGGAGAACAAGCATCCATTCTCCAAAATCCTTCACGAGCACAAAGGCTGCCTGCTTGTTGGAGTAGAAGTGCAGACTTGCCCTGCTGTGCCCAGCACTGCAATTGTGTCTCTGCTGTAAGAAACTTCCCACCAGCAGAAAAATATGAGATTGGAGGCTTCCCATCCATATTCTTTTGTTCCACTGGGTATTCTCTTGATGTGATGCTGTCTCCCTTCCCCTAAGAGTAGGAGCTCCTGAGAGCTGAACAACAGTGATTGTTATTGCTCTTTTGGAACTAGCCACCCAGCGGGACTACCACATTCCAGGTTGGTGCTGAGGCATATCTGCAAGGTATCCAGTGATGTGACCTTTCTTCATGTCTCCCAGAAGTGGGTACCAGCATCAGCTCTGATGGAGGTGGCAGAGGAGTGAGTTAGACTGTGCGATTCCTTGGTTGTAGATTGGCGTAGTTTGCTGGCTTTCTTGAATGCTTGTTATAATTGTATTGAATTGGTCATATGGACAGACTCAGGACCTCTGGTTAGCCAGGGTGTTGCAAGCAGTGATTATAGCTGAGGTTACACAACAGTTTTCTCCTTCGTGGGCACAGTGTGATTCTACCTAGAGGTGCTGTAATGGATTGTCAGTTGGCCTCCAGCCAGGAAGTGGTGCTTGCATCAGCTGTGGTAGTAGCAGTGGAATTTGAGCTTGCCCTAAGTTGCCCCGGGAAAGTATTTTGGTTTCTCAGGTGATGGGTGGAGCTATAAAGCTTCCAAAGGTTTAAGTCTTTTGTTTTAAGCTACCAGAGTGAGTGGAAAGGCACAACTACTTGGGAGCAGAATCAGGAGGGTGTGTACTCTGACTCTCTTTGGCAGGGGCAAGCAATATCCCCAATGAGGGTCAGGATGTGGTTCTTAGGCAACTGTGGTAATGTTCCAGAGGGGACTATAACTGTCTATCCTGCACAGAAGAGTTCTCAAAGGAAGAGGGGACTAGCAAGTGGCAATAAGCCTCACCCAGCTCCCATGCAGCTGGCAAGACAGATCTCACTTTTGCAGTGCTCCCCTAACAGCACTGGGTTGAGATCCAGGCTGTCTATGGACAGAAATCAGACCTGCCCCAGGCCATAAGCCTTCCCCACAGAGATAGCAACCACACCTATCAGGTCATGCCCTCCCTCTCTGCCTCCAAGGCCAGGTGTTGAGCTCCTGCACTTGTGTCTGCAGTTTACTTCCTGCTTGTTCCCCAAGTTCTGGTCAAGGGAGTTCATCCCTACTTGAGATTATATCACGAAATTCAATTGGGAGATTCTTTCACCCTGCAACTCCTCCCTGAGGTAGTTGACTGACTTCTCCAAGGGCCCCCGTGAAATATAATCAGGAATGAGTTCCCCTGGGTCCATATTGGAGACTGGAGATGCCTGCAAGGCACTTCCCACTGCTGCCTCTACTCTCATACTTATCTTCACTTCCAAAATCAGTTTCAGCTCTGGATAGGGGTAAGGCTTTCTCCCATGAACTGAATTTTCAGATTCCTCAGTGAGGATTTGTATTCCGGAGGTAGTATCCCCCTCTCTTACACTTTGAGGACTTACATTTTTTTTCCTTTTTTATGGAGCAGGGTATAGTCTGCTGCTTCTTGCACAGGGTCTGTGGATTCTTTCAGTTTTCCTGTTAAGTTCCTGCATTTCTTCCTGGAAAAAAGTTTACAGTGTGAATCTCTATATGCTGTTCTGTCCTTTTAGATGAGAGAGGTATGCTAACACTACCTCCAATCTGCCGTCTTGGAAAAAAATGACAATTTTTCATTTTTAATAAGGGTATTCTTCTCATTGTTGTTATTATTACTACTACTAAATCATGAGAGTTCTTTATGGATTCTAGATAGAATTCTTTTAATAAATATATAATTTGCCAATACTTTCCCCAAGTCTGTATCTCATCTTTTTATTTTCTTTACAGTACCTTTTGAAGGCCAAATGATTATCATTTTTATAAAGTACAGTTATCAATTTGCTTTTATCATTTGTACTTTGTATGTTTTTAAAACTACTTACCTAATTCAAGCTCAGAAAGATTTCCTCTTATATCTTCTTCTAGAAGTTTTGCAGGTTTAAGGTTTAGTTCTACAGTCCAATTTATGTGTGATGGTTATTTTTTTTTTTTTGAGACGGAGGCTCGCTCTGTCGCCCAGGCCGGACTGCGGACTGCAGTGGCGCAATCTCGGCTCACTGCAAGCTCCGCTTCCCGGGTTCACGCCATTCTCCTGCCTCAGCCTCCCGAGTAGCTGGGACTACAGGCGCCCGCCACCGCTCCTGGCTAATTTTTTTGTATTTTTAGTAGAGACAGGGTTTCACCTTGTTAGCCAGGATGGTCTCGATCTCCTGACCTCATGATCCACCCGCCTCGGCCTCCCAAAGTGCTGATTACAGGCGTGAGCCACCGCGCCCGGCCTGATGGTTATTTTTATGTGTCAATTTGACTGGGACATAGGGTACGCAGATATTTGGTTAAACATTATTCTGGGTATGTCTGCGAGGGTGTTTCTGGATGAAATTAACATTTGAATCTGCAGACTGAGTAAAGCAGATTGCTCTCCTCTATATAGGTCAGCCTCATTGAATGTTTCAGAGGTCTACATAGAACAAAAATGTGGATTAGGGAGACTTTGCCTTCTCTGCTACTCTATTATATATAATAAATAATAAAGATAGCACGTCATTTAAATTAAAAGTGAAAAGACACTAGAGAAAAATCAATGAAGCAAAAGCTGATTCTTTGAATAGATCAATACAATTTATAATCTTTAGCCAAACTGATCACAATATGAAGAGACGATGCAAATGATTCAAAAATCGGGAAGGAAAGAGAGGACATCTTTAGATCCTATGGATGTTAAAGCAAACATTGGCAAATGTTTTCTAAAAACAGACCTAAAGTAAATATTTTAGACTTCAGGCCATACACAGTCTCTGTTGCATATTCTTGTAATTTTGTTTATTTTTAGAACCCTCTAGAATGTAAAAGAATTTTTACCTCATTGAGCATGTAAAAACAGGTAGTGCGACTGATCTGGCCAACCCCACATTAAAAAGGTAATAAAGAATAGTTATGAACAGATTTAGGCCAATAAATGTAGTAAAGTAAATAAAATGCAAAATGTCTTTGTGTTAGAAAAACAGCCAATGTTCATTCAAGAAGAAATCAATAATAGGATTGATTACATATCTATTACAAAGATGGAATTTATAGTTAACAACCTTCCAACAAAGAAAGCTTTATGCCCAGATGACATCACTGGCAAACACTAACAAACACTAAAGGAAGAAATAGCATCAGTGATACACAAATTCTTCCAGGAAATAGAATTTGGGAATTTCCAATTCATTTTATAGGAGAGAAAAAAAAAGGCCTACTGAACAGTATCCCTCAAGACTCTTGTATTAGTTTCCTCTGGCTGCTATAGCAAATTACCACAAACGTAATGGATTACAGCAAAAAAAATTCTTCTCACAGTACTTGAGGCCAGAAGTATAAAATCCATATCAACAGGCCTAAATCACGATGTTGGCAGAGCTGTACTATCTCTGGAAGTTTTAGGGGAAAAAACAAAAATTCATTCATTGCCTCTTCCCAAAGGGTGAAGTCCTGTTAAGAGGAGCTTCCTAGTAAATGACTCTCATTTGTCTGGGGGTCCTCACCTGTTCCACACTGACACATTACCCCGAAATTAGCCTTTAATTACTTCTTAAACTTGTAATCAATTTTTCCTTATTCAATTGTACGCTGATTTCCCTTTTCTTCTGTGCTTTGCTAAAAGTGAAATAATTCTTATGTCTCATCTGTCCTCTTTGGAAATCAGTTTACTTAGTTGCCTTGTAACCTTAACTCTCTGATAAGCTCAAGAAAAATACTGATTTTTAAATTATTCATTTTTTTAATTTTAGGATGGTGATGACATTATTCACAGCTTCTTACCTCCTAAGCAGAAACAAAAGTCTACACTTAGTTAAAAAAAAAAGTTGCTCTTTGTCACATGACCAAAGGGGGAAAAAAAACAGAAAAGAAGAAAAAATAATAATTGCACAATTTCTGAAAGGAAGAGATTAGTGTAATTATATTCCATTTGAAGAAGTAAAAATACCACATATTTTATGCAACTACATATTCAAAATTATTTAACATAATTCAATGGTGTAGTCTGAAAGTGAAGAACACCTATATACCTATCAAAATTTAAATTAATACAAATCTTATATAAGCGTCAAGAAAAACAAAGTTTATATTGAATACAAGTAATTAAACTACATTTGTACTATTTTAATTATGTATATCCCTACTTTAAAAACACTGACAAATAAAAATCTATGATGGTTGAGCATCATCCAAGAGACTAAAAGATACGTTTATGCAACTGAAGTTATTTGGAAAACAGATGACAAATCAAATTAAGTAGCAAAATATGATAATGATCCCTGCAAAGCTCCCTGTGGAAAATAAACTGCTACTAACAAGTAGAAAAGAAAATTTGTTTTCTTTTAGAAATTATTAGGATGAGAAATGTTATTGAGAATATGTTTTACAGTTTAGATTCTCTGTTCTTGTACTTTTCTAGACAGGTAAGTATAAACAAATTGTTTAGCACCATAGAGTTCAAAATAATGATGTGTAAAATTGATAAAATACTTATTTCAAGTATTAGTTGTTTGGTATGCAAGAACACTTTGCAATTTAAAACATGCTTTAAAATTGTAATTAAAAATAAGTAGAAATAAAAAATTAGTAATAAATATACATTTAAATATAAAATAGTAGTTTATCATCATAAAAAGTTGAGAATACCAACAATGAAGGAATTTATGAATTAGCATGCGCCTATTATATGCTACTCACACTCTTATATACCTTATTTAAATTTTCCCATGTAAAACAAATGTGTAAGTTTATCTGTGTTTTAACAACAATTCCATTTTCTATTCTGTTATATTTCTGATATCTACCTCCACTGAAATTCAGAGACCTCCCACTATGTCTTCATCAAATTGCTGCACCTTCATAAATATAACCTAGAACTTAATTATCAGATTAGAAATATACCTTGTGCCGCCTGTAATCCCAGCACTTTGGGAGGCCAAGACGGGCGGATCACGAGGTCAGGAGATCGAGACCATCCTGGCTAACACGGTGAAACCCCGTCTCTACTAAAAATACAAAAATTAGCCGGGCATGGTGGCGCGCGCCTGTAGTCCCAGCTACACGGGAGGCTGAGGCAGGAGAATGGCGTGAACCCGGGAGGCGGAGCTTGCAGTGAGTCGAGATCGCGCCACTGCACTCCAGCCTGGGCGACAGAGCGAAACTCCGTCTCAAAAAAAAAAAAAAAAAAAAAGAAAGAAATATACCTTGTGCCACGAGTCCCCTTCATTTGAGTTTATTAGTAATTTATTCTTCTTGTCATTAAGATCACAAAAATTAAAATGAGATCTTTGAGTCTATTAGAAAGGAGTCAAGAAAGCAAATTGTTCTATTCAATGAGAACGATAGAAAAGGAATACATACAGTCTTGTTGGGACAAGTATGTGTAGTCCAACCCTGTTCATCAAAGTTCAAAACTCCATATAAGTGTTTAGTGTCAAAGCCTTATACCAGGATTTCCCAAAATGTTTTACAAAAAAAATTAATTCTGTAAGATTTCCTTGATGTCAAAATTTATTGCAAAATAATTATTTAATTTAAATAAATATAAATATCCAAGGAGACTTAGATTTCTTTGCTATAGCAATTCTCAAAGCCTTGTGTGTTCTGTGAATCTCCAAGAAGTATAGATAATATTCAGTATTAGTTACAGAATCTCCATCTCCATTTCATTATTGTTGTTTTATTTGTTTTATTAGATATTTATTTTCTTAGATTATCTCACTTTTAAAACTCTACAGAACATGTTTTAGGAACAACTTTTTATTATGATGCTTTTATTACAATAAAAATGGACTTTGCTATCGTGTATTCTAGCCATGTCTTCTTCACAAACATGTAGTAGTTTGGAGACACTGGTTTAGCATTCATAGTTTGACTTATTAGTCAAATACCTTTTCATGTAGAGAGAAAAGCGTAAACTTCACAGTTGAGAGAGAAAATTGAGACATAGAAAATAAAACTGTGTCTAAATCACCAATTGAAAATTTCTGGAATATTATAAATAAAATAGTTGATATTATATTATTCTAAAATATTTGTATTTGCAAACTAAGTAATTAAAATTGAGAATATATCAGAAGAAAAAATAATAATCATTACCACTAAATGAACAATTACTTTTTGGTAGAATCTGTGTCTTTTTGTAGATTTATTATTTTATTTATCCCAAGAAGAATTATTCCAGTTGAATGTATTATATCTATTTTATAGATAGAGTAATGAAGACTTAAATAAGCTAACTTGCTTGATATTGAAATCTCAGCACTTCCTAACTCTAATATCCTGCTGTTTTCCACTATACTTCAAAAAGATTTAAGCAGCTACTTAAAGCCAAGAGCATATTTGTTTCATTTAAGTAACATGATGTTCACAAAATATCAAAGAAGAAATTTGCAACTTGAATACCAATGGAAAAAAATCATTGATTTCATTAATTACAAAGGAAATTTGGGACTTGAATAAACCAAATAAATAAAACTAATTACCCACCTAAATTTAAATATATCCTCACAATGACTTTTATTTGTTCTTTCTAATTTAGTTATTAGATGCATGGCTTCTTTGACAAAACTTTTATGATTACAACTAATACTCAGGGCATTCAAATATAGTAATGAAGAAGTCAGTCTCACAAACATCAGCTCAAGTGTCTTTATCATAATCTCTAAAGATAGTATAAGCTTACTCAAAGATTAGATGATCACTGTGTTATTGAGGTGAACATAATTTATCAGGTATGGAAATACAGATTAAGCGTCTCTAATCCAAAAATCAAAACCCCAAAATGTTCCAAAACTTGAAACCTTTTGAGCTCTGACATGATGCCACAAGTAGAAAATTTCACCCATGACCTCATGTGATACCCGGAGTGAACAAAACCTAGAATAATGGCCCTTTCTCAAATAATTTTGCCTTAACAAACCTGAATTCTATTTGGGTATGCTGTACATCACAGCAGCATTTATCCAAGTATTTTTAACATTTACATTGACTCTCTGTCCCTAAATGAACTGAGATTTTGGAGGGGAGAGAATTGTGTATTATTCATCTTCATGTCTCCAGTGCTTAACACTATGCATGGAATGCAGGAGAGGCTGAATATATTTGTTGACATAAAATGAATAAAGTCTGAATGAATAAAGACTAACAAAAATAAAAGCAATGTGTCATTCCATAATGAGGACCGGATCATGGATGAGAAATTGGTCTTAAATTGTGTCTTTGGAATTAATCAAAGGACGTTTTCAGGCTTGAGTACCCTCATTTGAAAATATAGAGATTGAACTACATCTATTGTTTGTAAATACTTAGTTTATTTTCCAAAGTTTTGTATGTCATATTTTAGTTATGGAGCCCTGTTCTCCAGTGAAAACTGACCACAAATCTCAATATAAACAATGGATAAAAATAGACCTGAACTGGGTGAACAAAGGCACAAGTTATGCAGCCTCATCTTCTTTCATTGTTGTTTCATCCTTTTTCTCACATGATCCAAAAACGACAACCTCTTCTATGACATTTTGAAGGAACACAGTTTGAGAAACACTGCTCTAATATATGGTCTTAATCAATTAGTAGCCATAAAAATATACTATATATATAATTTGTGTTTAAGTAACAAAATATTTTACAGTTAACATACCATCACAATATCCTCCTAGCATGCCTGTCTTGGTGTGATTGAGCTATTGTTGGGGTTTTCTATATAAACTTATGTCTATCTAAAACAATTAAATTGACCAATAAAGTGTTAGGAATAAACAATTTTCTCAACTTATTTTTAAGCAAATTGCTCTTGTTCTTACATTGTTGTATAACTCCCTTTAGAGCACCTTATTTTTAATGCTTAATGTAGTTGCAGCTACTAAAGACATATAAAATAAGAAAGTTAATTAAATATTAAGGATCCTCTCTCAAGTGTGATTCTTTTTAAATTCCATATTTTACTCTTCAGTTGCTTTGAAAAGACAATTTTAATCTAATTAAAATATTGCCATACTCATGCTGCCAGTAATAAACTTAATGAATGCAAAGGGAAGTCATAGGGTAACTATTTTATATTAAAAAAAATCATACTATTAAGAAAAATGATTTTTCATTTGCTACAACAGGTTTATTTTTATTAAACATGGTATAAGTTGTGTTTTTCTTGATAATTATTTAGTATCCTTGGTTGAATATGATCATGCATATTTAGTTTCTCTCCATTAGTGCCCTTTATATTAATAGGGTGCACTGATGAATACATTTCAATACATTGTTTCATTTTTGTGGAAATGGAAAGCAAATATTCTTCCAAATGTATTCACTACTAAAGAAATAAAGTCTCTGTTGTATATTTTAAATATACAATTTAAATCCAGCGTAGGTTTATACCATAAATTTGTAAATAATACCACTTATTTAGACTAAGATTTCCTATTTTTCTTTTGTACTTATATATTCTATTCACTAAGACAACATTTGTGTAAAATATTAAACCAGACTCAGTCCTAGCTTTCATAGAGCCTAGGTATAGAGTAAGAAGAAGCAAAACTTTGATTAATAATAGTACTTTAAGTTTCTTGAGTACTTAACTTGTGCCAGGCACTGTTTTAATGTTTTCAAGAATGTTAAACGGGAAGAAACATAGAAACAGAATGTTTCTATGTTAGGGACCTATTCCCAAGGGGTCCCTAAGCCTCTCTCACAATCAGAAAACTGAAGAAGCAGAAAGTGACCCCTGGAATTATTGGTCCCCAAAGCACACTGCTTTGCAGTAATAACCAGGAATCAAGAATCTTTTTCCACAATGTTGAACTCTGAGCCATATCACTAATTCCTCAGCAGGGGGAAAAATGTGTACACCTCTCACTCCATTTAGATCATTCTTAAATTCAAATGTCATAGTAATTCATCTGGTGGGCAAGGCTGAAATCAGATCTAGAATCTTAGCTCCAAGGAAATCTAGAAAATATAGTTTTAGCACACTAGAAGGGATTTGGAATAAGCCTCCAAATGGGCCAAACTGCAGTGTCCATAAAACCCAAATGCCACTTTTGTGTAAAAAGATTGTACATTATTTTACCTACTAAGATTGGATATTTTAAAGATTGGATCAAGACAGAGAACCCAGAAAACTATGCTTCCTCCAAGCCTATACATCATGAATTTTTGGAAATGCTATTTTTTGTTAAAAACAAAAACAAAACAAAGCAAAAACTGAAATAACCCTGGAAAACAAAAGTGAATCATGAATACAGCATAAATGTCTTAAAACTTTTGGAGATTGACAATCTTTGCAATCATGATTATGAAGAAACAACATAGAAGAAAAAATACTACAATGCAAAGCACATACCAGAGCAAGTTACTGCATTGATTATTATAATTTCAAAATATTCCAAAATTAGAGTCAAAAAATGAGAGATAAAAAGGGGCCCCTTAGTCAATTCTCAGGATCATTATTTTGTTAATAATACACCTTCCCCTGAATTAAATTTATTACAACAGCACAGCTGTCTAAATAGGTATATTAGTATGTGTGTGTTGGAGCCTAAAATATTATAATATGTAGAAAAGGGCTTCTAGAAATTAGGACTCCCAAAATAGTTAATAGTCAATACTACAAGAATAAAATCATCTTTATTTTGGCAATTAGGGGAGCACAAAACTGGGCTTCTTGCTCTCAAGCTATGTACTCCAAAGTGAAACTTGCCAAACAACATTTCACTCATTTACACAGAAAATGCAGACATCATTCTAGCCCCCCCCACTTCAATTATGGGATGAGATTTCTTTGAGGAATCAACTTATACCACTGCAATGGAAACCTACATTAGGTAGCTATGTAAATCAATCTGCATTTTCCTTCAGTACTGTGAAAGTTAATACTGGGTGCCAACTTGATTGGATTGAAGGATGCAAATTATTGATCCTGATTGTGTCTGTGAGGGTGTTGCCAAAAAAAGATTAACATTTGAGTCAGTGAGCTGGGGAAGGCAGACCCACCCTGAATCTCCTGGGTACCATCTAATCCGCTGCCAGTGAATATAATGCAGGCAGAAAAACATGAAAAGGTGAGACTGGACTAGCCTCCCAGCCTACATCTTTGTCCTGTGCTGGATGCTTCCTGCCCTGGAACATCAGACTCCAAGTTCTTCAGCTTTGAGACTCAGCCTGGCTCTCCTTGCTCCTCAAGCTTGCAGACAGCCTATTGTGGGACCTTGTGATCCTGTGAGTTAATACTTATGAATATATATATATATATATATATATGATTAGTTCTGTCCCTTTAGTGAAGCCTGACTAATACGGATTTTGGTACCAGGAGTGGTTCTAGTGGAACAGAATATTAAGGTTGGAGTTCTTTTGTTGGTTTTAGGGTTTCTGGAATTGGCTGCTTAATATGATTACACCCAAAAGTGCTAAAGGCTCTACTTACACTAGTATAGAGAACACTGATAGTCCTTGGCATGAACTGTTTAGAGAGTTATGCAAAATAAATGCAATTGACGCTGCTGATCCACCTGTCATGAAAGGCAAGGAGTTTAGTGACTCTGTACATAATACCTTTGACCATATGTGGAGAACCAAGGAACATAATGAAGCTGATTGGTTGCTCCTATGTTCAGTGGACAAAGTGATGAAAGAAAATGAAGAACTCATGGATTCTGTCTTCTAGCTTCAGAAGCTGATACTGAACCTCAAATCTGCTAAGATTGCCCTGAGTGAGAGTCTTATCTCCTGTGGAGAAAGAGTTGAAATTGTGGAAAAACAGACCCAAGCTCTTATCATGCAAGTGGCTGACCTGCAATGAAATGTAATGCACAGCCTTGCCAGGTGTCTACTGTTAAAAAGAGGACATTGATTGGAAAAGAATGGGACCATGCAATTTGGAATGGGGAAGTGTTAGAGGACCCTGATGAAGCTGGGGACACTGAGCTTGTAAACACTGATGAATCTTTTTTTTTTTTCCAGAAGGAACAGTTTACCTGTCCCCAGTAGTGGCAACATCCCCTCCCTGACCCATGCTGCCATCAGCCTTTCCATCTATATCTGAAAAGATAAACCCTGTGCTGTCTGAGGCAACAGTGATGGCCTCCCCTGAGGCAGTTGCTAGGCAAAATAATGTTGATTCTCCTCAGGAGCCATCCCCAACACCCCTGTCATCACCCAATGGGCCCATGAACACTGTGTCCATGGTTGCAGGGATGGTGCTTATGCATGGGCTCAGTAACATGGACTTCCACTCACCAAGGCTGACCTTGCTAATGTCACTGCTGAGTGCCCAATTTGCCAGCAGCAGACACCAACACTGAGCCCTCGATATGGCACCATTCCTGGGGTGATCAACTAGCAGGTTGATTGTATTGGAACTCTTCCATCTTGGAAAGGGAGGAGGTTTATCATCACTGGAATAGACACTTACTCCAGCTATGGGTTTGCCTATCCTGAATGCAATGTTTCTGCCAAGACTACCATCTGTGGACTCACTAAATGCCTTATCCACCATCATGGTATTCCACACAGCGTTGCCTCTGACCAAGGCACTCACTTTACAGCTAAAGACGTGTGGCAGTGGGCTCACGCTCATGTAATTCGCTGATCCTACCATGTTTCTCATCATCCTGAAGCAGCTGGATTGATAGAATGGTGGAATGGCCTTTTGAAGTCACAATTACAACACCAACTGGGTGACATTACTTTGCAGGGCTGGGTCAAAGTTCTCCAGAAGGTCATGTATGCTCTGAATCAGCATCCAATATATGGTACTCTTTCTCCCATAGCCAGGATTCACAGGTCCAGTAGTCAAGGGGTGGAAGTGGAAGTGGCACCACTCACCATCACCCCTAGTGATCCACTAGCAAAATTTTTGCTTCCTGTTCCCATGACATGATGTTCTTCTGGTGTAGAGGTCTTAATTCCAGAGAAAGAAACACTGCCACCAGGAGAAACAACAATTCCATTAAACTGGAAGTTAAGATTGCCCCCTGGACACTTTGGGCTCCTCCTACCTTTAAGTCAACAGGCTAAGAAGGGAGTTACAGTGTTGGCTGGAGTGACCTACCTGGACTACCAAGATGAAATCAGTCTACTACTCCATAACCAAGGTAAGGAAGAGTATGCATGGAATACAGGAGATCCAATAGGGCATCTCTTCACATTACCATACCCTGTGATTAGGGTCAGTGGGAAACTACCACATCCCAATCCAGGCAGGACTACAAATGGTCCAGACCCTTCAGGAATGAAGGTTTGGGTGACTGCACCGGGAAAAAAAAAATCATGGCCTGCTGAGTTGCTTGCTGACTGCAAAGGGAGTACAGAAAGGGTAGTAGAAGGAGGTAATCATCAATACCAGCTACAACCAAGTGACCAGTTGCAGAAACCAGTACTGTAATTGTCATGAGTATTTCCTCCTTCTTTTGTTAAAAACGTGTTTGTGCATATATACACTTGTAGTAAGAAAATATCGTTATATTATTTCATTTTCCTTTATCATGTGATATAAGATTTATTGACTTCATATCAACATTTAAGTACTGTTAACTTTATGTAATAGTATTTTGTTTGGGGATTGGTGCATTTCTGGTTGTACAAAGGATAGTTGCGTTATGTTAGGTGTAATTATGACCTTATTGTCTTTATTTGAAGATTATATATAATCTTAGGAGATGTGTATGGGTTCAAGTTGACAAGGGGTGGACTTGTGATGGTTAATATTGGGTGTCAACTTCATTGGATTGAAGGATGCAAAGTATTGATCCTGGGTGTATCTGTGAGGGTATTGCCTAAAAAGATAAACATTTGAGTCAGTGGGCGGAGAAAGGCAGACCCACCCTTAATCGGCTGGGCACCATCTAATCAGCTGCCAGTGAATATAAAGCGGGTGGAAAAATGTGAAAAGGAGAGATAGGCCTAGCCTCCCAGCCTACGTATTTCTCCCATGCTGGATGCTTCTTGCCCTTCAACATCAGACTGCAAGTTCTCCAGTTTTGAGACTCGGACTGGCTCTCCTTGATTTTCAAGGTTGTAGACAGCCTATTGTGGCACCTTGTGATCGTGTAAGTTAATACTTAATAAACTCCCACATAAGTATATATCCAATTAGTTCTGTCCCTCTAGAGAATCCTGAGTCAAAGAAAATTGTACTAAAAATTCTCAGAGCAATTTTGAAAACAATTAATTCCTAAAAAAAGATAAAACACTGTCTTGAAAAAGGAAATAGTAATAAACAATATAGTACACTTATCATTTAAAAATATAAGGTATACACGCTTATTAGTCTGGAATTGACTAAAACTAACATTTATTATCTAACAGAAAAATCAGAGAAATCTTCAAAAACCTAGAGGATTAATCTAAAAGAGATTTTTGGATATCTAATTAATGTGTTTTCCATAAGAACAAAGACAATTGAGGACAAGAAACATATGTTGTTTTTATTTATTGTTGTTGTTTAGCTTGGTGTGTGTGTGTGTGTGTGTGTGTGTAAGTTAAGATTATAATTTTCCTGGAACTAGCCTTCAGATTGAAAAACTCCATCAAATGCTGAGCAATTATTACTTTATTCTTTCCTCTAACTCTTTTAACTTCTAACAAACTGATACTATTATTATAGAGATGATGAGATAAAAAGCCCCAAGAGGGAAAGAAAATAGTTATTTTAAAGAAATAAGAATAAAGTTTCCATTAAATTCCTTTCTTGTAACACTGAATATTAGGAATAAAATAATATCTTTAAATTTCTGAATGATATCTGTTTAATTCAAAACTGTATTTCCACTAATACTTTAAATTTAGAAAATAAACAGATATCTTCAGTTAAAATGTAATAACAAGTCTTAATTTTTAGTTTGTTATCTTATGTTTTGGAGAGTTTTGAAAGAATTCCTTGAGATGCAAGGAAGATTTTTTAAATGATTTCAATAAACATAGCAAACAAACCATATAAGAAACAATAGCTACAAAATTAAGTGATATTTGGAATCTAAATTACTTTGTATGCATAGTGAAATATATCAAGTTATTAATCAAAGTCTGTATTTTAATATAGTTGGTGATTACAGCATAAAGTTTAGAACTGACTAAAGTAATAATATGACCATATAGTCATAATAGTAGGAGTTATTTCTAACCTAGAAATATTTCAATAAGAAAAACACACATGCATACACATAAAAGCATACAAACATGCAAATATTGAAAGGGAAGAATTGCACCTTTTATTAAATGTACTATAGATATTGATATATAAACTCCATAAAGGCAAGGAAATGTTTTATCTACCAATATACCCTTAGAGTTTAGAAATCGCATTATACACACTGGGCACTAAATACATGTATGTTAAGATGACCAGACAAAATGTTGTATAAATTACAGCCCTCCTATAATGTATGGAGTACATTAAATTTTAAAAATTAAAACAGCAATTAGCTTATGAAGAAACTCTAGGAATGAAACTGATCAATGTGTAGTGACTATATTTTAAAAATTCTGACACTTTAGTTAATGTCCCATAGACAAGGGACCTAAATTGATAATATTTAATATTCTGGAATAGAAGAAGCCTTTGTAATATAAAGAAGTCAAATTTTCTCAAATTAATTTCAAACCTAAAAAAAACCGAAAAGACAAATCACAAACCATTAGAAAATACTTGAAATACATGAAATACAGTAGTAGCAGAATGTATAAAGAGCTAAATAATTGTTTTAAGTAGGTCAATGGTCACAGAAAACTTGCCAAATAAATAATGTATCTGCATACTTATATCTGTATAAGTATACAGAAAAACTCTCAAATTGAAATGTCACAAAAGAGGAAAAGTAAATTGAAATGACAATGGGCGTCACGTTTCACAACTGAGAATGGAAAAAAAAATTGATTGTTGATACTTTTTACAGGTGAAGCCACAAGAAGAAGAATTCCAGCATGAAACCTACAGGTGTGTTTATGCCAGATGTCACACACTAAGGCTGTGACATAAGTTAAGAAACAAGAAAGAAAGGCAGACATAGCATGTATGGACCAAAGGGATAGTGAGGGGCCGGATATACCTAGAACAAAGAAAACAGACAAAATTCAAAAATGTACATACCAGAAAGACACTAAAAAAGCGAACAGAATTCACTTTTTTGGCATAGAAACTTTCTTGCATGTTGCAGATAATATAGTTTAAGTACAAAGTGGAAATGTGTCACTGGAACACAGGAGAAAATAATCTTTCTTGTCTAGATACTATCAATATGGCACCCATATACATAACAGAAGTAAAAACGGACTTAAGGCTAAAGTGGAGAATCTATGGCTGAACACAAAAAAGTATTCCGCCCAACAGAGATAATACGATAATGGAAATCTAGGGACTTGGAACTACTAAAATGAGACCAATCCCGGGATAGATCATGAAAGGTAACTCACAAAAATTATATGCTTAGGCTGAAAACGAAGAAACGTTTTGAAAATATATACGGATGTTAATGTTTTTAAGTTATAAAAAATAAATACAAATATAAATATGTTTCATGTCTGTAAATTCACTCTGTTAAAAAAATAAGAATTTCCTATCAAGGATCTGATTTAAAAAACAAAAGAAGACATAAAGGAGAAATCAGGAGAGAAAGAGACTGATTTTTCTGAGAGTAAATCTCCAATATAAATACTTGCATCAGATGAACAACAACTTGCTGGGCCAATGACATCAACGCTTAGTCTTCTCCACACCATCTGGTACTTAATACACACTGTTAACTACTGATACCACCATTTATATACATGAGAACTTAATCAGACTCTTTCCAGCTATTGTCCACACAGCTATAGTGACCAGTATTCTCTGTGGATTGGATTATCTCTATGTTTTCAGAGCAACTGGAAAGTAATTAAAGCCACTTTTTATTTTGGACTTTTGCACATCATCAGCATAAACATTAATCTTGCTGCTGCTATTATTATATTTTAAGATTTTTAAAATCAAAGATGTATTGAAGCTATGGGAAATGTGGAGCTCTTTCACAGTAGTGTGTTGTTCTTCCCTTCTATAAAAGAAAATGAAAAGGTGTAGTGGCCCAAGCCTTAATCACAGCGTTTGGGAGGCCAAGGTGGGAGGATTGCTTGAGCCCAGGAGTTCAAGACCAGCCAGGGCAATATAAGGAGACCTCATGTTTACAAATATCTTAAAAATTTAGCAGGACATGGTCACACACACCTGTAGTCCCAGCTACTGGGGAGACAAAGGCATGACGGAATGCTTCAATGTGGGAAGTCAAAGCTGCAGTGAGCTGTGCATGTTACTGCACTCCAGCCAGGATGACACAGAGTGAGAACCTGCCCCCTACAAAAAAAAAAAAAAAAAAAAAAAAAGCAACTGTGGCAAATGCAAAACTTGACAAATGGGACCTAATTAAACTAAAGAGCTTCTGCACAGCAGAAGCTAGAGTAAACAGACAACCTACAAAATGGGAGAAAATTTTTGCAGACTATGCATCTGAAAATGGTTTGATATCCAGCATCGATAAGAAACTTAGAGAAATTTACTAGAAAAAAAAACCCCATTAAAAAGTGGGGAAAGGACATGAACAGACACTTCTCAAAAGAAGACATACAGGTGGCCAAAAATTATATGTAAAAAACTCAACATCACTGATCATTAGAGAAATGCAAATCAAAACCACGGTGAGATACCATCTCACAGCAATCAGAATGACTTACTGAAAAGTCAAAAAAAAAAACAAAAACAGATGCTGGCGAGGTTGCAGAGAAAAAGAAATGCTTCTACACTATTGGTGGAAGTGTAAATTAGTTCAACTATTGTGGAAGACAGTGTGGCAATTGCTCAAAGACCTAAAGACAGAAATAACATTCAACCCAGCAATCCCATTACATGGTATATACTCAAAGGAAAACAAATCCTTCTATTATAAAGGCGCATGCATGTATATATTCATTGCATCACTTTTTACAATAGCAAACACATGGAATCAACCTAAATGCTCATCAGTTATAGACAGGATAAAGAAAATGTGGTACATATGCAACATGGAATACTATGCAGCCATAAAAAAACAAGATTATGTCCTTTGCAGGGACATGGGTGGAGCTGGAGGCCATTATCCTTAGCAAACTAACACAGGAACAGAAAATGAAATACCACATTTTCTCACTTGTAAGTGATAGCTAAATGATGAGAACGCATGGACACATAGAGGGGAACAACAGACACTGGGGCCTTTCGGAGGGTGGAGGCTGGGAGGAGGGAGATCAACACAAGTAATTAATGGTTACTAGGCTTAATACATGGGTGATGAAATAATCTGCACAACAAAACCCCATGACAAACATTTACCTATGTAACAAACCTGAATATGTACTCCTGAACGTAAAATAAACGTTTAAAAAACAAATAAATAAAAGAGCAAAGGTAGTGTTGTTATCAAGCACAGTGAATGAAACAACTTACCGGCTGTTACATTGGTCTTTTTTTTTTATTTTTTATTTTTTATTTTTTTTGAGACAGAGTCTTACTCTGTCACCCAGGCTGGAGGGCAGTGCTGCAGTCTTAACTCACTGCAGCCTCCGCCTCCGGGGTTCAAGCGATTCTCCTGCCTCAGCCTCCCGAGTAGCTGGGACTTCAGGTGCCCAACACCATGCCTTGTATTTTTAGTAGAGACGGGTTTTCACCATGTTGGCTAGTCTCAAACTCCTGGCCTCAGCTGATCCACCGGCCTTGGCCTCCCAAAGTGCTGGGATTACAGGTGTGAGCCACCAAGCCTGGCCAAATCAATCTTCTAGGAGAAAACTTGGTCCTTGACTGTAGAATTGATTAGGGGCATGGCATGAAGGAACATTTATGGTTGAACAATGAGAGAAGGCAATCCAAGTATAGGAGTTTTGTGGATTGCATGGGAGAGGAGGAAAGGGGAGAAGAGGAGAGCTGCTCAGTACAGAACTCTAGGTCAGTTCCTCTGACCCTTCTCCACTAGGCATCAACCTTGGTCTATAAAAATTTGAACAAGCAGTAACACAGTTCTAATAGCTGAAGGCTACATCCCAAATAGGATGCTAGTCCATCCCCACACCCCTTAAAGTGCCTTCTTGAAAAAAGTCAAGGCTGTCAAAACAATTTACTGTTGGATTCAGCCAACATCTAAGGATAGGGCCTCTGTTTCCAAGTCTCTGCTGGAGAATAGAATCCTAACTTCAGTAATTGCCAGCTAGCAGACACAGCTGCATCAATTGCATTTACACTAATTAAATTTTTGTAATTTTTTTACTTCTCTGAATTTGATCTCATGCTTTTCCCCTTCCCTACTCTGTCATTTTCTCTTTAAAATGCCAAGTCACCTCTATACAAATGTGAGTTCAGTTCATGCTGTATTATTTTCCCTATTGCAATAGTTATGACTGATAAAAATCTGTCCTTGCCACTTTAACTGGTGTCAAGCTTTGAGGTAAGACATTACAAAAATTAGGCTTCCAAATACAAAGAAGATCCGGTAGTCCAATCTAGAGACTTTAAACTTGTAGAAGTTTCATGACTAAACCATCATGCAATTGAATGAAGTTTGTTCTCTCTGTGTACTGGACATCGGGGATTTGGGGCCCTTAGATAATGATCACTAAGATTCAACAGGAATTAATGCTATCTTTGGTTAATGCCAAGAGAAAGAATGATCACAGAATTCTGTTATAATCTCTTTCCCAAAACATTTTCTACTGTGGTGATTTAGTTCTAACTTTTTTTTTTTGAAACTAATTTTTTTTGTCATCTCTCAAATAGTCTCAAAACCAGGTCTAGCTTTCGATATGAAATATTTTACAAATATTAACCTGTATCCTGAGACTTTGCTGAAGTTGCTTATCGGCTTAAGGAGATTTTGGGCTGAGACGATGGGGTTTTCTAAATATACAATCATGCCATCTGCAAACACGGACAATTTGACTTCCTCTTTTCCTAATCGAATACCCTTTATTTCTTTCTCCTGCCTGACTGACCTGGCCAGAACTTCCAACACTATGTTGAATAGGAGTGGTGAGAGAGGGCATCCCTGTCTTGTGCCAGTTTTCAAAGGGAATGCTTCCAGTTTTTGTCCATTCAGTATGATATTGGCTGTGGGTTTGTCATAGATAGCTCTTGTTATTTTGAGATACGTCCCATCAATACCTAATTTATTGAGAGTTTTTAGCATGAAGGACTGTTGAATTTTGTCAAAGGCCTTTTCTGCATCTATTGAGATAATCATGTGGTTTTTGTCATTAGTTCTGTTTATATGCTGGATTACATTTATTGATTTTCATATGTTGAACCAGCCTTGCATCCCAGGGATGAAGCCCACTTGATCATAGCGGATAAGCTTTTTGATATGCTGCTGGATTTGGTTTGCCAGTATTTTATTGAGGATTTTTGCATCGATGTTCATCAGGGATATTGGTCTAAAATTATCTTTTTTCGTTGTGTCTCTGCTAGGCTTTGGTATCAGGATGATGCTGGTCTCATAAAATGAGTTAGGGAGGATTCCCTCTTTTTCTATTGATTGGAATAGTTTCAGAATGAGTGGTACCAGCTCCTCCTTGTACCTCTGGTAAAATTCGGCTGTGAATCTGTGTGGTCCCGGACTTTTTTTGGTTGGTAGGCTATTTATTGCCTCAATTTCAGATCCTGTTATTGGTCTGTTCAGGGATTTAACTTCTTCTCAGCAAACTATTGCAAGGGCAAAAAACCAAACACCGCATGTTCTCACTCATAGGTGGGAATTGAACAATGAGAACACTTGGACACAGGAAGGGGAACATCACACACCAGGGCCTGTTGGGGGGTGGGGGGAGTGGGGAGGGATAGCATTAGGAGATATGCCTAATGTAAATGACGAGTTAATGGGTGCAGCACACCAACATGACACATGTATACATATGTAACAAACCTGCACATTGTGCACATGTACCCTAGAACTTAAAGTATAATAACAAAATATGAACCTGAAATTTTTATTTATTAAAGGTGATCCAGAAAAAAATGAAAGTAGATATGCGATCACTTCTAGAATCAATCTTCTAATTTCTAGTATTTAATCAGTTGAATAGGTGGTATTTGTATACTGAGATAATTTTCTTCCTTCTTTCTACTGACCTCTCAGATTCTCAGGGATGTAGACAGACTGACTTCCTGCTCATAAAACATCTGGGACTTTATAATTATTGATACTTTCTTTTCCTTTTCTAGCTTTGTTCAAGAGAGTGAGAAAGGCATTATTCTCCCTCAATGTGCAATTTTAACTCTCCACACACTGGCAAAGTTTGGCTTGAAATTGTATTTATAGGCCGGGCGCGGTGGCTCACGCCTGTAATCCCAGCACTTTGGGAGGCCGAGGCGGGCAGATCACGAGGTCAGGAGATCGAGACCATCCTGGCTAATACGGTGAAACCCTGTCTCTACTCAGGAGGCTGAGGCAGGAGAATGGCGAGAATCTGGGAGGTGCAGCTTGCAGTGAGCCAAGATCGTGCCACTGCACTCCAGCTTGGGCAACAGAGCAAGACTCCATCTCAAAAAAAAAAATAAAAATAAAAATAAAATAATAAAAAAAGAAACTAATGAATCTAATTGATAATTACACATCTGTAATAAATTACAGATATTTTGGGGAGATACTCTCAATGTGTTTATAATTTAGTTACAGAAATAACGTGGGCATAACTCAAAAAAATTCATAATACTATTCAAGGAATAGTAGATAACACATGAAATTTATGGGATGAAAGTTATTTAAATGTTTAGTGAGGAAATCAATATCTTATAATGGAACTTAACCTGTATACAGAAAAATAAACACTTGCTGAGATGCAGGTCAGCAACTGATGACTTTGATGAAATAGGGATATTTAGGTTGGTAAGCATTTAGATACAGAGATACAGAAGAGATTTGAGGCTAGTCAAAGAGTATTGACTCCTGCTATTGTGAGGATTGTTTTGTTTGGTTTTGTTGTATTTGTACAGAGTAGAAATAGGAAGTTTACTTGACTTAATGCAGACTAGATAAGAGCAAAAGGAACCTGCTGCAGGCAGCTAGTTAAACTACATCATGCTTATCTCTGTGTGAAATGATAAAGGTCAAAATTAAGGTTGTGGCAGAAGAAAATGTGGCAGAAATATGTCAGAACTGGGATGTTTCCTGTATATAAATGGCAACTTTCATCATGACAAAATGTATAATATGAAACTAGTTAAAACTAGATTAGGTTTAGTTGCTTCTTTTGTCATTTATACATGTCAGAAACTATTTAGAAAGTTCAAACATAGGAAATTGTTAACAAAACATCTTTTATAAACCTGCAAAATAAGAATGTAATAGACAGATGGGCATATCTGGAAGAATAATGACTGTATCTGCTTACAGTGCCTCGTACCTTCTAGGCACTCACTGAACAGTATACGTATAAGCATGGAGGAAGGAGGAATCATGGCATATATTATATATCAACTCTGACATGCTAGTCATTTTATGGCACATACACACACATAATTTATTATTTACATTAAGTTCTGAATGATCAATACATATAAACTCATCCAGTGTGATTAACTTATTCTAGAGAAAGTAGATCACTGATCATTTAGTGCTTTATGCTTTGATTTGTCTTTAATTAAAAACTATAGCCCTTTGAAAGCAAGGGCTGAATTTTTATTAGTTTAATAATCTGGGATTCCAATTGTTGAAGTGGGATTCCAATGGTTAATGCTCATTTTAGTCAAGTTCTAAATTCTTGCTCAAAATTAGATAGCTAAGTATCTTACTAGTTAAAGAAAGAAGAAAATTGATGTCTGTAGAGTGCTTGCTATGCCTCTTTAGTGAACTAGACGGTTAGTATTTATAGTCGGGTTGTACTTTCTCAACAACCCATAAGTCTAGATGTTGATTAACATTATCATAATTCACAAACATTAATCGCTTATTCCTTGGCACTATAACACAATGCATCATGTTTGTCTTGTCTTTTCTTAAAGATCAAACTACTAGCAATCATGTTAATATATAACTTTATGGTTTTGCATACCCATAAATATAATTTATATACACAAACAATATTATTTCCAAGTAATAGTGATAGATTATACTGTGGGAACTAACAACACCGGAATAAAACACCCAGAATGTTTTTCACTTATGTTCCATGTACAATATAGGTCAGCAGAGTTGCTCAGCTCATGGTAGTTACTCAGAAACCTGGGCTGAAGGAAACGCCATCTCAATATGTTCTCAAGGACACTGCAGCAGAGGGAATAAAATATTATTAACCATGAACTGGATTGTAACATTTCCATCCAGAAAAAACATACATTCCATTAGCCAAACATGTCACACAGTCGTATAAAACTTGGAAGGATAATATATGTATGTTAATAGCCTTAATGAACACCACAAATATATGTGAATAATTTCTCAACTGGAAAATATATGTGGATGAGAATGAATAAATTAATTTGCCAAATATTTTTTAAATATTTCAAAGCACTGTATTATACTTAAATTTCTATATCTTGTGGCTGGTGGTATAACAATAAATACTTTATAATCAATCTGATCAGTAATTTTTACCTAATTAATTGTTTTCTCTTCTGAAAAAAATGTGTAATATTTTCACCATTGGAAAAACAAAGTGAATCAGATTTAATTTTTGAGAAAAAAAATGTGCTGTTTAAATTACCTTATGACCTTACATTCCTTTAAAAGGCTAAAATGTTAATACACTCCAAGATTTTTCCCAGTATTTAGCAAAAAAAGACCTAAAATATCTTCAAAGTGAACACATATCAGAGTGAAGGAGTTGAAATATTTATTAAGAATAAGTTCCTATGCTGCTATAAAGACACACGCACACGTATGTTTATAGCAGCACTATTCACAATAGCAAAGACTTGGAACCAACCCAAATGTCCAACAATGATAGACTGGATTAAGAAAATGTGGCACATATACACCATGGAATACTATGCAGCCATAAAAAATGATGAGTTCGTGACCTTTGTAGGGACATGGATGAAGCTGGAAACCATCATTCTCAGCAAACTATCTCAAGGACAAAAAAAACAAACACCGCATGTTCTCACTCATAGGTGGGAATTGAACAATGAGAACACATGGACACAGGAAGAGGAACATCACACACCGGGACCTGCTGTGGGGTGAGGGGGAGGGCGGAGAGATAGCATTAGGAGATATACCTAATGTTAAATGACGAGCTAATGGGCGCAGCACACCAACGTGGCACATGTATACATATGTAACTAACCTGCATGTTGTGCACATGTATCCTAAAACTTAAAGTATAATAAAAAATAAATAAAATAAATAAAAATAAAAAAAGAAAAGAAAAGAAAACTATTCCATTAAATAATATCAAAATATGAGAAAGTATCTAATGGGTACAATGTATGTTATTAAGGCGATGGAAAACCTAACGTCCTGCCTTGTATGTAACAAAACTACACTTGTGCCCCATAAATTTATACAAATAAAATTTAAAGTTTCAGCACAACAACTAAAAAAAAAGAATAAGTTCCAAAAGAATGATATATTGAGATAATTCAATATGCCTGACTAAATAATCCCAAAATAGACAACATTGAGATGCCTAAGTTTTACAAGAAAAACTTCTATATGACTTGATAAATGTTTCCTCTTAGTGTATCTGAATTTTAAGTCATCATTTTTATGGATGCATTTAACCACAGTTTATGTATTGACCTAATTTGCTCAAAAACCTAAAGCCTCTGAGCACTTGTTCCTTTCTAGAAGTAATTTTATTCAAAGTCTGTGGGGAAAGGTTAGCAAAATCAAAATGAATATATTCCTTTAAATTTTATATTTCCTTAGCTCTCAGATTCATTGTGTTTATCTTTTAAGCTCTTGGACTTTAGACATCCCTAGACACAAATTCAAATAATGTGAAAAATATATTACATTGTAATTTGTGTGAAATATAGAGAAATGCCAAGTGTTTGATAGGAATGAATAAAATCTCTGAATGAGTCTGGTGACTATAATCTTTCAGACACAAAGTCTTTTTATAAGTTGCTTGGAAAGAAGCTAGCCAAATCAATTATCATTATGAGGGAGAGAGAGAAAAAGAATTGTGCTGTTTAAATTACCTTGTGACTTTACATTACTCTAAAAGGCTAAAATGTTGATCCATTCCAGGAAGATTTTATTTAATCTGCATGGTAAATATAGGACTGTTAATAAGAGAATGAGAGAAGGAGGTTCACATATATTTAGCATCTACTCTCCTTTAGACATGGTGGTAGATATGATGGAGAGGTAGATAAGAAGTAAGATGATATAGATGCATATGCACACATATATATAAATACATATACACAACTTTGATAAGGTACGTAGCTTTGCTTTAATATTCCCATCTATTAAATCAAGATGATATCCACTTCACTGGCTTATTGTGAGGATTATATAACACAATTATGAGAAACATGTAAGTACTCTTCTCCTTCCTTTTTATCAAATGTCTCATTTTGTGTTTGTTCTTTCATTTGTTCTGTTAAACTATGTCCCAGCTAACAGACAGGATGCATTCCCCACGGCTGAGGTATTCAGATTTAAATCAGAACCAGGAAGCCATAGCTGGATGAGGGCATGATCATGTGCTCTATGTTCCCAGAAAGATGTCAAAGTATCACAGGACCCCCACTTTCTACAATCAAGCCAAACTAGTTCTTTGTTGTTAGTGCCAGGATAAACTGCAAACAGATCCTCCCTCCCTCCCCACCAACTGGCAGTTTGAAAGAAATATCTGACAGAGATTTCCAATTTGGGACTTGGAAACCAATCAGAAATCACCTGTCCTATCCAATCGGGGCTTAACTATATGAACCAATCAGGGATGAGCTGTACCCACTAATCAGAACTAAGTGAGCCTGAATCCTTTATTTGCAACCAGACCCACCAGACCTGATTGGGAACCTGAGTAGGAAATTTTGCTATAAATTCTGAACTCCATTTTTGTTCTCTGGAATGTACCTTCATTTTACACAAAAGCTGTGTCTCCCCAGTTTACAAACTTTTCAAGGAAATAATGTATTTTTCCTCCAAATTCCTTTTCAGAGAACATTTATTCACATTCTAACTAACATTTTTTTTTTTTAGCACATACCAGGTTCCAGGTACTGTGTAGGCACTGGGAATTCCTTGTGTAATAAAACACACACAAAGTAACTGCCCATGTAGAACTTATATTCCAGTGGCTTCATAACATTTTTAAAAATTACTTATGAATTTTTTATTTCATTGTTTTTACACCAGAGTTTTGACAGCTAATATTTTGAAAGCAATGTTCAAATAAATGACTCTTCCTCTGTTGTTTCAATCAAATAAGTACTCTATTTACCTTCTGCCTTTCAAAATTTTATAGATACAATCTCACTTTAATATTGAATAATGCCAAGCGTTCAATGGCATTATTTTAAAAGATATAAAAAGGAATATTTCTTTATTTGTCCATATTTTTTCCCTCTTATAGCTTAATATAACCAGTTTTCAGTTGATTACTAGTGGTATCATGTGGACACAGCCTCTGACTTACTGTGGTTTTGCTTATATAAAAAAGTCAACATCATGCCTAGGAGTCAAACAGCAAAAAACAATTCATTGCTGTCTTTACAAAAAGAAATTGTTTCAAAACACGGCAGTAAAACCAATCCATATTTTCAATGCAAGATTTTGAAGTTATGATGAACCAGAGACCTGTAATTCCAGAATAGTGATCTGAGGTCTGAAGCTAAAATAGGGTCTAATATCCAGTCCTGTTATTTATCATTTCTTTTCTCCACGTTAATTCAAATGCCTCATTTTGCTGACATTGCAAAATAGCTGTATTTTGAATAAAATAATGTTGAGGCCGGGCGCAGTGGCTCACGCCTGTAATCCCAACACTTTGGGAGGCCAGGGCAGGCAGATCACCTGAGGTCTGGCTAACATGGTGAAACTCTGTCTCTACTAAAAATACAAAAATTAGCGGGCATGGTGGTGGGCCCCTGTAATCTCAGCTACTCGGGAGGCTGAGACAAGAGAATTGCTTGAACCCAGGAGGTGGAGGTTGAAGAAAGCCGAGATCACGCCACTGCACACCAGCCTGGGCAACAAACAGTGAAACTCCGTCTCAAAATAATAATAATAATAATAATAATAATAATAATAATAATGAATCTATATAAGGATTGTAAAAGTAAACAACATAGAGGATTTCTCCAGAGATCTAGATCTGATTATGTTTTTCTTTTTCTTACTCATATTAAAGATTTTCTAGTAAATCCTCATCTTAATGTCCTCCCTTAGAACAATAATTTAAGATTTTTAAACTATCTCTTAAAGTCTTGCTAACAAAATTATTACAATAGATAATATTCTAAACTCCAATGGTCTTGATAATGTGACTTAGACTTTTATTATACTCTGCATTTTTAAAGGTACCTATTTAGACAAAAAATCATTTTGTACTTCCTCTTGTCATTTTTTTAAGAAGCAGAAAGTAAGCAACGTAATTTTCAGATAGGGAAACCAAAGGATATAGAACTAAATTATCAAATAACTTTGGTTAGTTAAAAGAAAATTCCAAATTAATGAGTCCTCAGTGGAAGAATCAATCAATTAATATAGATTACGAGTTTATTTTTCTCAAGCAAAATCTCACTTGCTCTTTGAATTATTTTTCACAAATGAAAAACTAACCATTAATTAACTTTCAAGAGATAAGTTAATTGACTCTGACTCTTGTTAAAAGTCTTCTCCTACCACTTCTTATCACCAGGGATTTTTCTTGCTATTTCTGTAACTCATCTAATAGGTTTAGAATTTTGTGCTTTTGCTTATGAGCTTTCTTTGTTTAGATTGCATTCCTGTTGTAGAGTTCACAACTTTTTCTCCTTTCCTCTTTAGGTAAAATGTCTTTCTAATTTTTTTTAGGAAATATTGCCAGAATTCCAAAGGTGCTTCCCAAAAGCACGCAAAGCACCCCATGGTGGATTTCTCAATTAAAGCAAAAATCTATTTAAACCGAATGAAATGTCAATATTCTTGTCTCAACCAGTGTGTTACAAGTGGTTGAAGGACAGATTCTGTTTCTCATTCATTGTTGCAATCTTAGCATCAAATCTGATGCCTATAAGGCACTAAACAAATATTAATGTGGCTGTTTGATCTAGTATAGGGACATTCTCTTCAATATATTTATTCAGATAGTCTGCAATAAGTTATTACTCAGTACCTACCAGGTGCCAGTTACTATGTTGGGTACCAGAGCACACACTTTCTAAGCACATATAAAAAGTTCAAAAGGCGCTCTAAAAGGAAAAACTTGGAGCATCATTGCAACATTTGGAGATATTTCTAAATTCGCTTTGGAATTTAGAGAAGACTTTAACAACAAAGTGATATGAAGGCTAAAATCTGAAGTTAATATAGTTGATGATCCTCTTCCTGAAATCCTGGAGCCACATGTATTCTATACTTCAGAATTTTTCATATTTTACAAAAAGAGCATATACAACATATTTTGTAACATTACTAATGAGATTTAGGATAGTACCCCAGTATTTAAAACATTTCTATTTCAACAGAGAAATGCAAATATTCACTTTAATTAGTAAATAAGAGAATAGTCTTACCTTACTTTAGGTCAGATCTTTCTTCCAAATGATCACAAGTCAGAGTTTTGGTAAACAAATCCCAAGACATTTTTTGTTGCCAGAGTGTTTTGGATTTTGTAATAGGACATAGCTAATTTTGAGCCCAGAATAATAAGAGTAAATATTTACTTGGTTCTTACTTTTTGCTAGGTACCACTGTGTTAGTCTGTTCTGATGCTGCTAATAAATACACACCTGAGAATGGGCAATTTATAAAGGAAAGAGGCTTAATGGACTCACAGTTCCACATGGATGGGGAAGTTTCACAATCACGGCAGAAGGCAAAGAAGAAGCAAAGTCATGCCTTATGTGGCAGCAGGCAAGACAGTATGTGTAAGGGAACTTCTTTTTATAAAGGATCGTGTGAGACTGATCTCATGAGACTGATTCACTATAGGGAGAACAGCATGGGAAAGACCAATCCCTATGATTCAATTACCTCCTACTGGGTTCCTCTAACAATATGTGGGAATTATGGGACCTGCAATTCAAGATGAGATTTGGGTGGCGACACAGCCAAACAATATCACCCACTAATTTATATGCATATAATTAAATCATTATAAAAATATTATAAAGGAGTGTAGTATTTTATGAGGCAGAGAGTTCCATCAGGCAGATAGTGTTTGAATCAGATTTTAACAAAAACAGTCTGGTGCCAGAGTCCTTGATTTTACCCAGTATACCGAAATGTCTTTCTTTAAGTTATCTAAATAAAGGCAGTTGACCATGGGGTAGCAGAAAGGGAAGAGAGAAGGAGGGCACAGCGTATTTCAAGCCAATATACCTAGGGTCTACAGCATGAAAGGCCTTAAAATGCAGGTATAATAGTAAGTATTTTATGATTTACTTGGTATCAAATGGCAAAGAACAAAAGGGTTGTAGGAGCCAAGGTGAGGAAGAAGTAATAAACTCCATTTTGTGCATTTTAAGTTTCAGCTGCCTACGATTTATTCTCAGGAAAATAATCCTATACAGTTCAGCAAGTGTGTAGCTTGGAAAAGGATGTATGATGGATTTGCAGGTATGAGGCAATCAGCAAAGGGATAACAATTAAACAATGTAGAGGAGTAATCACCAGGCAAAATATGTTGTCAAAAAGGGGGAAAGAGAATAGGGAAAAGAATAAATTCATGAATAAACATGTATTAGCCTGTTCTCAGACTGCTAATAAACATGTACCTGAGACTGGGTAATTTATAAAGGGAAGAGCTTTGATTCACTCACAGTTCTGCATGGCTGGGGAGGCCTCACAATCATGGTGAAAGATGAAGGAGGAGCAAAGGGATTTCTTACATGGTGGCAAGCAAGAGAGAATGAGAGCCAAGCAAAAAGGGAAACCTCTTATAAAACTATCAGACCTTGTGAGATTTATTCACTACCATGAGAAGAGTATGGGGGAAAACCACCCTGATAATTCAATTATCTCCCATCAGGTCACTTCCACAACATGTGGGAATTATGGGAGCTACGTTTCAAGATGAGATTTGGGTGGGGACACAGCCAAACCATATCAAAACAAGTAATGTAAAAGAAGATCGAAGGAAGGGGAAAGTAGTCTAATTTCTCTTACATATCCTGAGGCAAAAATTCAATACAATATTGCTAGAATGCAGCAGCATTTAAAAACTAATATATCATGAACAGGAGAATTTTATTAATATAAAATATTCAATATAATAATATGATGGAGAAAAACATAGTTGACTTTCTAGAATTAAATACAATAATTGATGAAATACAATACCAAAACTTGCTTTAAGAAAGTGCTTATTAGAATGGGTCAAATTGTTATTTATTTGGTTTCATAAGATATAAAGTTCTATCTAATTACCAGAATAATGTTTTATGGTGACATATAACACCAATGGTAAAATAACTAGTCAAGAACACTTACCCTCACTCTCCTGCTTAGCCAAGATAAGACATGCTTGCTTCCCCTTTGCCTTCCATCATGGTTGTAAGTTTCCTGAGGCCTCCCAGCCATGCTTTTGTACAGCCTGTGGAACTAGGCAAAATGGCTGATTAGAAACAGATGTGGTCCGTGGCACTCACAAAGAGAAAGAAAAAGGGGCAAGTGAATTCAACACCTTCAATCGAAGTATCCAGGTTCTTGTATTGGGACTGAAAAGCAAGCAGTTTCACCCATAGAGAGCAAGGAGAAGTGCAGGTGGGGGCAATAGCCCACCCAGGAGCAGCATGGAGCCAAGGGAACCCTCACTCCCAGCCAGGGGAGGTGGTGTGTGATTGTGCAACCCCACGCAGAAGCCACACTTCTCCTACAGATCTTTGCAACCTGTGGATCAGGAGATCCTTTCATGAGTCCATGCTACCAGGGTCTTGGGTCCAATACACAGAGCTGTGCAAAGTCTTGGCAGAGCAGCTGCTCAGGCATGCAGAGACCCAGGAGTTTTATGTGCTTCAGTCCCCAGATCCCTAACAAGGTGGAAAATCTGTCTGTGCATATCCCTAGGAAGGGGGCTAAATCCAGGGAGCTAAGCCAAAAACAACAAGAACAACAAAAAGACCCCACAATAAATTCATTCAAAGGTCAACAACCCAAATATCAAAGGTCAATAAGCCCACAAAGATGAAGAATCAATGCAAAAGCACTGAAAACTAAAAAGCCAGAATGCCTCTTCTCTTCAAAATGACTGCAACACCTATCCAGCAAGGGCACAGGACTGAGCTGAGGCTGAGATGGCTGAACTGACTGAAATAGGTTTCAGAAGGTGAGTAATAATAAACTGAGCTGAGCTAAAGGAGCATGTTGTAACACAATGCTAAGAAGCCAAGAATCATGATAAACAATACAGGAGCTGATAGCCAGAATTGCCAGTTTAGAGAGGAACATAACCAACCAATGAAGCTGAAAAACAGCATGAGATATCCATAATGCCATCACAAGTATCAATAGCAGAATAGACCAAGCAGAGAAAATTATCTCAGAACTGGAAGACTATCTTTCTGAAATAAGACACATAGACAATGATAGAGAAAAAAGAATAAAAAGAAATGAACAAAACTTCTGAGAATTATGGGATTATGTAGAGACTGAACTTATGACTGATTAGAATACCTGAAACCAACAGGGAGAATAGAATCAAGTTGGAAAATATACTTCAGGAGAACATCCTCAACCTACCAAGACAGGTGAATATTCAAATTCAGGAAATGCAGAGAACCCCAGAAACATACTCTATGAGAAAATAATCCAAAACTCATAATCATCAGATTCTCCAAGGTAAAAATGTTAATGGTAGCCAGAGTGAAAGGCCAAGTCACCTACAAAGGAAAACCCATGAGACTAAGAGCAGACCTCTCAGCAGAATCCCTACATGCCAGAAGAGATTTGGGGCCAATATTCAACATTCTTTAAAAAAGAATTTTCAACCCAGAGTTTTATATCTCTGGCTAAACTAAGCTTCCTAAATGAGAGATAAATAAGATCATTTTCATACAAGCAAAAGCTGAGGGAATTCATCACCACCAGGCCTGCCTTGCAAGAGTTCCTGAAAGAAGCACTAAATATGAAAAGGAAAATCTACTACCAGCCACTACAAAAACACACTGAAGTAAACAGACCAGTGACACTATGAAGCAACCACACAAACAAGTCTACAAAATATACAGTGAGGATCATTATGACAGGATCAAAGTCACACATAACAATACTAACCTTAAATGTAAATGGGCCAAAGGCCCCAAATAAAAGATGCAGAATGGCAAACTGAATAAAGAACCAAGACACACTGATATGCTGTATTCAAGAGATTTATCTCACATGAAAAGACACACATAAACTCAAATTATTGGGATAGAGGAAAATTTACCAAGCAAATGAAAAACAGAAAAATGCAGGGGTTGCAATCATAGTTTCTGACAAAACAGACTGTGACCAACAGAGATCAAAAAAGACAAAGAAAGGTATTACAAAACAGTAAAAGGTTCATTTGAACAAGAAGAGCTAATAATCATATATATATATATATATATATATATATACACACACAAACATATATATATACACACACACATATATATACACACACATATACACACACACACACACACACATATATATATATATGCATCCAATACAGGGGCACTGATATGGTTTGACTGTGTTCCTACCCAAATCTCATCTCAATTTGTAACTCACAAAATTCCCATGTGTCATGGGAAGAACCTGATGGGAGGTGATTGAATTATGAGAGTGTGTCTTTTCTGCACTGTTTTCATAATACTGAATGAGTCTCATGAGATCTGATGGTTTTCAAAATGGGAGTTTTCCTGCACAAGATTTTTTCCCTGCTGCCATCCATGTAAGACATGACTTGCTCCTCCTTGCCTTCCACCAGGATTGTGAGGCTTCCCCAGCTACATGGATGTGTGAGTTTTCCATTAAACCTCTTTCCTTTGTAAATTGCCCAGTCTCAGGTATGTCTTCATCAGCAGCATGAAAACAGACTAATACAGTAAATTGTTACCAGTAGCATGGGGTGCTACTGAAAGGATATCAAAAAATGTGGAAGCAACATTGGAACTGGATAATAGACAGAGGTTGGTACAGGCTCAGAAAAAGAGAGGAAAATGTGGGAAAGTTTAGAGCTTTCTAGAGACTTGTTGAATGGCTTTGACCAAAATGCTGATAGTGATATGAACAATAAAGTTGAGGCTGAGGTGGTCTCAGATGGAGATGAGGAACTTTTTGGGAACTGGAGCAAAGATGACTCTTGTTATGTTTTAGCAAAAAGACTAGTAATATTTTTCCCCTGTCATAGAGATATGTGGAACTTTGAATTTGAGAGAGATGATTTAGAGTATTTGGCTGAAGAAATTTCTCAGCAGCAAAGCATTCAAGATGTGACTTGGGTGCTGTTAAAGGCATTCAGTTTTCTAAGGGAAGCAGAACATAAAAGTTCAGAAAACTTGCCACCTGACAATGTGATAGAAAAGAACATTGCATTTTCTGAGGAGAAATTCAAGCCAGCACAGGAATTTGTGTAAATAACAAGGAGCCAAATGTTAATTAATAAGACAATGGGCAAAATGTCTCCAGGGCATGTCAGAGATATTCACAGCAGCCCTTCCTATAACAGGCCCAGAGGCCTAGGAGGAAAAAATGGTTATTTGGGCTGGGCCCAGGGTCCCCTTGCTGTGTGCAACCTAGGGACTTGATGCCCTGTGTCCCAGCCACTCCATCCATGGCTGAAAGGGGCCAATGTAGAGCTCAAGCTGTGGCTTCAGAGGGTTCAAGCCCCAACCCTTGGCAGCTTCTATGTGTTGTTGAGCTTGTGTGTGCACAGAAGTCAAGAATTGGGGCTTGGGAACCTTTACCTAGATTTCAGAGGATATATGGAAATACCTGGATGCCCAGGCAGAAGTTTGCTATAGGGGCAGGACCTTCACATAGAACCCCTGCTAGGACAGTGCAAAAGGGAAATGTGGAGTGGGAGCTCCCCCACAGAATCCCTACTGGGGCACCACCCAGTGGAGCTGTGAGAAGACAGCCACTGTCCTCCAGACCTGAGAATGGCAGATCCACTCACAGCTGGCACCATGTGCCTGGAAAACCTGAAGATGCGCAATGCCAGCCCATGAAATCAGCCAGAAGGGAGGCTGTACCCTGAAAAGCCTCAGAGGAGGAGCTGCCAAACACCATGGGATCCCATCTTTTGCATCAGCATGACCTGGATGTGAGACATGGAGTCAAAGGATATTATTTTGGAGCTTTAAAATTTGACTGCCTGCTGGACTTTGGACTTGCATGGGGCCTGTAGCCCCTTTGCTTTGGCCAATTTCTCCCATTTGGAATGGCTGTATTTACCCAATACCTGTACTCCCATTGTACCTAAGAAGTAACTAACTTGCTTTTGATTTTACAGGCTCATATGTGAAAGGGACTTGCCTTGTCTCAGATAAGACTTTGGACTGTGGACTTTTGAGTTAACGCTAAAATGAGTTAAGACTCTGAGGGACTGCTGGGAAGTCATGATTGGTTTTGAAATGTGAGGACATGAGAATTGGGAGGGGCCAGAGGTGGAATGATATGGTTTGGCTGTGTCCCCACCCAAATTCCATCTTGAATTATAATTCCCACAATTCCCACGTGTAATGGAAGACTTTAACACCCCATTGACAATATTAGATAGATCTTCGAGAGAGAAAATTAACAAAGATATCCAGCACCTGAGCTCCCTTCTTGATCTAGTGGACCTTATTCATATCTAATGAACTCTCCATACAAAAACAACAGAGTATACATTCTTCTCATTGCCACATGGTACTTACTCTAAAATTGATCACATAATCTGAAGTAAAACTCTCCTCAGCCAAGGCAAATGAACTGAAATCATGATAAACAGTCTCTCAGTCAACAGCCCAATTAAATTAGAACTCAAATCAAAGAAGTCCACTCAACTAGGTAAAAATTGAACAACCTGCTCTTGAATGACTCTTGGGTAAATAATGAAATTAAGACAGAAATCAAGAAGTACTTTGAAACTAATCAGAACAAAGAGACAACATACCAGAATTTCTGGGACACAGCTATAGCAGAGTTAAGAGAGAAATTTACAGCACTAAATGCCCACATCAAAAACCTAGAAGGATCTCAAGTTAATAATCTAACATCTCCACTAAAAGAACTAAAGATCCAAGAGCAAACAAACCTCAAAGCTAGTAGAAGACAAAAAATAACCAAGATCAGAGGTGAACTGAAGCAGACAGAGACATAAAAAACCCTCCCAAAAACTAACAAATGCAGAAGCTCGTTGTTTTTAAAAAAATTAATAACCACTAGCTATGCAAATGAAGAAAAAAGAGAAGAATCTAATAAACACAATCAGAAATCATAAGGGGGATATTACTACTGACTGCACAGAAATACAAACAAACATTAAAGAATACTGTAAACACTTCTATGTACAGAAACTAGAAAATCAAGGAGAAATCAATAAATTCTCTGACATATACATCTTCCCAAGACTGAAGCAGGAAGAAATGGAAGCTATGAATACACCAAAAACGTATTTGGAAATTGAGACAGTAGTAAATAGCCTACTAACCAAAAAAAGCACAGGACCAGATGGATTCAATGTGGAATTCTAGCAGAGGTACAAAGAAGAGCTGATACCATTTCTACTGAAACTATTCCAAAAGATTGAAGAAGAGGAACTCCTCCCTAACTCATTATATGAGTCCAGCATCATCCTGATACCAAAACCTGGCAGAGATATAACAAAAAAAGAAAACTTCAGGCCAATATTTTTGATGACATCAATGCAAAAATCCTCAATAAAATACTGGTAAACCAAACCCACCAGGGCATCAAAGCTTATCAACCATGATCAAGTTGGCTTCATCCCTGGGATGCAAGGTTGATTCAACATATGCAAATCAATAAATGTGATTCATTACATAAACAGAACTAAAGTCAAAATCCACATGGTTATTCCAATAGATGCAGAAAAGGTCTTTGATAAAATTCAACATCCCTTTATGTTTAAAACATCACACTCTGGGGACTGTTGTGGGGTGGGGGGAGTGGGGAGGGATAGCGTTAGGAGATATACCTAATGCTAAATGACGAGTTAATGGGTGCAGCACACCAGCATGGCACATGTATACATATGTAACTAACCTGCACATTGTGCACATGTACCCTAAAACTTGAAGTATAATAATAAAAAAAACTCTCAATAAACTACGTATTGAAGGAATACCTCAAAATAGTAAGAGCCATATATGACACACCAACAGCCAATATCATACTGAATGAGCAAAAGCTGGAAGCATTCCCCATGAAAACTGGCACACGACAAGGATGCCCTTTCTCACTACTCCTATTCAATATAGTATTGGAAATTCTGGCCATTACAATCATGCAAGACAAAGAGATAAAGTATAAAAGGTATTTAAATAGGAAGTGAGGAGGTCAAATCATCTTTGTTTACAGATGAACTTATTCTATACCTAGAAAACCCCATCGTTTCAGCTCAAAAGCTTCTTAAGCAGATAAGCAGCTTCACCGAAGTCTCAGGATATGAAATCAATGTGCAAAAATCGCTAGCATTCCTATACACAAACAAATGCCAAGTCATGAATGAACTCCCATTCACAATTGCTAATAAAAGAATAGAATACATAGGAATACAGCTAACAAAGGAAGTGAAGGACTTTTTCAAGGAGGACTACAAACCAATCCTCAAATCAGAGAGGATACAAACAAATGGGGAAACATTTCTATGCTCATGGATAAGAAGAATCAATATCGTGAAAATGGTCATGCTGCCCAGAGTAATTTATAGATTCATTGCCATTCCCATTAAACTACCATTGACATTCTTCATCTAATTAGAAAAGAAACTATTTTAAAGGTCATATGGAGCCAAAAAAAAAAAGAGCCCAAATAGCCAAGTCCATTATAAACAAAAAGAGCAAAGTTGGAGGCATCACACTACCTGACTTCAAACTATACAACAAGTCTACAGTAAACAAAATAGCATGGTACTGGTACAAAAACAAATATATAGATCAATGAAACAGAATAGAGAACTCAGATATGGGACCAGACACCTAAAACCATATGATCTTCAACAAACCTGATAAAAACAAGCAAAAGAAAAATAATTCTGTGTTTAATAACTGGTGTTGGGAGAACTGTCTAGCCATATGCAGAAAATTGACCCCTTTTTTACATCATATCCAAAAATTAAATCAAGATGGATTAAAAACTAAAACCCAAACTATAAAACTATAGACACTATAAAAACCCTAGAAGAAAATCTAGGCAATACCATTCAAGACATAGGCACAGGAAAATACTTTTTGACAAAAACTCCAAAAGCCATTGCAACAAGAGCAAAAATTGGCAAATGGAATCTAATTAAACTAAAGAGCTCCCACACAGCAAAAGAAACTATCATTAGAGTAAACAGACTACCTACAGCATGGGGAAAATTGTTACAATCTATCCATCTGACAAAAGTCGAATATCCAGAATCTACAAGGAATTTAAATTTACAAGAAAAAAACCAACCTCATTAAAAAGTGGGAAAAGGACCTGAACAGACCCTTCTCAAAAAAAGGCATACATGTGGCCAAGAAACATATGGAAAAAAGCTCAACATCACTGATCATTAGAAAAATGCAAATCAAAACCCCAATGAGAACCATCTCATGCTAGTCAGAAGGCTATTGTTAACAAGCCAAAAAACAACAAATGCTTGTGATGTTGCAGAAAAAAGTAAATGCATTTACTCTGTTGGTGGGAGTGTAAATTAGTTGAACCATTGTGGAAGATATTGTGGTCATTCCTTAATGACCTAGAGGCATAAATACCATTTAGCCCAGCAATCCTATTACTGGATATATACCCAAGGAAATATAAATTATTCTGTGATAAAGATACATGCATGTGTATGTTCATTGCAGCACTCTTCACAATAGCAAAGACCCAGAATCAATCCAAATGCCAACCAATTATAGACTGGATAAAGAAAATGTGGTTCATACACATATGGAATATTCTGCAGTCATAAAAAAGAACAAGATCATATCCTTTGCAGGGACATGGATAGAGCTGGAAGCCATTAACCTCAGCAAACCAACACAAGAACAGAAAACCAAACACTGCATTTTCTCACTGGGAGCTGAATGATAAGAACACACGGGCACATGGCAGGGAACAACACACACTGGGCACTCATGGGGTTGGGGAAGAACATCAGGAAAAATAGCTAATGGATGCTGAGCTTCATACCTGGGTGATGGGATAATCTGTACAGTAAGCCACCATGACACACGTTTACCTACGTAACAAACCTGCATATCCAGCACATGTCCCCTTGAATGTAAAATAAAAGTTGAAGAAAGAAATAAAAATAAGAACACTCGCTATCATTGTCATTACTTAATATTTTTCTGGTTGTACTTTTCAGTATCTTTTGTCATGTGAAAAATAAAATTGAAAAAGCAAGAGGCAAAAATATCATTATTTTCATTTTATTCAATTATATATTTATAAACTTTAAAATAAATAATGAATAACTATTAAAATCAATAAGATATTTAAATAACAGTTTTTGTCACAAAGTTATTTTAAAAAATCAATAGAGATAATAAACTACTAGAAAGTATAAGAGAATATTCCATCTGGAAAAATCAAACAAGAAAGTAAAGTTTAAGACATCTACTTAATCAAATACAGAAACATCTCTAAAAGCAAATTTACTAAGAGAAGGAAAAGTTAACTAAGGCAAATATTTTATTCACTGATAAAATATACAATATTATTATTACAGTATGTTATTCCTAAATTAATATGTAATATTATGATCCTATTAAAATTATCAATAGTATTTTTAGTTAGGAAAGTAAAATTTTAGTTAATTTAGCTTCTAAATAAATATGGAAAATAAATATTTAGTTTATGTTTATCCAAGAAAATTCTGAATATTATAATTGAAACCAGTGGATACTATTCCTCCAAGAGAGCAGATGCATGTAAAAGGCCACAGAATTTAAAAATGATTTTGTTCTGATACAGAAAAGAGTAGACAGAGGCATGAAATAGAATCAAGATTTAACAAGAGAATGAACTACTGACAGCATTTATTATATACTAAAGTTAGCATTTTAAATTAGAGAGTAAAAAATAGATTATGCCATAAATAGCACTGGGACAAGTATCAACACCATTTAACAACAACAACACAATTCTAGATGTGACAGAATTAATGCAAAAAATGCAAACATGACTGACAAAAAGGAAACAAAGCTTTAAAAGCATGAAAAACTATAGCAAGGGCAAAAAAACAAACACCGCATGTTCTCACTCATAGATGGGAATTGAACAATGAGAACACATGGACACAGGAAGGGGAACATCACACTCTGGGGACTGTTGTGGGGTGGGGGAAGTGGGGAGGGATAGCATTAGGAGATATACCTAATGCTAAATGATGAGTTAATGGGTGCAGCACACTAGCATGGCACATGTATACATATGTAACTAACCTGCACATTATGCACATGTACCCTAAAACTTAAAGTATAATAATAATAGTAATAAAAAAATAAAATAAAATAAAATAAACAACTATGTAAAGGGAAAAAAAAAGCATGAAAAAAGGCTAAACATTATATATTGTTCTCATATTAGAATGCAGAAAGCTTTACTGAAGGAGACAGAAACCCAAAAAGTAGAAATAAAACAATTGCTAAAATTATTTACCTAAAATTTTAAAATATCTATAGAAAAAATATCACAAGCAGATTTAAATGCAAGCATCACACTGAGGAATCTGTGGCAGACAGAATTCTAAAAGTCCCCCCAAATTTTACCCCTGATGACCACAGGTTATTTTAATACAATGCCCTCCCCTTTAGCGTGCACGGAGTTTATAATTTGCTTCTAACCAGTAGAATATGGCAAAGATGAGTGGATTTTGCCAGTGTAATTAAGGTCTCTAGTCAGTTGATTTTGAGTTAAGCAAAAGAGAAAAGCCTGTCCCAACCTATTAAAGTGAGCCCTTTTCAAGAGGCCCAGATCTTTCCTGAAAGAAGAGACACAAAGCAGCAGGGACTCTTCTGCTGGCCTTGAGGAAATAAGCTCTCATTTTGTGCAAGGACCTATGAAGGGCCACATGGCAAGGGACTACTGGCAGCCTCCAGGACCTGAAACCGACCTTGACAATTTTACTTTGGAATATGAGACTGATACTCTGGGCTATAATTACAAAATATTTTAATCTGTTTGAAACCTTTATCATTGCATGTATTACTTTCTTCATCTATTTTTTCTTAAATTATAATCTAATTTATCCTTAAACATCCCTGAGGCAGGTAAGCAAGGGCTTATTAATCTTATATTTCAAAGGAGTACCTGAGGTGCCAAAAGCTTAAGTGACCTGGCTATGTAGTGGTTTCTATGCATATTTTGGTGATTTCTCTCCATAACACCACAAGAAAACTAAGGGGCTTCAGTGGTGTTTTCTGATGACCAAAACACCTTTTGATTGGTTTGGAGAGCCTTTAAATTTTCATCTCTCTTACCATTCAGTGCAGTTTTGTTTCCTAATCCAAAGATTGATTGATTGATAATAGATATATATCTCTAGAGAGGAGGGATTATAGGTGATTTTTCTTTCTTCTTTTTCTTTTTTTTTAAATCTTTTTACAAGCATCAATTAGATTTATAATCTCCAATCTGTCATTTTTATACATTTTCAAAATTTGCTTGAATGCACTTTTAAAGACATCCTGACTAGATAATCATGTTTAACTTAGCCTTTAAAGAATGTATGCAAAGAGAATAATTGTACCAAGATCGATATATTTCTAGTGAGGATGAGAGTAAACATTTAGAACAAGATACAAAATATCTCTGAGTGTTGGTTAAAAACATGAGCTCTGAAACGAGACTTTTGGGTTCATATTTCAGCTCTGTGTGACATAATAAGACTCGATAAACATTTGGTGCTGGTACTCTTAATGACAATCAAACAATGTGACTAAGATGCAAAAACCTTAACACCAGCAAAACTTGCGGTGAAAAACTGGCCTCACCATTATCAGTTGTTCAGTTGTATAGCCTTCTACAGAGTACTTAACCTCATTAAATCTCAATGTTCTCATATGTAAACAAGGACTGTAACACTTTGTTTACAAAGTATATTGAACCAATAATGATTACTATTCATTATTAATTAAATTTTTGATATATATAAATTATTGTTGCTATCATTGATAATTACAAAGCTTCATTATTCCATGTGACATAATGACATTCACAAAGAATTAATTAACTTGTGCATTATCCTGATTAACCAATTCTCTGAACTGGTATTAGCAAGATAATTCAGAGATGTCTGAGATATAAAGATAATTCTACCAGGGTCAGAATAGTAAGAATATTAAAGAGAAGACAGTTTCCTTGATAAGCCACCATATAAAGATATTAGGTTGGTGCCTTACATATTCATTTAGCTTTGGTGAGAGTCTCACAGTCTTTTAACCAAAGTGTATTTCAGAGAAAATATGCAACCTATTGATCAATCTCCACATCACCCTCATACTTAGAAGAACTAACATCAGCTTCTCTAACTCAGTTATCATCACCTACTGTCTTCTTCATTTAACAAATATTGACTGTGTACTTATCATATATCAAGCACTGGTCTTGGGTCTAGAAATACATCAACAAGGAACATGATTGACAAGTACACATTCCTTGTCAAGTGTAGAATACAAGGACGAGAATAAGAAACAAATGGCCGGGTGTGGTGGCTCACACATGTAATGCCAGAACTTTGGGTGGCCAAGGTGGGCGTATCACGAGGTCAAGAGATCAAGATCATCCTGGCCAACATGGTGAAACCCCATCTCACTAAAAATACAAAAATTAGCTGGGCGTGGTGGCACGTTCCTGTAGTCCCAGCTACTTGGGAAACTGAGGTAGGAGAATTGCTTGAAACCAAGAGGCAGATGTTGCATTGAGCCAAGATCGTGCCACTGCACTCTAGCCTGGTGACAGAGCAAGACCCCATCTCAAAAAAAAAAAATATATATATATATATACACACACACATATATATGTATTGTATATGTATATATATACATATATATGTATGTATGTATACATATATATGTATATATATGTATACATACATACATATATGTATATATACATACATATATATGTATATATATACATATATATGTATGTGTATATATATGTGTATATATGTGCATGTGTGTGTGTGTGTGTGTGTGTATATATATATATGGGAATAAGACAACTTCAGGCAGTTTAAGCACCATCAAGAAAACAAAACAGAATGATTTGATAGACAGTGATTAAAGGAGGGTAGGGATGAAGGGCAAAATATTACAGATGGTGTTCAGGAAAGATCTTTCTAATACAATTATGCAGGAGATGAGATCTGAATGGCCAAAGAAATTATGCATGAAAAGATAGAGAGGAAAAGAATATTGCAAGGAGAAAGAAATATCATTAGAAAAAAAATACATTGAATGAGATTGATGGTATAAATGTGAGGTTTGATATTATAAAGTGAGATTGCAGGGGTAAACAATTACCAGATCCTCTGCAGTCATGTAAAATGGCCCAAGCCTGAAAGTTAACTGTTCCCTTTGTGTCTGAACAGCTGTAGGATCAGTTTGCCTGTAACTGCTTGTACCTAGCAACTGTGGAACTTCATGTTGGCTGTGATCCTGCAGTGTTGTAGGGATGAAATCTCCTCGGATCGGCTGCAATCAGATGCATTTGCTTGAATCACAGACTTTAGGTTTTTATTGTCTCTATAAGTGGTTTAAAGATGTCAGATGGTTTGCTTTGCTTACACTTTGTTCTAAGAAAAGTGCATTATTTATAAAACTCATTAACTAAATAAGTAGATAATGATCTTTCTTAAGCTAACTTTATGTGTGGAAATGCATGTATATGAGTATCTGTGGGTGAATGATTTAAGAGGCTACAAGGAAGAAACCTTATTCAATATTTTTCCCTCTAAAGACTCCACAATTGTGTGATAAATATGGTATTAAAAATAATGCATTATACTGTCCCCTCTTATGTTAGGTCTTAAAAATGTTTTATTTAACAACTTATAAATCTTAAATTCACTCTTAAAGGAAAATAGATGTATATGGAATACTCCAGGAGTAACTACAGGGTGTAGCATACCATTCTCTCCAGCTTTTCTGATCCACTCACATGTGTCATTCAAAATAAGCACTCAGTATCACAACTTTAAAGCAAAAAGACTGCTTTTCAAGTGTGGGAAAAAATAAAAGAAGGTAATAACAGACTGATTTTTTCTACATCACAACCCTTTATTTTATCTCCCAAGTCAAGAGCCTCTCAAGAAAAAAAAAAAGAAAAAAGAAAGAAAACAAAACTATTCTCCCTTAAAATGGCTTTTGCTAGCAGTAGATGTGGATGTGACTCACTTGGACTGTTTTGATTGCTGAAAATTTCCCATTTCATTGGCTTGTTATGTGTGGATAAGTGTTCTTTCTCTAGGTGTAGTAGTAAAGATCATCTTCATCTAATCCTTTGCTGTTGACCATTTGCATTGTAGTTTGAGTTCAAGAGTGTGAGAGTGGGCCAGGTGCGGTGGCTCACGCCTGTAATCCCAGCACTTTGGGAGGCCGAGGCAGGTGGATCACCTGAGGTCGGGAGCTTGAGACCAGCCTGACCAACGTGGAGAAACACTCTCTCTACTAAAAATAGAAAATTAGCCGGGCATGGTGGTGCATGCCTGTAATCCTAGCTACTCAGGAGGCTGAGGCAGGAGAATTGCTTGAACCCAGGAGGCGGAGGTTACAGTGCGCCAAGTTTGCACCATTGCACTCCAGCCTGGGCAAGAAGAGTGAAACTCCATCTCAAAAAAAAAAAAAAAAAAAAGAAGTGAGAGTGATTGGCAAAGCTAGTCACCAAACTTTTTTACCTTTCTTTTCATGCACACTGTTAGACTACATTTTTCAGCTTACTTGCACACAGATTTGGCAATTTTGACATATTGCTAGCCAATGCAACTTAAGCAAAACAGTATCTATCACTATCTGAACTGACCCATAAACATCTTATATGTGCAACTTGCAACAGTGTTGTGTCAGCTGTCAAATTGATGAAGATTAATATTGCAAACCCAAAACCCATATATTGGAGATGGTGGAGTCACAGGTGAAAGGGCCTAGACCCTAAATCATCTTGTATAGAGCCACTTATTGATCAGAAACACTCATTTGTAAACTTTTTATGTGAACAGGAAATAAATTTCTCTTGTGTTTCAGCCATTTTTTGGTATATTCATCTTAACAGTTGTTATACAAAGAAAACAATAAGTATTTTTAACTAAGAAAAAGAAGATATGAAGAAGTTATCTATTTTCTGCAACATCTAAAAAAGTGATGTAAACAAAAATCAGGAAGTAGTCTAATAGGTTCTAAAACATCTAATTCTTCAGACACACGCTCCTAGAATGAAAATCTTCCTCTAGGAAAAACAAATCTTCCACATTTGCTGGAAAGCCATTTTGTAATTATCAGGTCATTTATTGCCAAAGAGACATAATAAGAACAGATAAAATTGGATTACCTGAAAAGAAAAGGTAGAAAAAAAGTAATTAATAATATTTGTGGCTAAGTAAGAGAAATATGTCCACATAACTGGTAAAATTATTTTTTGCTTTTAAACTACCTCTAAACTCCTGGGATCACAGTCTTACATATTGGCATAATAAAAGGAGATTGAAGTCTGCTCATATCTGATTATGTTAAATGAAAATATTGCATAAAAGATTACAGTTAAACTTTACAAGGGATGTTTGTGATATTCAGTGTGAGAAGATCATTTTATGCTTCTCTAATTTGGACTATGAAATGAAATTCAGTCAACATTTCAGCTTGTACACAGCCTTGTCTAAAAGCTGGTATCTTACACAAAGCCAATGAAATGATATAAGAAGTTAATAAAAAGAATGAGGGCTGCAGGGGATTCAAACCATAGGTGCTAAATTAGGATTTCTGGCAAATATAGAGATGTGAGACAGTTCCTCTTTTCTAGCTTGAATCTCACAATTTAAAAGAACGGCAAGCTAAATTTGACTACATCAACACTGTTAACAACACACAGAGCATAATCAGTTGATACGGATTGTGTTATTTGGCAGTGGAGAGGGACTGATGAGGGATCCAACAGGTAATATACATAGTAATTAACAAAATGTCTTTAGAAGGTTTAATGACTTAGATTTATTCTGTCATTTCCCAACCTCAGGTCTTTGGTTAATTTATTTCACATTTTTGAACCTCACAAGCCTTATATGTAATAGGTGACTTGAAATAATACACATCTTATAATACACCTGAAGCCTAAAGGAGATAATGCATGCATGATACTTAACATGGTGTTTGGCACATTGTAAGTTCTCGATAAATGTTAGAAATTTTCTAAATAATCTTTATTATTCTTTTTTATATAATTTTGGCAATAACTGTTACTTTTACAAAAGTGTTATACAATTGTTCATAAAAAATGAGGAATAGAGAAAAACAATGAAATGAGTATTGAATCCTTGTCAAGCATTTTCAAATTGCCAGGCCCCTTTTAAAGGATTTCTCACATTAAACTTATTTAATCTTCAGAAGCTATGCAGTACAAATATTTAGATTCCTTTTTATTATGAGAAAAATAAGGCTCTAAAGGGTAATATAAATTGATGAAGCTCAAAGGATCAATATCAGAATAAATTAAAAATGATTCTCAAGTGTGAGTTTTTAACCACCACAGAAGTGTCCTCCATAATGCCACTAACCAGAACTCCCACTGCTAGCCTACAAACTTGACCATGTTGTATTTGGCATATGTCTCAGGAATGTTTTCTTCAGATCATTGATGATGTTTTTTAACATGTTGTTTGCAAGAGTTTCTTAGGACTGCCATAACAAAGTATCATACACTGAATGGCTTATTCTCTTGCAATTCTGAATGCTAGTTAACCTGAAATCCAAGGTGTTGATGGGGCCATGCTCCCTCCAAACCTTCTAGGAGAGAATCTTTCTGTGCCTCTTTCAGCTTCCAGTAAGTCTTAGATACTGCATTGTGGTAACATAACGCCAAGCTCTGCCTCTCTCTTCCCATCACTGCCTTACCTCTGCACCTGCTTCTTCCCACGGTGTTCTCTATGTGTCTCTCTCTCCTTTTCTTACAAGGTACTTGTCTTTTAGATTAAGGTCACGATCTACTCCAGTATGACCTCATCTTAACTTATTACATATACAATCATCCCCTTTTCCAAATATGGTCACTTTATAAGGACTTTCTTTGGTGGCCACTGTGGGTAGAGAGTTGGACTTCAGCATATCTTTTTAAGGGAGACAGTTCGACTCAGAAAAACCTTATAATAATATCTAAAAGCAAATTAATTTTTAAATTTACATACTTTTAAAGTGCTTGGTACTTATTAGGATAGTGAAGAGACTGTTATATTTAGGCGATTATTTTTTCATGCCAGAAATATATTTTTGTCCTAAAATATACTGAAAAATTGTAAACTGTGCGTAAGTGTATGGCTATTTTATTTTTTATTTCCCTGGATTATCTGGACATATAGGTTAAATTTCTTTTTGGTTTCTCCAATCTACAGATTTTTGCTGATGGACAGAAAGGACTAGAAACAAAACCCAAACTAGGCTCATTTTTATCATCGATGGTATGAAATGAAGTAGTATTGAGATTACAAAATAAAGTCTAGACATATTTCCTCAGCCAAACCTGAGAAAGTTGCCAAAATGAAAATGACTTGATAGTAAAATTAAAGTAAATCCAGAACGAAAACTATTTATTCAGCACCAAATGGGGAGTCAGCATCTTTAGGTCAGGTATTCTTTCTGTTCTGTATTTCCTTTGTAACTTCATTCAGTCCTTCCCATCCAATCGCCATAGAACATGAATAATACAAGCATGGGCCATTGAATTCTATCAGGATAAAAACCTACAAGCAAAATGGAAGGTCCAACAGCATTCATCCACTCACTGTCAATTATTTATTGAAATCTCTCAAAAACAGAGTCTTATTTTACGTATGGGAGGTGATTACAAAATGATGAAGAAACTTTCCTAGACCTTAAAGATCTCAGAAACAAATTGAGAAAAATTCTCACTTGTAACCATGTAATTGCAGAACTCTATAGATTTGTTTATTTTTAATTTATTTTATACCAAAAAGACGATTTATGGAGCTTTTAAAATACATACTACATAATGACATATTTTTTCAAAAAGGCTTTAGAAAAATAGTCTAAAATAATGAAATTAGACTACATCTTAATAAATTATTGGTAATCACGGGTAACTAGTTTGGAGATATCTTTTGTTATCAACTCTCAAGGCATAAATTATCAATGTCTCTTCAACTAAAAGTATATCTGTACATATTGTTTTCATTTCTAGAATAACAAATAGAACTGGAAGTAATCACAGTTAAAAAATTAACAATTCTTCTGAAGCACTTTGGAGAAAAAAATAACTATTACTTAGGTATAGAATATTTACAAAAATAAAATAGTCCATCAGTAATTATACCTTTGGTGAGCATTTAGTACTTACTTATTGGCAAGCCTATTTCTCAAAACTCATCAGTTATCATTTGTAGACTATTTTTTAAACAAGATACAGACATTCAAGATGTTGTATTTAATATGTGTGTATAAATATATACATGTGTTTATATTAACATATATTTTCTAAAGTAAATATAAACTATTTTATATAGAATACACACACAGAAAAGCATAAATCAGAAGTGTACAACTAAATGAACTTTCACAAATTGAACACACCTATGTAACCATCAGCCAACCAAAGAGAACATTATTATCAACCAAGAAAACTCCCTCATAACTCCCTCTAGTTTATAACCCCATGTGTTAATTAATTTAAACATACAGATTAGTTTTATCAAATTTTAACTAATGAAATCATACATATTTATCTACAGCGTTACATGTGATTTTGTTTATTCTCAATCTGTACACAGCTGTATCATGTTCCATTATGTGACTCTGCCACAATTATTTCATCCATTATACTCTTGGTATATATTTGGGTATTGAGCATAATAAACGACTAGCTAATTAATCATTATATCTCTGATATTGAAAATTTTTTTTTAAATTTAAAAACATATACTTTATAAATATGCTTAAAAACTATCAACAACTACATGCATGATTTAAAACATAAGCAGTACAAACGAATCTATCGCAAATAGCAGAATGAATCTTGAAAAATCAATATTTTTACATATGAAAATCAAAATTTTATTGTACAGTGTTATATTTCAACTTTTAACAATCATAAAACTTCTCCAAGTTATTCAAGTTCAAAATTGCTTGACTGTTAAAGGTCTTGTTCTGACATCTTATTCAGAAATGCTATATTATTCATGGTATGTGTAGAATGAATGTTCTCTGGCCTGATGGGGATTGTAAGGAATCCAAGATCACGCATCATGATTAAAGAGAAATTTAACAGTTAAATCCTTAAATACATGTGACAAGGAAAAAAACTACTCCTTTACATTATCCAAACTACTCTTTGGCTTGCTGTCACTAATGTTCAATCAGATGGAGACTTCTGACAAGATATGTTGCCTCTGAATTAGAAAGTCCATCCATATTACAGCTTCCAGTGAAAACACAGATGTCAGTTGAGATGGTCTAAGTCTTCCAGCCTGAGAATATTTTTCCTTTATAATTCAGATAAACTAATGTCTCTTCACCCACTCAGTTGGACACCCAAAACCCTTCTTTTATCTGCAGATGATTGTCTTCTTGGTTCAGGGTGAGAGGAGGAACTACTTTTCTCCTAATCTCCTCTGACCCCACTTTTTTAAAGCCAAATTAGGGCTATCATAGAATTTTGCTTAAACAAAAATATATTTAACGTAAAAGGAAATAATACTCTCCATTAGTGCTGCAAGCTGATTCCATCAGTTGTAGTTTTTGATTGCCATTTCTTTGCTTCCTTTCTCTACTGCATTTCTTCTTTATAGTTATTTATAATAAATGTTATAATTCACTTTATATTCTGCATTGGATTTATGTATAGCTTTTTAAAATTTAGTTTAAGGTTTATCTTCCAACCTCAGGACTGATGAACTCCTGTAAGGATACAGTTCTTGGTCAAGTTCAGTAATTCAGAAACTCATGGAATTGTTTTCAAATTACTGTATCCAAATTTACTCTTAAAGGGGTTCATGCCCCTAAAATAATTCAATGAGATTGAATTTCAATTCTGAAATTTTTAGCTAGATGGCTTTTGGCAGATTATTTAAACTCTCTTCCTTAACTATAAAAGGAAATCATAATGGGATCTACTCCATAGGGTTGTTGTGAGTTAATTTATGTAAAGTACTGAATTCGTGCTTGCCACATAATAAGCATCATGTATGTACTGATTATTATTATAATTATTATAAAATGCTTCTGAAATACCATGCACAAACATTACCCATAAAATTTCAAACTAAAAGAAAATTGGAGTAATGTGGTCTTAGAAGCTGAGAGGTTTTGACTTCTCCTTCTACCCTTTAACAGCAATGATATTTTAAGCTATTATATAAACTGCCTGGGCCTCAGTTTCCTGATCTGTAAAATGGGCACAATTATTCCTACCTAGAAGAGTGGATCCAATGATTCAATGATGTAATTAAAGGCATGCTGTAGCATATATACACTAAATCTCCAGTAACAGGACTTTTCTTTATTCCATTTGTTTAACACCTGAGTGGGACTTTTTTTTATAGCCTACAGTTACTTGACAAAGGCAAAATAACCAGTGTTCAAGGTGTTAGTAGATTCGAGATAGAGAGCAAAATGAATGATCACACCTAAACATGTCACATTTTATTCTGTACTCCTGCTCAACAAACCAACAGAATGTGGGACCTTTAAAAGAATGAAATCTAGTGCACAAATAAAACATGACACTTTTTATTCCTAACAGTTTTCCATCACGGTAAGATTTGTGGTTATATTCAGCCATAAAGATGGATCTGTACCTCAGGCTAGCAAGATTTATAAAAATGAGACTGGATCAAAATAAAATTCTAGCAATGGCTTGTAATTACAGACTAAAATTTCTGTCATTTCAGAAAAATACAGTTGAAAATGTCATGCAATCCTCCAATTATTTTCTTTACTTATATTTTCAATCGTTGTAAAATAGATGACTTGGAGAGAGCCAAAGAGTTCAGACAGCCAGGTGGGAGGGGTTTCCTGGAGCAACTCCAACCAGCCTGCCCAAGGAGGTGGAGCCTCAGGAAGTTGAGGACTTTTGCAGCAGGGAGGAGCCTAACCCCTTCTCTTCCTGTGTGGGAACCTGGGATTCAAGCTGAGGGTGGGAAACACTCTAACAGTGACTCTGACCTAAAAAGTCCCTGTTTCTCCCTTTTTTCCTTTTCCCCCAATAAAACCTGGCTTTACTCACCCTTTAAATCTTCTGTGAGCTTAAATTTTTGTGGCCGTGGGATGGACAAGGATCCCGTCTAGCTGAACTAAGGAAACATCCTACAACAGAATGATCAGAATTCTCAGAAGCATGGTATTTACTTGTTCTACTATAAGGTTATTGACTTAAAACATACATTGCTGGAAATTTCATGAGTATAATCATTTGTTGATTACTTGTACTAATGGAAGAGAGGAAGAATTATTGGTACTATTAAATAGTATCTAAAAAAATCATGTAATTATTCATTGCTTTGCAAGAGAATTAAAATAAATAAATATCCATAAATATACATTGTTTATGTATATCAAATACAGCTGAAAATCATGCACTGTTCCTTTTTTAAAAAAATGTGGGTAAATAAATGAATTAATGAATATAAAGTGAGAACCAGAACACTATTTTCTCTTAATTTCTAAAACTATAATAATATCATATCTGAAGAGAGAAAATAAAGTAGTGTTTGTGCTCTCAAGTTTTCAAAGTTTTAAATCATACATCTCCACAACACCTGTACAGTACAACATTTTTCTTTGAATTATTTTTTACTAAATAGACTTGCTCTTTAGGTATCTTGAGCCTTCAATTCAAATGAGGTCAAAATACAAGAACTTGATCCAAACCAGGGATCCAAACCAATTTTTAATTTCGGACGAATTGGACCTTTGTCCTAAACTTACTTTACATTTAAATTCGTTGGGGTTGAACTCAACATTCACATTCCCCATTTTCAGCATGTCTTCCTGAGATTAACGAGATGAACATATTGGAATATTATAACTCAAGAACCAGTCCATTAACCTAGCAACAAAGGTCAACTCAGGAATGCTTGGGAAGTGACATAACGTTAATATTTTTAAGGTTTCTTATTAATAGTAAATTTTTAACAAACATAGTGACCCTGATCAGTTCTTCTATTTCATATTATTTGGAGACATCAATATTTATGTTCTTTTTATAAATGCCAGTGTTCTTCCATGTTAGCACCTAAGAATTCCCTTGACTCTCTCAGAGACATCCACCCCAATGCTTCATGAATCACTGATTTTCTGATTATTCCCAAGTCTTTAGGACTACCTCGGATCACTGTAAGGATCTTCAGATCTGAGAGAGCTATCTCAAATTCAGGAAGGACAAACTGGTTATTTTCCCCTCCCCACTCCAACCAAATATGTGTCTGCCTGTGCTCTCTTGTTTAGTTAGGGGTGCCCTATGTTATTCATCCTGTTTCTGAAGCCAGAAACATAGACATAATCTTAAAATCTTGTTTCTTCCTTTATGGCTTACATCTAATTGGTCACTGGGTTTTATTCATTCAATCCTCCTAAATGGCTTTCAAATCTATGTATGCCCACATTTCCTGCACCTAGTTGAGATAACTTCATTTGTTGCTAGGATCACTGCAACAATATCCCTAGTTGTCCTTTTTTTTTTTTTCCTTCTTTCCATTACCCCCACTGTAGTCAGGGTGATTATAAAATGAAACTCTGGAAATATTATTACCATGAGTAAGTCTTTACTGTCTCTCCAAAGTAATTAGAGTGAAGTCCACACTTCTCATGTTAGCTTCCAAGATTCTCTGACTTGACCCTTATCTCTTCAACATAAAATTCCATCAGGTCAACAATTTATACTTCACCTGCATGGTACTCCTGTGACTCCTTTCCACTCATATGCTTGACATACCATGTTTCTGAAGAATCTTTTTGTTTCCTGCCCAACACCTTCTCATCATTCAGTTCTTAGTCTAGATGTTCTTTGCCTTGAGGGGTCTTTTTCTGAACACTGTTCCTCACCATCCACCACAAGGTCAGAGTGATGAGGGCAGAGTAAAAAAACCTAATATACAATCTTCCTTAAAAGGCTCTTACAGTAACAACATGATTAAAATGACTGCTTACATTTACTGTTAATTTAATATAAACGGACAACATTAAAAAAACTTTCTGCAACTTAATGTTTTGTCATAAAGATTTTAGAAAGCAAAAGTCACCATTTTGTTAACACACCAAATAATAGTGCTCTTACATGATTATTTAAAATGAATCAAAGATCACCAAAGCTGGAGTAAGGAAGAAAAATTAAAAGTTGTATATAAAGGGATTCTAATGGAAAGATTAAACTGTAGCTATTATTATCAAATTGGGTTTAAATCCCAACTTTAATATTTACTAGCTTTAAAAATGTGGGAGAGTAACTTAATTCATCTGAATTTTGGTGTCCTTTCTTGAAAAAAAGTGATAATATACCTCTCATAGGGTTATTATGATAAATAAAGGAGATAATACTGAAAAAGTTCTTATATGCACTGTCCAGCACATGGTATTCATCCAATAAATGATGTTAGTAGTAGTAGATTTAAGACAAGTAAAATCCTATAAATAAAAGTAATTTATAACATTCAATATCTTTTATGAATTCTGAAAAGTCAGCATCTCTGAAAGAATGTTTTCTTGAGCAAAACTGAACAATTATATAAAGGATCTCTTTCACACAGGTCCTTTATCATTCTAAATGAAACCACCTTTCATTGTTCTGTAACTCTTATTTCTGGAAGTAGTGAATTGCTAAAGAAAGATATATGAGAATTCTGTCCAGCTTATATCTTGATCAGAGTCATTTATAGTCTTCAAAATCTATTTTTTATATTACACAGAATGTATAGTATTAGATTTGAAAGACGCTTTCTGCCGTCATAACAGTAATAGCAGTACCTCTGGGAAACATTAATTTCAAATGGAATGGTTATAAAAATCAAAACTTCATTTTTATTTAATATAAAAATGATTTCCAACAAGCCAGCCAGGCTTCAACAGCAATTCATAAAAACCAATTTGGTTATGTGATGCAAATTTCAAGAGCACAGTAGTACATTTTAACTGCTCATTTATTTGTTAAGCATTTATTATGCAGTGTTATTATAATTACTTCTTATGATCTATGTTGTGCAAGATCTGTCCCCTGACTCTAACTATATCATGTCCCCTCTTACCCTGCTCTAGTCATTATAGTTTCTTTGTTTTTCTTGAATAACTCTGTCCCATTCCAACTTTTTACCTGCTATTCTGGGAGGAATTGATGGCTATTGTCACTGTAAAGTTTCTTCTCATGCTTCCAGTGTTTTCATCAGCATCATCTTTTAGAATAAGATTTTGACCAAATTTTAAGAAGTAGTTTTCTCCTGTTATATTTTCCATATTCATCTATTCTCTTTTGATCCCTTCATGCCATTCCAATCACAATTTTAACACTGTTAGTTAGTTTTAGTTTTTCTTGTTAAACTACATGAAGGAAAAGGTGATGTCTGTCTCATTTGCCAGTCTATCTCTAGGATCTTGCATGTTACCCAATATCTAGTATGTGCTCAATAAAAACATGTCAAGTGAATGAATTAACACAATGTGCTTTCTCATGAATTCAAGAAAAAGAGGTTGTGTAGGTCAGGGGTCCCCAACCCCTGGGCCAGGAACATTACAGTTCCCTGGACTATTAGGAACCAGGCCGCACAGCAGGAGGTGAGTGGCCAGCAGGAAATCATTATGCCTGTGCTCTGCCTCCTGTCAGATAAGCTGCAGCATTAGATTCTGCAGCTCGAACCCTATTGTGAACTGCGTGTGTGAGGGATCTAGGCTCTGTGCTCCTTATGACAATCTAATGCCTGATGATCTAAGATGGAACAGTTTCATCCCAAAAGCATCCACCACCCAACATCTGTGGAAAAACTGTCTTCCACAAAATTGGCCCCTGGGGCCAAAAATGTTGGAGACCACTGGTGTAGGTCACAGAAAACTGAAGATAGATGGCCTATCATAGATATTGGTCACCATGAAAAATTCCCAAATTGATTAAATAGTTAAATAGAGAAGGGGTTACAAAGAAATATTTATGTGATAATTAGTTTGATTCTTCTATGAGACAACTGTTTCTAAGTTTAAAAGCAGCAGAAGGACATCAAATTAACATCAGTAGGTTTAATGACATAAAACTTGAATACATTCAAAGTAGGGTAATACAAAAATTTAAAACAAACTTGGGAGAAATACCAAAAACACAAATGGTAGGCAAAAGACCAATTCTTAATTTACAATTACATCATTTAAATTATTAAGAAGAATACAATTATATCAAAAATGAGTAATGGACCATAAATATAATAACTATAAAATTGTCAGCAGTAATTGTGATTTTACTATGTGCTGTGTTCAAGACACTGCATTATGTTTTATATACATTGCTTCATTTAATTCCCTAATAATCATATGAAATAGATAATGTTATTAAGAGTATTTTATGGAGGAGGAGTCTGAGGAACAGGGAGGCTAATTAATTTACCCAGTATTACACCCATTTGCAATGGGAATAGATTTAAACTCAGAACTTTCTCACAAAAAGTTCTAATTTATAACAACTCTGGTAGATTGACAATTGAAAAATGGGGAAGTATAAAAAAGAAAAAATATAATTCCATAAATAAGTAACGGATGTCACTCTTATCCCTTATCATTTTTGCACACTCCCTTCCTTGCAGGGCACAGCCTGGTTAAATCCAAACTACCATCCACTCTGCCCCTGATTCCATGTAGCTGAACACACTTATATTAGCATATAAACATGGTGAAGTTTTTCTCATTTTTTAAAAAAGTCTTCTCTTTTATTTTCCAACTATGGGCTGTCCCATTTACTCAGACTTCTATGAAACAAAACTTTGAAGCATCTTTATCCTGTCAATATCCAATTTCTTTGTCAATCCTTCTCTCTTAAATTTACTTATCTGGCTTTGACTTTTCCACTTTTCAGAAACTACTCTTGTCAAGTATGCCAATGACGTTCACTTGGCTAAATCTAATGGTCACTTTCAGTCTTCTTATATTAGACCATTCTGTACCATTTAACCAAGATGAGTGTTCACCCTTATCCTTGATAACTTTTCTGTATACACCTAGCTTTCAAAACATCACACTCTTGATTTTTCTACCCCTCCAAAATTTCTTTTCATTTTCTTTTGCTGTCTGTGCTCCTTCTCACCAAACTCTTAATATTTCAGTGTTCCCAGTTCAGGAATTTTATGTTTTCTGTCTGAATCCAGCCCTAAGGAGACACCACCTATATGCTGACAATATCCAAATTAATATTTTCATCTGAGACCTCTCTGCAAGACACTAGATCATATATAATTTTATAACTTCCTGTGTAATATCTCTACTTACACATCTAATGGCTTTCAAAACTAAACATATCTGAAGAAAAAAAAAAACCCACCATGCTACACTCCTTTATTCCCATCTCAGGTAAGAGAAAATCTATCCTCTAGTTGCTCAAAATAAAAACTTTTTTTTTCTGTTTCATTTTGAATAGTTTCTACTGCTCTCTTCAAGTTTAGTAAGTTTTTATTCTGTCATGTCTAATCTGCCATTAACTCCATTTAGCATGTTTATCCCTGAGTCATTATAGTTTTTTTTCTGGAAGTTTGATTGGATCTTATCTATATTTTCTATGTCTCTATTTACCTATTTATTTAAACATATGTAATGCAGTTATAATAGCTATTTCAGTGTCATTTTCTGTTAATCTAAAGTCCATGTCAGTGTTTATTGACTAATTCTTGCCATTTTGTGTTGTGTCTTCCTGCCTTGAGTCATACTTGATTATATGTCAAACACTGTGGATTTTACCTTATTGAGTGCTAGGTACATTTTCATTCCTGTAAGTTTTTGAGCTTTGTTTTGGCATGTAGTTAGTTACTTGGAAACATTTTGCTTTTTTTCATGCCCTGCTTCTATGACTTTTAGGTAGTTCTGGAATGGGGCTGAGTCTCTGGCTAATTATTCTACACTACTTGAGCAAGAGCTTCCTGAGTTCTCTACTCAATGCCCTACGTATTATGAGTTTCACTAGTCTGGTTCATAGGAATAAGCATTGATACCACCCCTATTGGAGGAATGGCCAGTATTTCCTCTGTCCATTTTGAAAGTTCTCTTCCAAGATGGGAGTAGTTTCCTCTGATGTTTGCTCTGATGAATAACTTTCAGAAAACTCAAGGTGAACCATCTGCATATCTCCAGTGTTCTCTCTCTCTGTGCAACTCTCTCTTTTCTGGTGATCTGTTATATTAGTCTGTTCTCACACTACTATAAGGACATACCTGAGACTGAATAATTTATGTTAAAAAAGAGGTTTAATGGACTCAGATCCACATGGCTGGGGAGGCCTCACAATCATTGCGGAAGGTGAAGGAAGAGCAAAGGCAGGTCTTACATGGTGGCAGGCAAGACGGTGTGCGCAGGGGAGCTGCCCTTTATAAAACCATCAGACCTCATGAGACCTATTCACTATCATGAGAAGAGCATAGGCAACCCCCCACCCCCCTAGCATGATTCAAAATTGCCTTGCACTGGGTCCCCCTATGACATGTGGGGATTATGGGAGCTGCAATTCAAGATGAGATTTAAGTGGTGAGACAGCCAAACCATATCATCTGTCCTATGAACTACAGTGGCTTCGTTTCTCTGGACTCTCAGCTCTATCTTCTAAACTCATACAATTATTTAGCCTCTGCTTCAGTTATCTTTCTATGACTACAGCCTAGAAACTCTGTCAAAGCTATAGCACTTGCTTCATTTTTTTCTTGCCTTTAAAAGGTCTCTGTCATCTGTTGCCTGATGTCTGGTGTCTTTTTTGTTTTTGCTTTTTTTAGACGGAGTTTCGCTCTTGTTGCCCAGGCTGGAGTGCAATGGTGCGATATCGGCTCACCACAACCTCCACCTCCCGGGTTCAAGCGATTCTCCTGCCTCAGCCTCCTGAGTAGCTGGGATTACAAGCATGTGCCACCATGCCCAGCTAATTTTGTATTTTTAGTAGAGATGGAGTTTCTCCATGTTGGTCAGGCTGGTCTCAAACTCCCAACCTCAGGTGATCCACCCACCTCGGCCTTCCAAAGTGCTAGGATTACAGGCGTGAGCCACCGCGCCCAGCCATCTCTAGTGTCTTAAAAATGTCACTTCATGCCTTTTGTCTGATTTTTTTGGCAGGGAAGGAATTTTTCAGATGTGAGGGCAAATCACATCACTGTTACTTTAATTTTATCAGAAGCAAAGGTTAAGAATTTAAGTGAAGAAAATAAAATGGATATAATAATTTCCAATATAGCCATGTAACATATATGTGTTTCTTAATACAATATTGACTTTTCAAATATTTTTTCATCTTTAAACTAAGATTTCTATGTAACTTCATTTTCATACTCTTATAATGCTTGTATCATTTAAATTTTTCTAAAATATACTGTTTATAGTCATATGAATTAATTATAATACATGGGAAATAAAAACATTTCCTTTTCACTTTTATTGGATAGACCAATTAATTCCACTTGCTCCTTAGGGAAAGAAAGAAAATACATTATAACTTGCTATTTGAAATATTTGAGATATTTGCTATTTGAGATATTTAGATGAAAATAGTTTGTGAGATAATTTAAATTAACTTTTATCAAAAAGAGTCTTGTTATCCAATCTTGATATCTAATATTGGATGGTACTTCGGTAATTTACCAAAACAATGCCCAATTTAAATTATTTTGTAAAATCCCACTTGACACAGATGTGAACAAATATAAAAAATGATGATTAATTTTCTGTCAGTAACAGTACTATTATGCTGTACTTCATTTGACAGATTGACTCACAAAAATATTAAAAATGACTTTATATAATTTTGTTATTTTTATGTACGTTTGTCTCCAAAATTATAAATAAGCCAAACAATACAGACAAAACAGATAATATAGGGAAGTGAAATTTAATGATCCAGTTTGATTGGTGATATCAGGCAAAAATATTTTATGAAGTGAAAAAAATGCGCTTTGTAATGATTCAATGAGAAGTCGACTCAACTGGGAACGGAAAAATAAGATTAGGCAGAGCATGTGTTTGAGTTTAAACAAGTTACTTAAATTCTCTGATCAGAGATATCCTCATCTATAAAATGGCATCATTAATATGTATATACAAATTTGGAGTGGAAATTAAATGAGGTGAATACATAGTTCAGAATTTCATACATGCATACTCATATACACTCACATTTCATATTAGTAAACATTTTGATATATAAACTGTAATCTAAAAAGTGAACCAAAATTTGTTATGAAACATATGATTTACAAAACATATTTATATGAAAGTTTGGCTGCCCAAAGTGCCTTCTCATTAAATTAGTTTTTTAAATTTAATTTCCAAAATGAGGAAAAATTTCTTTTAGACATGTGAAGATTCACACTTTATTCTTACTGTCAGTGAATATTAATGAACAACTGCTGTGTTTGAAATTTTTATTTACAACTTAAAGAATAAACAACCAGTATAGTATAGTATATTGGAGACAGTAAAAGGTTATTTATGCTCTGTATACTATATTTTAAGTAATTGTTGAATATTTGTAGATGCTAAAACCGTAAGCCTTCCCAAATAGGAAAAGAACCATGAAAGAAAGCAATCAATCACAATAAAGACAACAAATACATTATGGGAAGAAGTTGCCTGAAAATATAATAGGGTGGGAATTTGAAGAGAATCCTAACATAATATAACTAGATTCCATGTTAAACATCATTGTAATGAATTACTGGGCTACCAAGAAGGAAATACCATATCTATGGAACATCCTCTCTAAGTGGAAAACAAACGCAAACCAAGCCACAATTACTAGCAAGCTGTAAAATGTGGGGGTCTGAAGCAAATGCTAACATCAGCTTAAAGATTCAACCTTGAACTTAAGTTAAAGTAGTGACAGTAAGCCAGAGAATCCTATAATTAGCCTCTTTTAAAGGACCAAAACCATCTCAGGAAAATAATACCCTTGGAATCATGCAAAAGGAAATGCAAATTTTCTCTGGAATAAAGAATACCTAAATAAGCCATCAGAATTCCCACAAATTAAGATGAAAATGTGTGCATTTATAATCAAATATGACCAAGCATTTAAAAGAATATGAAACTATTAGGGTCAGAGAAATAAAACAAACAGACATCCCTAGCCAATTTAGATTCTCAAAAACACTTCAGATATTAGAATGTAAGATAAATAATAAGAGTAATTATGTAGAAAACATTTTATTAAAAATAAAAGATCAAACTAAAGAAAAGTGATTAGGAAAGTAGTGAGTGTAAAAATTTCCAAGGAGATATAAAAATGAATCATAGAGAATTTTAGAAACATAAGACATAAATATTGAAATTAGAATATCAATAGATAAGTTTAACAGATTAGATAAAGCTGAGGAAAAATGTAGTGAAACAGAAAGTAAATCCAAAGAAAGTATTCAGAATGCAATGCAGAGGGCAAGGAGAAGAAAATTATTAAGAAAAAAGAAAGTAAATCAATATAAAAGATAAAGTACAATATTCTAATATAAATCTAATTAGACATTTAGAAATGAGATTAGCAAAAATGGAAGAGACCTGAGCTTTGAAGAGAATATGACTGGGTATACTCTAGAATGGTGAGGGGCATAAATCCATAGAGAGAGAAAGAACAAGATACACTAAGCAGGGTGGGAAAAAGATGTCTTTGTAGACTACAGAACATCAAACACAAAAAGTATATTATAAAGAAAAATCCCAATACAATTGAACTTGGACTTTCTACCAAACAGTGAAAGCCAGACAACATTGGGAAAATTATCAAAGGTTTGAGGACAATTTTAAAAGAAAAAATGAACTACTAAAATAAGAATAATGTATTTGTATTTTTGGAAAAGTTACTATAACAGGATTATATTTAAAGCAATACCACAGAATGTCGTAAAATGAAGAAATTAATTAGGAAGAGAAATGTGTAAGATTACGGAAGAAATAGCTGCCCACTTAAAAAAGAGTGTAAAAGAAAAGAGAATTTACAAGGAATTCAAACAATTCAAAAACAGAAACAAAAATTACCATGTTAAAAAGTGGACAAAGGGCATGAATAAATATTTTTTAAAAGAAGACATACAAATGGCCAACAAGCATATGAAAAAAAATGCTCAACATCACAAATGATCACATACATGCAAATTAAAATCACAATGAGATATCATTTTGCACCAGTCAGAATGATTATTAAAAAGTCAAAAATAACATGTTGGCAAAGATGTAGAGAAAATGAAATATTTATACACTAATAGGAGATAAGTAAATTAGTACAACCTCTATGGAAAACAGTATGGAGATTTCTCAAAGACTTAAAAATGGAACTACCACTCAATCCAGCAATCCCACTACTGGGTGTCTACCCAAAGGAAAATAAACCATTCTATCAAAAAGATACCTGCACTTGTATGTTGATCACAGTGATATTCATAATAGCAAAGATATGGAATAAGCCTAAGTGCCACCAACTGATGAATGAGTAAAGAAAATATGGTGTGTGTGGGTTTAGCTATAAAAAAGGAATGAAAGTATGTATTTTGCAGGAACATGAATAGAACTGGAGACCATTATTTTAAGTGAAACTCAGAAACAGAAAGTCAAACATTGCAAGTTCTCTCTTATATGCAGGAGCTAAATAATGTGTACACATGGACATAGAGTGTGAGATAATAGACACTGATGTCTCAAAATGATGGGGAGGTAGGAGGGTGGGAGATGGATGAGAGGTGAGAAATTAGATAGTGAACAAAATATACAATATTTGGATCATGGTTACACTAAAAGCCCAGACCTCACCACTATGCAATATGTCCATGTAACAAAATTGCAGTTGAATTCCCGACATTTTTACAAATTAAAATAAATAAATAAGCATACACAAAAAAATAGTGGGGTGCAGTGAAAGCAGTATTTTCAAGGTAATATATAGCTATCATTGTTTACATTAGAAGAATAGAAAGCTTGAGAATTAAATATTTCAATATTTGAATGTAGAAGGTTGTAAAAGATCAAAAACCTAAAACCTGAGAATCTATGGAATAAATAATGAAGATGACAAAATTAAAAGCAACAACTACATCTATATCACCCAAACCAAAAGGTAGTTGTTCTTGGAAAAGAGTAATAAAACTGGCAAACTTCCAGTTAGATTTCTGTAGTAATATAATCCTTATTTATTGATTTATTGGCTGGGTACATGATTGCCAACAATAATTGTTAGATTCTTCAGCTTCTCTGCCAGCTAATTTTGTCCATGTGATTAAGTTCTGAGCATTGATACGAAAGCCGAGTCTTCCTTATAAGACATCTGGCACATGCCACATGTCACTTTTACTTTGTCCTTTATACTTTCTTTCTGGCTAGATGCAAACATGGTGGCTGGGAATGAAGGTGCCATCTTAGTCCATAAAGTGCCTTTGGGAGTGGAGGCTAAGAAAGGGTCAAGAATAGATTAGAACAAAATGAAGGCCTATGCACCTGTAAAGCAATGTGCTTTTATCAGCCCTGGACTGCCTGGTTTCAGACCTGAAAGAATGTAAATTTAAATATTTCCAACTTATTTTAAGCCACTGTTATTTTTAGTCACCATTAACTTGGATCCAAACCTGCTTCTAGTTGATAGAGCTATTTTGTGGGAAGAAAAGACTCTTCCAAGACATATCTTCTATTTGTTTCAATCAAAAATGAGGTGAATCATCAATGGAGAATGAATTGGGAAGAAGACAGATGTTGAAGTTTTCATCAGAGAGGAGAAATGATTACTTCAGAAAATAAGCTTATTAGGGAACAAGCTAGAATTGACAGAGAATTCTAAGTGAATTCTGGCAGTGGTGACAGTGATTTGAAGTTGCAGCAATTTGCCAGGTGGTATAACTTGTCTATACCACGGTTCAGATGTTTAGATTAAAGTAGAGAGAAGGCAGCTAGTTGGAATCATCCAGATATGAGTTTTACTCTCAGAGAATTAAGAAAAGAAAATACGAGAAAAAGCTGAGAGCATTTGCCAGAGATTAATTATAATAAATGAAGCACAAGACCCGGATCAGTTCAAAAGGAAAAGTATATAAGAAGTTAGAAAATAATGAGCTCAGAAAAACTGTACGAGTGGGCAGGTGTCTGCAGTCCCAGCTACTCAGAAGGCTGAGGCAAGAGAATCTCTTGAGCTTAGGAGTTTTGAAGCCAGCCTGGGCAACATAGTGGGACTCCTTTCCTAAAATAAATAAATAAACAAACAAACAAATAAATAAATAAAAATCAGGGCAAGAAGCTATGGGTCTTTAATGAAGTTCAAGAATGTTGTAGAAGTACTTGGGCAAGAATGTGGAGAATTTGAAGATCATTATCTGAGAGTAGAATGATTGAATTCAAGTTTTTTAAACTTCTCCTCTAGTACTGTGTGCTCAGCCTAATACTTTTTATTTTTCCCCTTCTCTTTGGTAAAAACAAGATGCTGAAAATTTGAGACAAATTGTCCATGTAATTACAAATGAAATCAATATTATTTAATGGAAAATTTTAAAACATTTCAAAAAATAAAATAAAATGGTCTTCAGAGACATGTTCCCAATGGCTATACATAAGGTGGTCCTAAAATAATTGGAACTATTGTTGCATAAGGAATTTTTCTAAAAAATAAGTATAGACATGCACAATGCTAATAAAAGTATAAAATCTCTTACACAAAATTCACTAATCTGTTAGTGTTCAATGTATTTTTTCATGTATTCTCTTAGAGGAAATTTTATCCCCTACTATCTAAACTCTCACTATCTGAATTCTCTTTGGTATCAGAAGTAAGGATCCAAATTTATATGTATCAGAAGGAAATACATTTAGGTGTGTATGTTACATTTTTCTTACAATTTTCAATGATTTTATTCTTAAAATCTTTGAATGTCTTATTAAGTATTTTAACATTTTTCTCCACATCTCCATTTAATATATTTGACCTCTTCAGTAATATCTTGCTGACTTTGATCTTAAAAGTTTTGTGCCTCTTCAAACATTTTTAAACCATTTCACTTTGATCTTCATTTGTCTATTTTTTAAAAGGTAATCGTAACAAAAACATAAAATAACATAGAAAATCTAAGTTTCTGAAATTTTTTCATGCAAAACGGCTTATAAGATTTCAAACAGCTGCATATGTCAGAAGTCATTTTCAAAGAGTGCTGTTTAATGTGCAGAGGTGGTCAGGCTTGGCTGAGATTGCAACTATTAATGGGTATCTATGGCTCTTTCGTATTTCCCAGGTGGGGTTCATTAGCATTGCCAAGTGATTTAAATTGGATGGGTTATGAACAAAATTTCAGGTGGTTGGAAGTCTGCAGACAAATAAAATGCATAAATTGTAATATATGATTGTGGGTGTTAATTTTATTCCAAGTGGTATTAGGAGGCTTAAAACAGACAACTTTTAAACTCCTTACTGTTTTCATTAGAGATAAAAGTAGAAAAAGTCACCACATCAATGTAACATATAGCTCATGAAGAATTCTGTACTTTAAAATTTATTAAAGGCATGATTTTAAATCAGCAGCAGAAATCGCAGGCATCCATAGGCTATTAGTCTTAGAAACACTGCACAGAGCCTAAAGGACCTACTACAGTCAGACTTAAAATGAATGTATTCTACTTCAATAGGCATTGTTCTAATACACTTTAAACATAATACATTATTTAGTTTAAAGTTCTAAGGAGGCTCAAAGTCAGACTAACTCTGGGAAAATATAAAAATAATTCACAGAAAAAAAACTGCAAGTAAAACTGTGTCTTGAAAGCTGAAAGGGTATTCAGCAGGTAGAGATGGAAGGCAGGGCACATGCTGGGAGAATAAGAAACACATACAAAGCTACAAAGAAGGAATGCATACAACCATTTGAGGTTAGGAAGAGTCCACTGTGGATGGAGGCTAAAACGCTTGAAAGAAAAGGTCAATGAAAAATGGCCAAAAAATAGGGCCATATAATTTAGGATATGATCCTATTATGAATGGAAATATTCAAGCCAATATTTTCAGCTTGGATTTTATCCTTGCAAAATAGTCATTAAGCAGTACCATGACATGATCAGATTTGGAATTTAGAAAGACCACTCTGCTGGGGTAATAGAAGGTCAATAGGACTGGAAAGGGAAGGAGATGGGCACCTGACAGTGAAAGACGAGGCATTAAGTGGTAAAGAAAAATGGAAAGGTTCAAGCAATCCTTGAGAAAAAGAAGCAACTTCTTTTTTCAGTTGGACATAGAATAGTTGTCCAGTATTATAGACACAAGAATTGACGAGGGATCTAATGTGAAAGTAGAGAAAGAACAGAGACATCAGTGACTGCAAGCTTTCTCTTCTACAAATAGTGTAGGCATGGGCTCCCAGAAGATCAGTGCTTAAGATACCTTTCTGAATGGGTGGTTCTGCTGCTCATGGATTTTTGTGGTGCTGAGTATGTGAATTTTCATGCATTCAAAAGCGTTACTACATATATCTCCACAGAGACGTTAAATGCCATTCACTTTGAAAGGGCTTCTTAACAGAAAACAAAATGAAACAAAACAAGACAATGAATCTTACTGGCAGATAAAATGAATACTAAAACACTTCATATCACTGAAGAACCCTCGCAGTCAAACATATGATACTCAGGCAAATTCATTTTGTTAAATTGAGACATTGATCACAGACACACACACACACACACACACACACACACAATACATATGTATATATATACATACATATATATATACACACACAGATACACATGTATATAATACACATATATATGTATCACATTTGCCTAAACTTTATCACTATTATTGACTAACAAAAATTATTTCTAAAGCACTCACTTGGATATTCAATAATGGGGACTGGTCACACAACTTACATAGACCATATCTCTCAGAGACTAAAAGATACAAAATGTTATGAAAGAACAACAGCATTCTAAAATGATTCTCCTTAGAGAGTCCTGCCTTCCAACTGGCATTTGCTACTGATGGCCTTGAATACGGGCACTTTGGAGCTGATTTGTAAGAAGGAGCTTAATGTTATCCATATCAAAGTTTATTGATCACAAATAAGGATCCCAAGACAATTATTGTCATTGTCTTCACAATGCCACAGATCAGCTTATGTCATTTCATGACATAACGACCAATGAAAAGCTCTAAAAAAAAAATGAAGATGCAGAGTTATGCAGACCACTTTGAGAACATGTTTAGTGGGTGAATCATACACCTCAATGGAGTCATAAATGCCCTGATTAGTCACTTCTTTTTACTCAATTGTGTCCCTCTAACTTAAAAATCATTCTTACGGTGCACTGGAAATTTTTCTATCACATTGTATGATAACATTAAGGTTATAAAACAGAACATTAGATCATCATATCATCCTTTGTTCCCAGGTTTCCTTGACCTCCATATATCTATGCAATTAAATCATAAGAATCTAGTAAAAAACTACACCTAAGAGCAAAAACATTTTAATAATACCACTATATTTAAAAGTTTCCAATAATACAGCCAAATGAGTTTGCTTCATTGAAGATGAGCAATTTATTAAACTTTTATTAAAGAAGAAGATGGAGCAAATATTACCTTTTACTTGGAACTGGGACAAATCAGCAAAATTCAGAATATTTCATACATCAAAGTATTTTTAAAAAATCGAGTACAATTTGTGAGAATGATAACACATTTTGGTTGAGTTTTAACTTGAAGTATTCTTCTAGGTGTTGTTGCTATAATTCTGCAGGTATTTTTTCGCTGCCCCACTTATGAATAGGTATTATTCAACTTTAGATATTTACTTCAGAAGCAATAACAATGGGGGTTGGGTTCAGTGGCCAGGCCTGTAATTCCATCTACTCAGGAGGCTAAGAAGGGAAGATGGCATGATTCCAGGAGTTCAAGACCAGCCTGAGCAACACAGTGAGACCCTGACTCAAAAAATAACATAAAATTAAAAAGAACAAGCTATCACAATAAATTTAAATTGTGATAAATTTAAATACACAATAAAATTAAATGCATGTAATACTATACATGCATACAAGCAAGATTTTATGCCCTCAGGAGACAATAAGTGATACATAACGGTAAAGCTGGTGTTCACATCCCTTGCTCTATCTCTCCCTGGTTGTACAATACTGGGAAAGTTACTTTACTTAACTACACTGTGTCAAGGCTTTTTACTGGTAAAATACACATAATACTAATACATGCTTCATATTTTGTATGACAATTAAACGAATAGATTCATGTAAAATTCTTTGTGCAGTGCCCATCGAAGACAATCTAGGTCAATAAATGTTAGCCACTTTTCATAAGAATTGAACTGTGAAGAAGGGAAGAAAAAATAAAATAAACCTGAAAAGACAACAAAGAAATAAATAAATCTGGATCATCATGAGCTGTCTGGGAAGGCTGATGAAAGTGAAGACTTTTCTATCAAGAAGACCTGAGAGCAGAATGGGGAGCTGACTCAGCCAAAATGTATGAGAAATCTGTTCCCAAACCAGAGCCTTGGAATGAAAGCCTGTGGACAGCCAATCACCTGGTGATCAAGGGTCTTCCCAAATACCTCCAAACATGTAGATGAGTAACCTGGTAAAGGATCATGGCACATTGAGTCAGCTTCACCCTGTGATCAAAGTGGAACTGGATATGAGCAGAGAGGGAGAGAGAGTCTCCTATTATTTTAGACTGAATTTTTATGTCCCAACCAAGTTCATGTGTTGAGTCATAAGAGTCTATGTGATGGGATTTGGAGGTGGGACCTTTGGGAGGTGATTAGGCCATGAGGATGGAGCCCTTGTGAAATGGATTTGTGCCTTATAAAAGAGACCTCAGAGGACTCCCTTGTCCCCACTTCTTCCTTGTGAGGACATGGTGAGAAGATGGCTATCTATTAAACAGAAAGAGGACCCTCACAGAACTTGACCATGCCAGCAACCTGATCTCAAACCTCCTGCCTTCAGAAGTAAGAAATATAATTTTTATTAGTTCTAAGGCACCTAGTCTATGACACTTTGTCATAGAAGCCCTAACAAAGGTATCGATGAACAAGATTAGCAGTAGACACATCAACTCTACTATACATGATTCTAACACATCCTGACAAAACTTCTCCAGGTTTTAATTTAAATATTAACAAATCTGCACACAGAAAAAACCTACACATAATTAAAAAAGATCTAACAGTTAACCTATTGCTAGATTCTGTGAGGAATTGTTGCTAATTGCAAAGATGATGCAACTTTAAAAATAAAACATGGACCAGGACCAGATGGATTCACAGCCAAATTCTACCAGAGGTACAAGGAGGAGCTGGTACCATTCCATCTGAAACTATTGCAATCAATAGAAAAAGAGGGAATCCTCCCTAACTCATTTTATGAGGCCAGCATCATCCTGATACCAAAGCCTGGCAGAGACACAAACAAAAAAGAGAATTTTAGACCAATATCCTTGATGAACATTGATGCAAAAATTCTCAATAAAATACTGGCAAACCGAATCCAGCAACACATCAAAAAGCTTATCTACCATGTTCAAGTGGGCTTCATCCCTGGGATGCAAGGCTGGTTCAACATATGAAAATCAATAAACGTAATCCAGCATATAAACAGAACCAAAGAAAAAAACCACATGATTATCTCAATAGATGCAGAAAAAGCCTTTGAAAAATTCAACAACACTTCATGCTAAAATCTCTCAATAAATTAGGTATTGATGGGACGTATCTCAAAATAATAAGAGCTATCTATGACAAACCCACAACCAATATCATACCGAATGGACAAAAACTGGAAGCATTCCCTTTGAAAGCTGGCCCAAGACAGGGATGCCCTCTCTCACCACTCCTATTTAACATAGTGTTAGAAGTTCTGGCTGGGGCAATCAGGCAGGAGAAGGAAATAAAGGATATTCAATTAGGAAAAGAGGAAGTCAAATTATCCCTGTATGCATATGACATGATTGTATATCTAGAAAACCACATCGTCTCAGCCCAAAATCTCCTTAAGCTGATAAGCAACTTCAGCAAAGTCTCAGGATACAAAATCAATGTGCAAAAATCACAAGCATTCTTACACACCAATAACAGACAAACAGAGACCCAAATCATGAGTGAACTCCCATTCACAATTGCTTCGAAGAGAATAAAATACCTAGGAATCCAACTTACAAGGGATGTGAAGGACCTCTTCAAGGAGAACTACAAACCACTGCTCAATGAAATAAAAGAGGATACAAACAAATGGAAGAACATTCCATGCCCATGGGTAGGAAGAATCAATATCGTGAAAATGGCCATACTGCCCAAGGTAATTTATAGATTCAATGCCATTCCCATCAAGCTACCAATGACTTTCTTCACAGAATTGGAAAAAACTACTTTAAAGTTCATATGGAACCAAAAAAGAGCCTGCATTGCCAAGTCAATTGTAAGCCAAAATAACAAAGCTGGAGGCATCACGCTACGTGACTTCAAACTATACTACAAGGCTACAGTAACCAAAACAGCATGGTACTGGTACCAAAACAGAGATATACATCAATGGAACAGAACAGAGCCCTCAGAAATAATGCTGCATATCTACAACCATCTGATCTTTGACAAACCTGACAAAAACAAGCAATGGGGAAAGGATTCCCTATTTAATAAATGGTGCTGGGAAAACTGGCTAGCCATATGTAGAAAGCTGAAACTGGATCCCTTCCTTACACCTTATACAAAAATTAATTCAAGATGGATTAAAGACTTAAATGTTAGACCTAAAACCATAAAATCCCTAGAAGAAAACCTAGGCAATACCATTCAGGACATGGGCATGGGCAAGGACTTCATGTCTGAAACACCAAAAGCAATGGCAACAAAGGCCAAAATTGACAAATGGGATCTAATGAAACTAAAGAGCTTCTGTACAGCAGAAGAAACTACCATCAGAGTGAACAGGCAACCTACAGAATAGGAGAAAAATTTTGCAACCTACTCATCTGACAAAGCGCTAATATCCAGAATCTACAATAAACTCAAACAAATTTACAAGAAAAAAACAAACAACCCCATCAAAAAGTGGGCAAAGGACATGAACAGACACTTCTCAAAAGAAGACATTTATGCAGCCAAAAGACACATGAAAAAATGCTCATCATCACTGGCCATCAGAGAAATGCAAATCAAAACCACAATGAGATACCATCTCACACCAGTTAGAATGGCAATCATTAAAAAGTCAGGAAACAACAGGTGCTGGAGAGGATGTGGAGAAATAGGAACACTTTTACACTGTTGGTGGGACTGTAAACTAGTTCAACCATTGTGGAAGTCAGTGTGGTGATTCCTCAGGGATCTAGAACTAGAAATACCATTTGACCCAGCCATCCCATTACTGGGTATATACCCAAAAGATTATAAAACGCAATGCTGCTCTCAAGACACATGCACACGTATGTTTATAGCGGCACTATTCACAATAGCAAAGACTTGGAACCAAGCCAAATGTCCAACAATGATAGACTGGATTAAGAAAATGTGGCACATATACACCATGGAATTCTATGCAACCATAAAAATGATGAGTTCATGTCCTTTGTAGGGACATGGATGAACCTGGAAACCATCATTCTCAGCAAACTATCACAAGGACAAAAAACCAAACACGGCATGTTCTCACTCATAGGTGGGAATTGAACAAAGAGAATACATGGACATAGGAAGGGGAACATCACACACCAGGGCCTGTTGCGAGGTGTGGGGAGGGGGGAGGGATAGAATTAGGAGATATACCTAATGCTAAATCACTAGTTAATGTGTGCAGCACACCAACATGGCACATGTATACATATGTAACAAACCTGCACATTGTGCACATGTACCCTAAAACTTAAAGTATAATAAATAAATAAATAAATAAAACATGGACCATTTATACAAGTTTGTCCACTTGAAAGTATAAGCAAGACCTTTTTTTTCAGCACTGATATCTCCTCTGAATTAGAAACAAAAAGTCCATACTAACATTATCAGTTATGAAAAACAACTCCCCCAGAAAGTTGTTAAGGATTTGGGAAATGGAAATGACAACAGTGCCTTGTACCTTGAAAAATTTAATTCCCCCAAATTAAGTGATGTGGGCAAAGAAAGAAGGACTTGTGGTAACAGTAGCTTCTGGTGATTGGATTTAAATAATGATGAACACAAGAACGCCAATGATTTTTATCATTCATTGAGCCATCAGTATGTACCAGGCACCGTATGTTATATAATTTAGTGCTGTCAGCAGCTCCATGAATTAAGTACTTACAAGGATAGATACTATCCTCAGTTAATGATGAAGAAGCTTGGACCAGACAAGTTATATCAGTTACTCAAGATCACATGACTAGCAATAGCAGAGCACCCTATTAGGAGCATCAAAAATCCATGTAGCTGAGGTGGGTAAGTAAATATTTCAAGCCAAGAGCACAATAGTATATAAAGACCAACTAGATACAGAAAATTATTCTAAGATTATGGGCATAAAATGACTTTAGCTATAGATTTGAGAAGTGGATTGCACCAAAAACAAAATGAACAGAGAATGGAATTAAGGGCATAAAGTGCACCTGTATGTTGGAAACTTCTAGAACTGGGTAGCTCTATTTTACTTCAATGTTGAGAAACATTGACATATTAGAAAAAAGGTTTTGGAAGTACGCCATTGTTATTATTTTTAATTTCAACATAAAGACAGAAAATGTTCACCACTTTCTAAGCAAAGCCAACAAAAAGCAGTCTGTGCCAATAACTCATCTGGGGAAGTATTTTATTTTTAAAAAATATCTTTAAGTATCCAAATAATGAAGGATCAGATAGTAGCATAATCTTAATTTTCTCATATATAACACTAGGTGACTGAAAATAAAGGAATAGGCCCTATGAAAACCTAAAAGGAAAATTTATGACCAAGAAAGTTTATACTCAGTGAGATTGTCTTTAATAAATAATTATAACAAGGAAATAGTTTAAAAGTAACAAAGCAGAATTTGTATCACCAATGCATACTACTTGAAAAACTTATTCCAGCTAACAGAGAAATGACTGGAAATTGAGTTTTAAATCATAATAACTATTATTCATTGAACACAAAGTATTTGTCAGACATAGTGCTATCTGTTTCTCACAAGAATTTTCATTACTTGTAAAATTCTTACAATAACCCAAGTGACTAGGCAATATTTCTGTCTTAGTCAGTCTAGGCTGCTATAATGAAGTACCATAAACTGGCTGGCTTCAAAAACAAATCTATTTTTCACAGTTCTGCAGGCTGGTAAGTCCAGCAGATCCCCTCCCTGAGGTGGGTTTCCTCTCTGGTTTGCAGATGCCTGTCTTCTCATTATATTCTCGCATGATGGGGAGCAGAGAATTCAGGTACCCTTTTATAAAAGCACCAATCCCACTACTGAGGGCCCCACCCCCAAGATCTAATCACCTCCAAAAGATCCCACCTCCCAATACTATCACACTGGGAATTAGGATTTCAACATATAAATTTTGTGGGGACATAAATATTCAGTTCATAACAATTATCAAATCCATTTTGAGACAAGAGTATTAATCCGTTTTTGCATTGCTATAAAGGAATACTTAAGACTGGGTGTATAGGGTTAATTTGTTCATGGTTCTGCAGGTTGTACAGGAAGCACAGCACTGGCATCTGCTCCTGGTGAGGTTTTAGGAAGCTGTCATGGAGGAAAGTGAAGGGGAAGCATGCTTGTCACATGGCAAGACTGGGAGGATAAAAGAGAGACAGAAGTGTTCAAATCTTTTAGACAAACAAATCTCCTGTGAACTAACTGAACAGAACTCACTTGTTACCAAGCGGATGGTGCTAAGCCATTGATGAGGGATCTGCCCCCATGATCCAATACCTCCCACCAGGCCCCACCTCCAACATTGAGGATCACATTTCAACATGAGATTTGGAGGGGAGACACATCCAAAGAATATTAATGAAGAAACTGATGCACAGAGAAATTAAGTAACTTGTCAAAGCTCATTTTAAGTCAGAGTAAGGAGTCAAACTTAAACAGTACAACTGCAAACCTAAAAGGTTCAAAACCACCAAGAAATACAGCCTCTCGGGGAAGATTATTTTGAGATCAAAGTTATTCAAAGATGTTCTCTTTCAACATGTGGGCCCAAGAATAGAAATCTAGAAATAATTTATTGAAATTTTCATCAGTTTCACTTTCTTTCTCATGAATAGAAAATGGGCTTCTTGTGCTACATACCGCATACTTTACCTTGTAATACTTTGCAAGGTTTGATTATCACCCAAACCAATAACTGCTGATAGTCTGTTGAGATCATCCTAATAATGACATTTATCTGAGAATAAATATTTATACGAATATATCAAATAAATATACCATAATGTTAAGTGTGGTAAATTTGGGAATATTTTAAGTAGCTTTTGGTTTTTCTTTAACTTTCTTTTTCTCTCTACTCTCTCTTTCTATCTCTCTTACTCTCTTTCTCTCTCTGTCTCCCTCTCTCCCTCCCTTTTTTCCTTCTCTCCATTCTTTATCTATTTACTTATTTATACCAATTTTTTGCAAAGAGCATGCATTATCTTTGCCATCAAGAAAAAGCAAATGTAAAACTCACCATATACAATTTAGTACATAGAAAATATATTGAAAGTAAAAAATTAAAGGAATAAATTTTTAGAATTTACAAAACTAAATTTTACTAGAAACACACCAAACTACAAATAGTACTCATATCTAACCACTAAAGTTGTGGATAATATTTTCCTAATTTTTCTCTTTTTGCAATATTCTAAAATAAATATTTATAAGCATTTTGTATAATATAACATTTTTGCGAGGGCATCAGATATATAATACAATCGGAGTCAAACATCTAGTTTCTGCTGCATACTCTAGATTTCAACAGATTGACGTAAATCGTTAAAATTAGTATTCTTTGACTCTGTTAATCAAAGGTGTTCTGTCCTTAAAACTGTATGAAAATTTATTTCCTTAGCTTATTTACAATATCATGTACAGGATGCCCAAATGTTTTGTGAAATCCAGATACACAATGTTTACAGCATATTTCTAATCCACTCACTACCCACATGCTGATTTAAATATATCTGATTATTTAACTCCCCATTTGGCATTTAAAATCCACAAATGACTTATAAAAAACAACTAATTGAAGTATGATTTAAATACAAAAATACTGGGCACATTTAATATATACAACTTAATATGTTTGGAGATAAGCATACTCTCTTGAAAACACTACCACAATTTATGCCAGAAACCTATCCATCACCTCCAAAGTTTCTTCCCACCCTCTTTATCTATTATTTTTCTGCATGTGACAAGAACACTTAACATAAGCTGTAACTGCTTAGCTTTTTTTTTTTTTGAGACAGAGTCTCATTCTGTCACCCAGACTGGAGTGCAGTGGTGAGACCTCCGCTCATTGCAACCTTCGCCTCCCAGGTTCAAGAGATTCTCCCACCTCAGCTTCCTGAGTAGCTGGGGAAACAGACGCATGCCACTATGCCTGGCTAATTTTTGTATTTTTAGTAGAGATTGAGTTTCACCATGTTGGTCAGACTGGCCTTGAACTCTTGACCTCAAGTGATCTGCCCCTCTCCACCTCCCAAAGTGCTGGGATTATAGATGTGAGCCACCACTGTCCAGCCAGCACATTTTTAAGTAAATAATGATGTATTATTAACTACAAGCACTATGCTGTACAGTAGATTCCTAGAACTTACTCATTTTGTATAACCGAAACTTCGTACCCTTTGAATAATACTTCCCTGTTTACCTCTTCCCCCAGTAGCCACGTCCACTCTCTGCTTAAATGTGACTGTTTTATATTTATCATATAAGTGGTATCATATACCATTTGTCCTTTGTTTGGCTTATTTCATTTAGCATAATGTCCTTTAGTTTCATCCACGTTGTCACAAATGCCAGGATTTTCTTAATTTTTAAAGCTGAATAATGTTTCATTTTCTTAATTCATTTGTCTATCAATTGACATTTAGTATAAAAGATGTCTCGGCTATTGCAATGCTGCAATGAATTTGGGGATGCAGATAATCTTTTTAAGATTCTGATTTCAAATCCTTTGCATATGTACCCAAAAGTCAGATTGCTGGATCATGTGGTAGTTCTGTTCTTAATTTTTTGTGCAAACAGCATACTGTTTTTCACACTGGCTGCACCAATTTACATCCCCATCATGTTGTACAAAGTTTCTCTTTTCAACACATTCTCACCAGTATTAGTTATATTTTTGTTTTTGTTTTTGTTTTGATAATAGCCATTATAACAGATATGAACTAATATCTCACTTTAGTTTTGATTTTCATTTCCCTGATGTTTAGTGATGCTGAGTACTTTTTATTTGCTGGCCACTTGTATGACTTCTTTGAAGAAATGTCTAACTTAGTTGCATTTCTATACACTAACAATAAATTATGAGAAAATAAAATTAATAAAACAATTTCATTTACTATAACATCAAAAATAATAAATTATTTAGAAATAAACTTATGCAAGTAGAGGAAAGACCTGTACACTGCTAACTGTAAAACTCTGATGAAAAATTAAAGCAGATGTAAACAAATGGAAAGATATCCTTTGTTAATGGATTGGTATGATAAATATTGTTAAAATGTCCATACTAGCAAAAGCAATATACAGGTTCAATGTAATCCCTGTCAAATTCCCAAAGGCAATGGGCAAAATAATCCTAAAATTTATATGAAACCATAAAAGACCCCAAATAGCCAAAGTAATTTTGATCATAAAAAAAAGCTGGAAGCATCACACTTCTTGATTTCAAAATATATTATAAAGCTACAGTCATCAAAGCAGTATGTTAGTGGCAGCAAAAAACAAACAAAAAACAACAGACATATTAGTTCCCCCTTATCCCTGTTTTCGCTTTTGTCAGTTTCAGTTACCTGTGGTCAATTGTGGTCTGAAAATAGGTGAGTAAAGTACAATGAGACATTTTGAGAGTGAAAGAGAGATCACATTCACATAATTTTTACTCCAGTGCAGTGGTTATAATTGTTCTATTTTATATTAGTTATTGTTAATCTCTTACTGTACCTAACTTACAAATTAAACTTTATCATATATATATATATATACACACATATATATCTGTATGTATAGAAAAAATGGTATATATAGGGTTTAGTATTATGTGAGGTTTCAGACATCCTCTTGGTTATCTTGGAACATATCCAAATAGGCCCCACTTATTCAGTTTTGCTTTCCATGGTATCAGTTACGCATGGTTCACTGTGATCTGAAAATATTAAATAAAAATTATGTAAATAAAAATTTCTAAACTTTTAAATTGTGCACTGTTTTGAGTAGCATACACTAACAACATGCCCAATACTAACAAATCTCATGCTCTATTGCTCTGTCCCACCTGGCACAAAATCATCCCTTTATCTAGCATATCAAGAAGTTTGTGCTACTTATTTTTAGTCACTTAGTAGCTGTCTTATCAGATCGACTGCCACAGTATCACAGTGCTTGTGTTCAAGCAATTATTTTACTTGATAATGGCCCCAAAAGAGAAGACTAGCAATGCAGGTAGTTCAGATATACCAAAGGGAAGCCATAAAATATTTTCTTTAAATGAAAATCTGAAAGTGTTCCACTTAATAAGGAAAGAAAATAATCAGATGCTGAGGTTGCTAAAATCTATGGTAAGAGTCAATCTCTTATCAGAGACATTATTAATTGTACATTATTATAGCTGTTCTATTTTATTATTAGTTATTGTTAATTTATTTATTTTTATTATACTTTAAGTTCAGGGGTACATGTGCAGAACATGCAGTTTTGTTACATAGTTATACACATGCCATGGTGGTTTGCTGCACCCATCAACCCGTCACCTACATTAGGTATTTCTCCTAATGCTATCCCTCCCCAACCCCCCACTCCCTGACAGGCCCCAGTGTGTGATGTTCCCTCCCTGTGTCCATGTGTTCTCCTTGTTCAACTTCCACTTATAAATGAAGACATGCAGTGTTTGGCTTTCTGTTCTTGTGATAGTTTGCTGAGAATGATGGTTTCCAGCTTCATCCATGTCCCTGCAAAGAACATGAACTCATCCTTTTTGATGGCTGCGCAGTATTCCATGGTGTATATGTGCCACATTTTCCTTATCCAGTCTATCACTGATGGACATTTCGGTTGATTCCAAGTCCTTGCTACTGTGAATATTGCCAATTTCTTACTGTGCCTAATTTATAAATTAAACTTTGTCATAGGTATGACTATATAGAAAAATCATAATGTATACTCAGCTTTTTATATCTATGAGATCCTCATTCACAGATTCAACCAACCTTAGATCAAAAATATTTGAAATAGAAAAACAAAAATAATGAAAATGAAAAACTATGCAACCTCACCCTCCTGGGTTCCAGCGATTCTGCTGCCTCAGCCTCCCAAGTAGCTAAGATTACAGGTGCCCACCACCATATCCAGCTAATTTTTTGTATTTTTATTATAGACGGGGTTTCACTATGTTGGTCAGGCTGGCCTCAAACTCTGGCCTCGTGATCCACCCACCTCAGACTGAGTAAAGAAGTTTTCCTTTCACCAATGTGGGTGGACATCACTCAATTCCTTAATGACCTGAACAGAGCAAAAAGGAGGAGGAGGAACATTTTTTGACCTGGAACATTTTCTTTTTGAGCTGGAACATTTTCTTCTGCCCTTTGAAGCTCCTGGTTCTCTGGCCTTCAGACTCCAGATTCTGTAATTTATGCCAGCCTCACTTCCCCAGCCCTCCACCACACTCACCAGCTCTCAGGCCTTTGGCTTCAAAGTAGAAGTTACAGCATCAGCTCTCCTTATTCTCAGGCCTTCAGATTCAGAGTGAATTATATGAGCAGCTCTGCTGATTCTCCGGCTTGCAGACTACATAACATAGAACTTCCTTGCTTCGTTAATCATGTGAGCCAATTTCTTAATAAATGTCCCCATATCTCATCATCTACCTATATATCTGTCTATATATATTTTCTATTTGTTCAATTTCTCTGGATAACCCTGAGTTGCACAGATTTTGATACTGAAATTGGTTCTAGAGGAACATAATTTTAAGAATGAGTTTTCCGAATTATTTAGGGGGTTCTAGAATTGGATCTCTACTCTGATTATACTTAAAGATATTAAAGATTCTATTTCTAGTAGTAAAGAGAGCACTGATAGTCCATGGTGTAATATCCAAAATATGTGCATTGGATACTCTTAATTAACCACTTATAATAAGCAAGGAAGTAAGCAATTACGTATATGACACTTGCTAACATTTTGGAAATTTAAGAAATATAATGATACTGGTTGCTTGTTCCTAATGTCACTGGACAAAGTGATGAAAGAAAAAAATAAGTTCAGTGATTTGAATTACAAGCTCAAGAGCCACATCAGTGATTTAAGAGCTTCTAGGTGTGCCCTGAGAAAGAGCATTATCTCCTACCACTGGAGGGCTGCAAGTGCTGAAAATCAAATGTAGGACCTCATCCTGTGATTGGCTGAATCACAAGGCAAGTTGAACTCCTAGCCTTACTGGGTGTTTTCTGATAAGGTGACAACATGGATTAGGAAAGCATGGGATCCTATAAGTTGAGATGGGACATGCAGAGAGACTTTAATGAAGCTGGGAACATTTAGCATCTGAATTCTGATGAGTCTTCTTTGGCAGTGGAAGTGGTCTCTCCACCGCTAGTAGAAGTAGGCTTTCTAACCCCAGCAAAAGCAGCCTTCCTATCTCCAGTTGCAGCAGCATCCCTGCCATATTGAAGTAAGCCTTTCCATTTCCTTATGAGGGAATTCAGCTTGCATTGCCTGAGGAAAAGGTTGTGGTCTTCCCTGAAATAGTGGTCATGCAAATCCCTGCTGATTCTCCTCAGGACCCAACCCTACCATCCCTCTTCTATAATTATAACTAGACTCATGCCCCAGCAGGCCCCTAGAAGTGAGGCACAAAGTGTGACCCATGAGGAGATATGCTACTCTCCAAAAGAACTACTTGAGTTTTCTAATTTTTACCAGCAGAAATCCAGAGAATATGTGTGGAAATGGATATCAAAGCTGTGGAATAAAGGTGGAAGGAACTTAAGTTGAATCAGGCCAAATTTATTAATACAGGCCCAGTAGCAGAGATGCTGTATTTAATGTTGCACTCAAGGAGTTAGAAAGGTCTTTAACTGTTTGGTTGGTTGACTGGCTAAAACATGGATTAAAGAGCACATCACTGTGAGTGAATTGGAAATGCCTGCTCTCCCTCAGCTTTATGTAGAGGAAATGGTGCAGATTTAAAGAGAATGGAATGTTAGAGAGGATATATCATTTAAGACCTACTCATTCACACTAGGTGGGTTCAGAAGTCCTATCTTTCAACAATATTTTGAGAAATAAATTCATGAGGGAAGCCCCAGTATCTTTGAAAATCTCAGTGATTCCTCTTCTCTATAGGTCAGATCTTACAGTGGGAACCATAGACACTCAACTGGAAAACCTAAATGCAATGGGAGTAAGTGGTTCCTAGGGTGGCGGAAGCCAACGGGCAAGATGAGCACAGCTACGATAATGGACAGCAGAGTCAAAGCAGCAATCAGAATATTCAGACCCTTGCAGACCTCTGGTGTTCCTAGGAATAAAATTGCTAGGATGCTTACTAAACTCTTACTTGTTCTGTATAAGCAGATAATTTTCCAGCCAAATGAACAAAAATATAACTTAAATCATAAAACCATAGGTTCATGGCTCCTCAAATCCGCTCAAATTCCCATACTTAAGTCAATTAACAGACCCCCAAGCCCCGTGAATAAATGGGGTGCCAAGTACCCTTGAGGAAGGACTCTCAAATACTACCAAAAATTTATATTGTTAATATTACACCCAGCCTTCCCCAAAGGGACCTATATCCTTTTGCCAAGATAACTGTGCATTGGGGAAATGAAATAATCAGACTTCAGGGACCACCAACACTGGCTCTTAACTGGCAATAATTCCAGGAGACACAGAATGTCACTGTGGTCTACTAATCAGAGTAGATCCTTATGAAGGTCAGGGCATCAATGGAGTTTCTATCTCAGGACCATTTCACAGTGTGTCCAGTGGGACCCCAAACCCAGCCTGTGATTATTTTCCCAGTTCCAGGTGCACAACTGGAATACATATACTTTACAGCTGGAAGAATCCCCACATTGGTTCCCTGACCTGTGAGGTGAGATTATTATGGTGAGAAATGCCAAATGATAGGCATTAGAACTGCCTCTACCTAGTGAAACAGTAATACCACATTCCTGAAGGAACTGCAGAGATTAGTGCCACCACCAAAAACTCAAAAGATGCAAGAATGCTATTTCCCACCACATCCCCACTTAACTATTCTCTTTGACCTGTGCAGAGTACAGAAGGATATTAGAGAATGACAGTGGATTATTGTAAGATTAACCTCATGGAGTTAAGACTCCAGCTGAAGCTTCTGTACCAGATGTGGTTTAACTGATTGAGGAAATTAACATATTCCCGGGTACCTGGTATGTAGCATTAATCTGGAAAATGTTTTGTTGGGTTTTTTTCCTCCATACCTGTCAATAAAGTCTACCAGTAGTAGTTGCTTTCAGGGGGAAAGGCCATAAATCCACCTTTACTGTTCCCCTACCTCAGGGGTAGGTCAACTCTCCAGTCATGTACCATAATTTCATCCATAGGGATCCTGATTGCCTTTTCATTCCACAATATATCATACTGTTCTACTACATTGATGACATTATGCTGATTGAACCTAGCGACTGAGAAGTAGCAATGACTCTAGACTTACTGCATATGTATTTGAATGTCAAAGTGTAGAAAGTAAATCCAAATAAAATCCAGGGTCTTCTATTTCAGTGAAATTTCTAGGGTCCTAGTGGTATGGGACATATCGCTATCATCCTCTAAAATGAGGGATACATTGTTGCATCCAGCCCCTTCTACAGCCAAGAAAGAGATCCAATGCTGTGAGCCTATTTGGATTTTGGATGAAACATACCCTTCATTTGAATGTATTACTTCAGCCAGTTTACCAAGTGAGTTACTAGTTTTGAATGTGGTTCAGAACAAGTGAAGACACTACAACAGGTTCAACTTGCTTTGCAAGATGCTTTGCCATTGAGCCATATGATCTAGCAGATCCAATGGTGCTTGCAGTGTCAGTGGCAGATAGGGATGCTGTTAGGTGCCTGTAGCAGACCCCCAAGGGTAAGTTAATGTGCGGGCCCTTAGGATTTTGGAGCAAGGCCCTGCCATCCTCAGATAACTATTCACCTTTTGAGAGACAGCTCTTGGCCTCCTACTGGGCCATAGTAGAAACCAAAAAAATTGATCATGGGCCATCAACTTATCATGTGACCTGAGCTGCCTGTCATGAACTGGTTATTACCTGACCCAGGAAGCCATAAATGTGGGCATGCACAGCAACACTCCATTATCAAATAAAAGTGGGATATACATGATCAAGCCTGAGATGGCCCTCTAAGCACAAGTAAATTACATTAGGAAGTAACCTATATGTCCATAGTCCCCACTTCTGCTACACTGCCTTCTCTCTCCTAGCCTCATGGAGAATTATTTCAATCACCTGACAGAGGAAGAGAATACCTAGGCACAGCTACAGCATTACAGCCCCTCTGTGGGACATCCTTGAAGTACAGTGGTGAAGAAAAATCATCTCCATGGGTAGAAATTTGCACAGTACAACTGGTTGTGGACTTTGTTTGGTAGGAGAAATGGCCAGATTGTGATTATATACCAATTCATGTGGCTAGATGGTCAGGGACTTTTGAGGGAACATAATTGGAAAATTTGTGACAAGGAAATTTGGGAAAGAGGTATGTGGATAGAACATTATGAATGGGCAAAAACATGAAGATACCTGAGTCCACATCCATGAATGCTCACCAAAGGATGTCCTCAGCAGAGTAGGATTTTAATAATCAAGGGTATAGAAGGGCCTGTTATGTAGATACTAGTCAACTTTTTCCCCAGTCCCTTCTGTCATTGTCTAATGGGATCATAAACAAAGTGGGCATAGTGGCAGAAATGGTGGTTATGCATGGATTCGGCAATATGAACTTCCACTCACCAAGGCTGACCTGGCTGTGACCAGCTTTGAGTGCCCAGTTTGCCAGCCATTGAGACCAACATTGAACCCCTCATATGGCACCATTTTTTATTGATTGATTACATTGGAGCTGGTGCCAGGTCAATTACATTCAACCATATTCATCCGGGAAGGGGCAGACACTTTATCACTTGAATAGACACTTACTCTGCATTCGACTCATCACTGGAATAGACACTTACTCTGGATATAAATTTGTCTTAATTGTACACAATGCTTTTGCCAAAAATACAATCCATAGCCTTACAGAATGCCTTATTCACTGTCGTGGCATTTCATGAAGCATTGCTTCTGATCAATGAGCTCACTTCACAGCAAAAGAAGTGTGACAGAGGGCCCATGCTCATGGAATCACTAGTGTAACCATGTTCTCCACCATCCATAAGAATATAGTTTGAAAGAAGGGTGGAACAGCATTTTGAAGACTCAGTTACAATGTCACCCAGGTGGCAATACCTTGAAAGAGTGAGACAAGGTTCTACTGAAGACTGTAGATGCTCTGAATCAGTGTTCACTACATGCTACTCTTTTTCCAATAGCCAGGATTCATGTGTCCAGGAATCAAGGGCTAAAAATGAAGTGGCGCTTTTCACCATTACCTCTACTGACCCACTAGCAAAACTTTGGCTTCTTCTTCCCACAGGTTTATGCTCTCCTGGCCTAAGGTCTAGATCCAGAGGGAGAAATATTTCCATCAGGAAACACAACAATGATTCCATTGAAATGGATATTAAGACTGCCATCTGATCATTTTAGCCTCCTCATGCCTATGAGTCAATTGGCCAAGAAGGGAATTAAGGTGTTGGCTGTACTGATTGATCTGAACGTTCAAGGGGAAATTGGACTTCTACTCCACAATGAACGTAAGAAAAAGTATGTCTGGAATACAGGAGATCTTTTCTGGGTGTGTTTTAGCATTACTATGCCATATAATTAAAGTCAATATAAAACAACACAGTCCAGGCAGGCCTATGAATGTCCCAAACCCTTCATTAATAAAAGTTTGGGTGACTTTGCTAAATAAAGGACCGTAATGAGGTAAAGTTCTCTCCAAAGGAAAGGAGAATACAGAAAGGAAACTAGAGGAAGGTACTTAAAAACACCAGCTAATTAACACAACTGAGTGTTCAGGGGGGATCAGATAAGACCACATGATACCTTATAGAATCCAGAATTATAATATTTCATGGGTATGTCATTATTTTGTTACAAATGTGATTGTGTATATATAAACATATTTAAGCAAATATTTGGATTTTTTCCTTTCTTATTCCTTATCTCATAACATGATGTCTTAAATTTATATCAGTATTTACATGCTGTTAATTTTATATCATAGTATTTAAATTTTGGAATATCAGAAGAGTAAATATCACTTAAAAACTTGACCATCTCTTCTGAGAAATAAATTAGTTTCTCCTCAGTTGTATGCAGAACAGTTGTACCATTGTAGGTAAAATTATGACCTTCTTATCCTCTTTACTTAGAGATTAAGTATGATTTAAGGAGATGTGTAGGGGTGTCAACTTAACAAGGGTTGGATATGTGATGGTTGATTTCATGTGTCAATTTCATTAGGTTAAAGATGCCTGGATAACAGGTGAAATATTATTTCTGGGTGTGTCTGTGAAGGTGTTTTCAGAAGAGATAAGTGTTTGAATCAAGGGACTACGTAAAGAAGATTTGCCCTTATCAATGTTAGTGAGCATTATCCAAACCCTTAAGAGCCTGAATAGAGATAGACCAAATTCTCTCTCTTCTTGAGCCAGGACATTTATATTTTCCTGCTTTCAGACATCAGAGCCCCTGAATTAAAGCCCTTTGAAACCAGACCAGAAGTTACTCAATCACTTCCTCTGGTTGTCAGGCCTTCAAGTTCTGACTGAATTACACTAACTCTCCTGGTTATTCAGCTTGTCCGTTGGATATCTTTGGACTTCTTGGCCTCCCTAATCACACAAGCCAATTCCCATAATAAATGTTCTTCTATCTATCTATCTATCTATCTATCTATCTATCTATCTATCTATCTAATCAGCTGTCTGTCTATCTATCTATCTTGTAGCTATATCTTAGATCAATACATAGATATATAGATCAATACATAGATAGATAGATCCTATTTGGTCTGTTCCTTTTAATTTATTTTCTTTGTAGAGATGGGGCCCTCACCATCTTGCCCAGGCTGGTTTCAAACTCCTGAACTCAAACAATCCTCATTCCTTGGCTTCCCAAAACACTAAGATTGCAGGTGTGAGACACTGCTCTGCCAAATTCTATTTCTTTTTACTAATATTTTTACTCACACAACCAATTCAAATGCTACTCTCTTCCAGAAATGCCCTCATAGACATACCCAGAAATAATGGTTTACCAGCTGTCTAGGCATTCCTTAGCACAGCAAATTGACACATATAAAATCAACCATCACATTAACCACCAGGAAATGTGCCTTTCTTTACTTTGTTATAATTTTCAACATTTTTTGTTTATTTTCTGTTTCTCGGTTTCATCTTTTATCTTTGCTATGAAGGAACTGGTCTCTCCGTTTATTTGACCTGGTCCTAAAATACAACTGTGTCTCTACCATGTGATCCTATATCCCCAACCCAGTCACAGAAGCCTGGCTAAATAGTACACATAGAGGCACCTCTTTAGCAGCTATTTTGCTTTCTGGCCTTCAGTCCACAAGAGAGATGATAACTCAGAGAATATTGTCCTGGTCATCTCAGGAGACCATTGGTAATTCACACAGGGCATGCAGCATGTGAAGCAAAACTTTCCTTAAGAACAATAATAGAATGCTTGTCAAACATAATAAAAGAGAAGTATATCATAGGAGCTAAGAAAATACTTTAAAGGGACTAAAGAAGTGAGAGCATAAATATTAGAGAAAAAAATATATGGCTGTTAAAATATGTAGACATTAATTGAAGGTTTAATTATACTTACAAATAGATGATTGAATCAACAGGGACCAGTCAAATTTTAATTAAAAACCCTGTTTAATATGCTGTGTTTATTATGAAATGTAAAAAATAAATGTACAATCTCTAGTCTTTGACCATGAGAAACTTACAGTTTACTCACAGACCCGAAAGTATCCATAGAAAATTCAGAGGAGATGATAACAAATATAAACTGCATTAAATATACTGGGAAAATAAAAACAGGCAGTGACTATATTGTGGTTAATCAGTGCAAGAAAATATGTCCTGTGGAAATAAGGAATAACTTTTGTCTTCCTGATACAGTAATACAGAAATGGAGACAAATTTAGCAGCTTTCCTCCAAAAGAACTCTCAGAATTCCACTTGTGATTTTGTTAATTGCCCAAATTCAATATCAGGTTTAGAACTAAGACATTGTTAGTAGACCAGTGGCAGTTTCTTCTGCTGATGTAGACTCATAGTAATCAAAGTATGAAATTGATATGCAAAAATCCAGAATACCATAACACTAATCTATAGTAACAAAGAACTATTACAGAGGCAAGGACATTTCTACCCCATATATCCAGCACATTATCTCAATGTTGGGAAGCCAAATTCAAATGATGAATTTTCTCATGTGTAAATAATCAGAACAAAGGAATATGATGAATTGAATAATAATCTAAATTAGGCTTTTTTTTTCTTTTTTACCTGATGCAACCATCTGACAATAGGAATGATATTGCCAATATTCAGGAATCAGTATAGTCTGATGTGTTTGCTAACTCCTTCTCTTTTTTTAGCAGAGCTTGGATGTGTAGTACAAATGTTTGTTTTTTATTATTATTATTATACTTTACGTTTTAAGATATATGGGCACAACGTGCAGGTTAGTTACATATGCATGCGTGTGCCATGTTGGTGTGCTGCACCCATCAACTCGTCATTTAACATTAGGTATATCTCCTAATGCTATCCCTCTCGCCTCCCCCCACCCCAAAACAGGCCCCAGCGTGTGATGTTCCCCTTCCTGTGTCCATGTGTTCTCATTGTTCAATTCCCACCTATGAGTGAGAACATGCAGTGTTTGGTTTTTTGTCCTTGTGATAGTTTGCTGAGAATGATGGTTTCCAGGTTCATCCATGTCCCTACAAAGGACATGAACTCATTATTTTTTATGGCTGCATAGTATTCCATGGTGTATATGTGCCACATTTTCTTAATCCAGTCTATCATTGTTGGACATTTGGGTTGGTTCCAAGTCTTTGCTATTGTGAATAGTGCCGCAATAAACATACGTGTGCATGTGTCTTTATAGCAGCATGTTTTATAATCCTTTGGGTATATACCCAGTAATGGGATGACTGTGTCAAATGGTATTTCTAGATCTAGATGCCTGAGAAATTGCCACACTGGCTTCCACAATGGTTGAACTAGTTTACAGTCCCACCAACGTGTAAAAGTGTTCCTATTTCTCCATATCCTCTCCAGCACCTGTTGTTTCCTGACTTTTTAATGATTGCCATTCTAACTGGTGTGAGATGGTATCTCATTGTGGTTTTGATTTGCATTTCTCCGATGGCCAGTGATGATGAGCATTTTTTCATGTGATTTTGACTGCATAAAAGTCTTCTTTTGAGAAGTGTCTCTTCATATCCTTCACCCACTTTTTGATGGGGTTGTTTGTTTTTTTCTTGTAAATTTGTTTGAGTTCATTGTAGATTCTGGATATTAGCCCTTTGTCAGATGAGTAGATTGCAAAAATTTTCTCCCATTCTGTAGGTTGCCTGTTCACTCTGATGGTAGTTTCTTTTGCTGTGCAGAAGCTCTTTAGTTTAATTAGATCTCATTTGTCAGTTTTGGCTTTTGTTGCCATTGCTTTTGGTGTTTCAGACATGAAGTCCTTGCCCATGCCCATGTCCTGAATGGTATTGCCTAGGTTTTCTTCTAGGGTTTTTATGGTTTTAGGTCTAACATTTAAGTCTTTAATCCATCTTGAATTAATTTTTGTATAAGGTGTAAGGAAGGGATCCAGTTTCAGCTTTCTACATATGGCTAGCCAGTTTTCCCAGCACCATTTATTAAATAGGGAATCTTTTCCCCATTGCTTGTTTTTGCAGGCTTGTCAAAGATCAGATGGTTGTAGATACGCAGCATTATTTCTGAGGGCTCTGTTCTGTTCCATTGATGTATATCTCTGTTTTGGTACCAGTACCATGCTGTTTTGGTTACTGTAGCCTTGTAGTATAGTTTGAAGTCAGGTAGCGTGATGCCTCCAGCTTTGTTATTTTGGCTTACGATTGTCTTGGCAATGCAGGCTCTTTTTTGGTTCCATATGAACTTTAAAGTAGTTTTTTCCAATTCTGTGAAGAAAGTCATTGGTAGCTTGATGGGGATGGCACTGAATCTATAAATTACCTTGGGCAGTATGGCCATTTTCACGATATTGATTCTTCCTACCCATGAGCATGGAATGTTCTTCCATTTGTTTGTATCCTCTTTTATTTCATTGAGCAGTGGATTGTAGTTCTCCTTGAAGAGGTCCTTCACATCCCTTGCAAGTTGGATTCCTAGGTATTTTATTCTCTTTGAAGCAATTGTGAATGGAGTTCACTCATGATTTGGGTCTCTGTTTGTCTGTTATTGGTGTGTAAGAATGCTTGTGATTTTTGCACATTGATTTTGTATCCTGAGACTTTGCTGAAGTTGCCTATCAGCTTAAGGAGATTTTGGGCTGAGACGATGTGGTTTTCTAGATATACAATCATGTCATCTGCAAACAGGGACAATTTGACTTCCTCTTTTCCTAATTGAATACCCTTTATTTCCTTCTCCTGCCTGATTGTCCTGTTTCTAAGGAACTAAATACTTTATATTTCTGTGGCTGACCAAAAACACTTCCAATTCAAATTTTCTATTTTGAAATGTTAAAATTTGTAATCAATTTATATTCTAGTCCATCAGACTTGGAAAATATTTTATCTTTTATATATGACTTTAAAACTTTGTTTTTTGACTTTAGGATTTAACTTCTAGAGAGTAAGTTTATTTCTTTGATTTCTAGTATCTTGAGAGGTTGAGGTTCATATTTAAGTTCCTAAATTTTTAATATATGTAAAAAATGCAAGACCTAAAATATAATATTAAGTCAATAATGTAATTAGTCAAATGCCTTTCAACTGAGAAGTTCAGTGTGCCATATGTGAATTTACTATGTAATTCTTAGGAGAGCCTAAGAATACTAATTAGAATCCCATAAAAAGTAGACACACATGCAGTCATGATCTGCTTGGCTAGAAGCTCTGCAAGACAACTCCTATTTTTCTTGACTTTCTTTCTGCAATTGTTATACCATAAATAACTTCTTTGTATGTTAGCTTTAAATATGCATGCCCACTTTTCCCATTATTCTTAACTTGCATGAACAGCTGGACTCATTACAGAAACAGAACTATTTTTTTTCCTACAGAGAATGAGATGAGAGAATAATTTAAAACATTTACAATGATATTTGAATGAAATGGCAAATAGGCAAGATGTGGGTGCTTTTCCACACTTTCTGTTCCTGTGCAACTTGCTTCCCAGTCGGCAGTGTGCTGTGTTCTTCTTACTGAAGCCCAAGTGTTCTGTATTGCTCGCCCTATAATTTTCTGGACAGAGTGAGCTGTGGTCTGTGCCAAGACAGAACTACACACTCCATTATCTTTTCAATAGGCCTGAAAATTATTTGTTTAAAAATCTTTCCCACTGTCAATTTTAGAAGTGTTTGCAAAAGTAATTGTTATAGATTTCCCTCTAATTATAATTTCAGAGTTGCCTCACATTCATTCTTTCCTATATCTCACCGAGAAACTCAACTTAAAGTTTGAAAATTACCTGTCTTTCATGGCTCTGTTTCTTGCCCAAGAGTTGTCCCTTCTTTATTCATCAATATTTTGTTTCACAAAATGCATTCAATTATTCCCCTGTCATTCTCATGAGAGCACTACACAATGAATCTTCTGAGGAACAGATTGTACCATGCCCTTAATTTCTCTCTTCACTACCCACAAAATCACCATATAACGGTGCCAGAAATTTATCTACTACAGCATTTCACTGTCAATGTCTTTTAGCTTGAGGAATGCTATAATTTTAGGATATTTTTTGGCCATGTCTGCCCAGTAACCATTTTTAAAGCATTTCATCATTTAGTACCCTAAAGAGTTCTACAATTTCAAGAGTGTTACAGAGATTCAGTTGTATTCAGTACATAGACAATTCACATTTTTAAAAACTCTAGCCGACTTTTAAATCTAATCTTTTTTCTAGATCTATGTAACTGCCGATGGAAAAAGAAAAAAACAATTTGAAATAGTACTGATTCTTATCATACATTATATTTTCTCACCAGATTCCATTTACTATAATCATTCTTTATTTCCTAGTCTTTCCACAACATGGCAGGTAAATGTTCTTGTCCCTGCCTCAGGGACCTGACATACATAATCTCTAATCACTGTTTAATTCATTTCAATTTACATTCATGGCCTGAAAAGGTAGCTTCAAACCTACCTCCCCAAATTAGGAGTATCAGGATGGCATCATGAAATGAGTAGAGATCTCAGTGAAACACTTTTTATTGCTGCTTAATAGCCACTTAATTTAAAAAAAAAAGACCTGTTGAAAATCATTGAGATTTTTTGAATTGTGTAGTTTCTTTGGAACAGATCTTATTTTTACTATGTTAAAAATCAATGCACAAGGAAGAATTTGCTAGAATGGTTCTCAGCTCCTATGCCCCCAGATTCTGAATATAGATTCTTTTCTGTGGCGCCCAGAAGCTTAATATCATTTTTCAGATTCCCATGTAACTAGAGTTCTGGATTTGATTTCGATTCAGCCAAACAGATAAACTAACACAAGATTTGAAAAGCAGAAACCAAGAGAAGGAAGAAAATCTCCTGCTTCTGCTATTTATCTTACTGAAGGATAGTTTAGGATAGTTGAGGTTTTTCTGCAGTAGTGTTTTTTTCTTTTTTTAGATGAGCAGTATTTTTTTAAATTTATTTATTTATTTTTATTATTATACTTTAATTTTAGGGTACATGTGCACAATGTGCAGGTTTGTTACATATGTATACATGTGCCATGCTGGTGCGCTGCACCCACTAACTGGTCATCTAGCATTAGGTATATCTCCCAATGCTATCCCTCCCCCGACCCCCCAACCCACAACAGTCCCCAGAGTGTGATGTTCCCCTTCCTGTGTCCATGTATTCCCATTGTTCAATTCCCACCTATGAGTGAGAACATGCAGTGTTTGGTTTTTTGTTCTTGCGATAGTTTACTGAGAATGATGATTTCCAATTTCACCCATGTCCCTACAAAGGACATGAGCTCATCATTTTTTATGGCTGCATAGTATTCCATGGTGTATATGTGCCACATTTTCTTAATCCAGTCTATCATTGTTGTACATTTGGGTTGGTTCCAAGTCTTTGCTATTGTGAATAGTGCCGCAATAAACATACGTGTGCATGTGTCAAAATTGACAAATGGGATCTAATTAAACTAAAGAGCTTCTGCACAGCAAAAGAAACTACCATCAGAGTGAACAGGCAACCTACAAAATGGGAGAAAATTTTCGCAACCTACTCATCTGACAAAGGGCTAATATCCAGAATCTACAATGAACTCAAACAAATTTACAAGAAAAAAACAAACAACCCCATCAAAAAGTGGGTGAAGGACATGAACAGACACTTCTCAAAAGAAGACATTTATGCAGCCAAACAACACATGAAAAAATGCTTGTCATCACTGGCCATTGGAGAAATGCAAATCAAAACCACAATGAGATACCATCTCACACCAGTTAGAATGGCAATCATTAAAACGTCAGGAAACAACAGGTGCTGGAGAGGATGTGGAGAAATAGGAACACTTTTACACTGTTGGTGAGACTGTAAACTAGTTCAACCATTGTGGAAGTCAGTGTGGCAATTCCTCAGAGATCTAGAACTAGAAATACCATTTGACCCAGCCAACCCATTACTTGGTATATACCCAAAGGACTATAAATCATACTGCAGTAGTTTTAACAGAGTTCTCACACTTCTAACTCCACAGTACTTGAAAGGTAGGGCATGGACATACATTTTGTTCATTTGGATGATGGCTAACATGGTGTGCTTGTCCATCTTGACAAAACATAGAGTTACTTACTTGGTTATGATGATTTATTGTGGCAGTGATGTTAGTCTGACATCTGTGGCCTCCTGACTGCAGAAGAGGTATTACCCTTGGTAGATATTTTGCAGCACATCTTTGAGAGACTTTTTTTAAAAGTAGACTTATATTTATAAATGTTCAATAAATCTGTATGTAACTCATATTCTATAAGTAGTCTACTATTGCTTAAAATATGGTGGAATTTGTTTGATGTGCATATAAATACTGACTGAAAAAGTAATTGGTAACAAGAATGTTTGAAAGTAATCACTTCTTAAGAAAATGGGAGTTTGGAGTTAAGTGACTTGGTTCAGTATTTAGTTGGCAATGTTTTTACTAGCATTATAAGATGGAGCATGGATAGTCTATGATATGCAATAGTAAAAGGGTTACTTGAATAAGCAGAGTTGGTTGAAGTCATAGACTGGAGATTTGTGGTCTATGTTTGAGTCTAACTTCTATCATATATTAGCCATTTGATCTTTAGCAAAGTAATTAACATATCTACCTCAATTTCCTCATCTGTATAATACTATTAACTTAATAGTTTTATTGTAAAGATAAATTAATATACTTAAAATGCCTTGAAAGATGGCAGGCATAGTGTGCTTTCTTTTCTGTTCATAAATATTGTTATTATTATTTTTACCATTATTGTTGTGGTGGTGGTAACTTGTCAAGAACTGTGAAGTTCAAGATTTTACCCCACATGCAAGCTAAAAAGTTAACCAGACACAGTGTTCTGAATATTGGCAGAAGTCATGAAACTCCTGGGTCAGAGACAAAAGAGCTTATTACTTACAGTAATAGTAATAGCTGGAATTTCATCATGTTTCCACCCACAGTCTAAGTCTCAATTCCTGTAGGGCAATAAAAGTATATTCAGCAGACACCTACACACATAATAGATTACATTATGAGAGAGAATCATGATTAGGGAACCTGAAAGTTTTGTGAAAGGTAATAAACTTGCCTGGTCTTTGCCACAGAGAGACACAATATCTTTATCATACTAGAGTATAAATGACCAAAATTTGCTGCTATATTTTTCTCTCAAGGCTGCTAGCTCTACAAACACATTTGAAAAGTAAGCTTGGAACAAAGGCAGCCAGTCCTTTTGCTGACAAGATGTGCAAAAATGTGACACTCATGGAGAAGTGTTTCCTAAAACATCTATCCCTGGTTTATATACCATCTTGGCTTCTGGTGAATTTTTCTTTGAATACATGACACTTTAATGGCTTACCCGACCTGACAGACAGAAGCTGAAATTATATCTGATCAGTTTGTCTTACACAGCATTTAATTAAGACTATTATCAGTAGGATCGCTATAAACATTGTGCCCATTTCATAAATGTGCCATTTCATAAATGGGCACAATGTTTATAGAAATCTTATTGATAGTAGCCTTATGAAATGATTTTAAAATTCAGTGCTTGGATAGGATGCTTATTCAAAAGGGTCAAATTTACATAAATTAATTTACATTTTAGTTTTTAAGTAATTGGAACTGTCCCTCAAAATTTCAGAGGAAAATGTACAGGAATATGAAGGGTGTTCATCTTTTATGAGTTGGCTCAAGTCAATTGTAAGAATTTCAGATCACTGAATATTAGCCTGGAGGTTCCCCATGGGCTAAAGAATGATTTTCACAGAGTCTTATTAATTATATAAATATTTTATATTCAAATCAATTTTTTTCAAAGCAAGAGAATTACAGAACCAGTGTGCAATTTAATGGTCAGACTCTGGATTAAAAATTCAAAATTAAAAATATGATTTTAGGCCAGTTTTTTAGCCAGTGCTTAAAGGAAATTATCCGGAATACAGACCAAAGACATGGGAACATAAAAGAGAGGTTAAAAGACACGGAGGGCTGAGTAAGAAGATCTAAATATATGTAATTGGTATTACAGAAAAATAGGGGAGAGAGAGTAGGGAGAAGTAATGTTATTTAAAGAGATAATGACTAAGAACGTTCCAAAACTGGTAAACCAATGCCCAGATTCAAAGAATCCCAGTAAATTTCAATCAAAATATTTGAAAGCAATAGGCATAATCACTCCCATTAAGAATATTATAGACGAATGGAGAAAGCAATTATTAAGTAAGTGTGAGCCACACAGGAGATCAATGAATATGCAATCAAGCACAAGTTTTTAAAGTTTTATAATAGTTTGTCTATGGTGTGCTCAAAACACATAAATTATTATCTAAGGTTTTAGTCCTACTGTTATTAAAATATTAGCTGTAGCTTCGTCAATTTTAAACTACTAAGAGATGAAGTTTGATACTATGGAAATTGTAATATTGTATGCTTAATAACAAGCCATTAATAATGAATAAAACTAATTTATTCACTTAGCAGAAAGTGAAATTACAAAATCATGCTTTCAAGAAGTAGTACTGTACTATTGTGAAATATGCCAATCAGTTAAGTTTATGTTATATTACATGTGATCCCTATTCCTGTATGAAAATTTCTCATATGGCATAAAATGTATCCTAATTGTAACCTCTGAATAAACAGTAATATGCAGAATATACATTAGTGGTATAAATTAATAGTGAGGGTAAATGGGAAACTCTAGTTTTTGAAAACATATGAAACTAAATCATCAAATCTTGATTGCTACTTCTGTTTACTCAAATCTTGGCTAATTATTTGGTCACTATTTTCTGCTACTTTATGACTCAAATAAAATTACATTCACTTCTCATAACTTTTGCTTCATCTTACTTACTTTACCTGATGTTAGTGTTACCCAGCATGTATTATGAGGATAGTGGGTAATGAAGACAGGTAGATATTCTAGTTTTATTCTTAGTCCTCAATAAAGACTCTGTTTTCCTTATTTATAACACGTTTCAATTCCATTCCAGTTCTGTTTCTTCTTCTAACTTTCTTGTTTTGTCCATGCTCCTGTCATTTGGACATGTCGATAGTAATTTTCCTGGAATATTCCTTGCCAGAGAATTTCTGTCTGACGTTACATTTTAGTCTCTTTCCATTCCTGGATTCTATAGAACAGGCAACACAGTTCAAATTTTGCCCTGTAGGACCCCATGTCCAAATCATGATGACTCCACTTGCCTGGGCTGCCAGTATCCTGCATACTTCTTGAGAGACTGCTGTTAGAGGCAACTGTGAATGTAAATGGCCTGTCATCCCAGTGTAAGCTAAGCGCAAGTAACTTTGATAATAGAAATGTATATAACAAAATCTTTAATGTACATGTGTTCTTTGATCTTCATGATAGTTTGTATTTATTTTTATGTTAAAAACATTATGCAAGCCAGGCACAGTGGTTTACGCCTGTAATCCCAGCACTTTGGGAGGCCAAGGCAGGAAGATCACTTGAGGACAGGAATTCGAGACCCACCTGCCAACATGGTGAAACCCCGTCTCTACTAAAAATACAAAAAAAAAAAAAAATAGCCAGGCATGGTGGCATGCACCTGTAGTCCCAGTTATCGGGAGGCTGAGGCAGAAGAATCCATTGAACCTGGGAGGCAAAAGTTGCAGTGAGACGAGATCACAGTACTGCACTCCAGCCTGGAGACAGGGTGAGATTCCGTATCAAAATAAATAAATAAATACACACATACGTACATTACGTGGACACATAAATACTGACAATTCAATAATAAATTATAACATCCTTATGTAGTTGATTTGTGTCTATCAGAAAATATAATTGTATCAGTATTGAGAGTGTCTTTTTTTTCCTCATTTTTTACATATTTTTAAATTTCATTTTCATTTTTGTAATTTTTCAAAGTAGAAAAACATTATTTGATTGTAACAGCCAATGTTTTGAAGTGTATGCAGAACCTTCGCTCTCTCCACTGATGAGGGGTGACCCAGCAATTGTGCTTGTATTTTTGACTCAAGATAATACAGCTGATTGGACCAAATTGTCCCTATCAGATTATTTTACTCCAGAATTTGAACTGAGCTACACAGGCAATGAGTCTCGTTATTTCATCACATTTATAGAGTCCATAGCCTAATTCCTAACATTTCTGAGTTCAATAAGTTTTTTCGTTTTTCTTTGTTTTTGTTTCTTAGGGACAGGGTCTTACTTGTATCCCCCACTTGGGAGTAACAGTGCCAGGATCACAGCTCACTTCAGCCTCAAACACCTGGCCTCCAGGTATCCTCCCGCTTCAGCCTCTCAAGTAGCTGGGACTACAGGTGCCTGCCACCACATCCAGCTAATTAAAAAAAAAAAATTTTTAGAGATAGGGTCTCAGTATGTTGCTCAGGCTTGTCTCAAACTTCTGGCCTCCAGTGATCCACCTTGGCTTCCCAAAGTGCTGAGATTACAGGCCTGAGCCATTGCTCCCAGCCTGAGGTCAGGAGTTTTAATGCTTAATTGCAATTGAATGAGACATCTTCAATCCTTTCCCTAAATTCCTAAATTCCTTGTGTGTTTCAACTAGTTTGAAGTTGTTCACGCTCTTAGTCAAGTCATGTCTAATATATCGACTTTCAGAAAGCAAAACATGATTTTCAGTAAGATACTCTACCTTCAACACTTCCTAAAGTTACTCACAAGTGTCAAGAAGTTCAATACAATTACTACATAGTATACCAGAATACTGAAAGATAAATGCAATGATCAGTATGAGGAAAAGTTAACAAAACAAGAATTATAGAATTACAGATATTTTTCTCCTGGTGTACAGATTCAGTTTTCCGGAATGGATGGGATTTTCAGATACAGCTTAGGGTGACCTCTGTATATACTTCTTATGAAAACGTTCTATAAACTGTGGTTGTAGACAGCCTGATTTAAGTGGTAGGCATGATGACCTTTAAAACTGTTTCATTTTTCCATTTATCTGGAATTTCATGTGTATTTTACTTTGGAAATAAAACTAGTTTCAAACAGTAAGTCCATGGACAGTTTAAAACTGATATACTTCAATTATTAGTTTACATCTTCTGATTATTCTACATCTTAAGAAGTGATTTAGAAATTGTTATGGACTAATAGAAGAAATGTTAGAAAATTTCAAGCTATTAAGAGAATAAGGTGTTCTACAGGAGTGAATTTTCCAGGTAAATGAAGCTCAATTAATTTCTAATATATTAACTGTTAATTGATGGAGGAAATTTAAAAAAAATTAGGCATACCCATATCCCTGATCTTCTAAACCAAAAAAATTGGATATAATTCCACAGTCTCTCAAGGGATATCTGAGGGATTCCATAGTATTTTTACCACTTATATCTGTTTTCCATTTTTCTATTTTCCTATCTACATCTGAAAACTTCCCAGAGTTAATATTGATGATGGGTTTGAGAATATAAAATCTTTTCAAATTGGCAATGCAACCATCTTTACAGTATACTGTTAAGATTTGAGCCTTACTGTTCTACCAGCAGTTTCCTTGGTTTTACATTTTAAAGATCAGACAAAACACCATAGAAAAGCCTTTGAGACCTCAGTTTCTCTCTTTTGAATCTTTCAGAGAAAAGGTGACATGAATGCTTCCATTGATAGCATGCTTTCATTTAGATGATTTTGAGAAAGCCTGGACTATAAATTGACTAATATCAGGGAAACTAGTTGAATGCTGTTGATGTGTTTAGCATTTTGCTGGCTATAAGTTTGCTGAAATGTAAATTCCAAGCCCTTAATAATTCTTACCTTATTATTTAAATTGATCATATTTTACTCAGGCAAATATTAGCAAAACATATTACTATAAGTAACTTTTAAATATTAAATAAGTAACTTTTAAAAATATTTGATTAAAAGCATGGGCTGAAGATGACAATTATATCTGTATCTATTATCTACAGCTATATACACATTCACAGTTTATAATTAATTACAGGTCTGTAGGGTACAAAGAGTAAGACAGCAATTTTAATTAATTGATCAGATTAACAAAATTATAAGAATGA